>NC_000016.10:36969487-37269487 GCF_000001405.40 Homo sapiens | reverse complement strand
TACGAAGATATTTCCTTTTCTACCATTGGCATCGAAGCGCTTGAAATCTCCACTTGCAAATTCCACAAAAAGAGTGTTTCAAATCTGCTCTGTCTAAAGGAAGGTTGAACTCTGTGAGTTGCATACACACAACACAAAGAAGTTACTGAGAAATCTTCTGTCTAGCATAATATGAAGAAATCCCGTTTCCAACGAAGGCCTCAAAGAGGTCCGAATATCCACTGGCAGGCTTCACAAACAGAGTGTTTCCTAACTGCTCTGTGAAAAGAAAGGTTAAACTCTGTGAGTTGAACGCACACATCACAAAGGAGTTTCTGAGAATCATTCTGTCTAGTTTTTATACGAAGATATTTCCTTTTCTACCATTGACCTCAAAGCGGCTGAAATCTCCACTTGCAAATTCCAGAAAAACAGTGTTTCAAATCTGCTCTGTGTAAAGGATCGTTCAACTCTGTGAGTTGAATACACACAACACAAGGAAGTTACTGAGAATTCATCTGTCTAGCATAATATGAAGAAATCCCGTTTCCAACGAAGGCCTCAAAGAGGTCTGAATATCCACTTGCAGACTTTACAAACAGAGTGTTTCCTAACTGCTCTTTGAAAAGAAAGGTTAAACTCTGTGAGTTGAACGCACACATCACAAAACAGTTTCTGAGAATCATTCTGTCTAGTTTTTATACGAAGATATTTCCTTTTCTACCGTTGACCTCAAAGCGGCTGAATTCTCCACTTACAAATTCCACCAAAAGAGTGTCTCAAATCTGCTCTGTGTAAAGAATCATTCAACTCTGTGAGTTGAATGCACACAACACAAGGAAGTTACTGGGAATTCCTCTGTCTAACCTTACATGAAAAAACCCGTTTCCAACGAAGGCCTCTAAGAGGCCAAGATATCCACTTGCAGACTTTACAAACAGAGTGTTTCCAAACTGCTGAATGAAAAGAAAAGTTAAACTCTGTGAGTTGAACGCACACATCACAGAGCAGTTTCTGAGAATGATTCTGTCTAGTTTTTATAGGAAAATATTTCCTTTTCTGCTTTTGGCCTCAAAGCGCTTGAAATCTCCACTTGCAAATTCCACAAAAAGAGACTTTCAAATCTGCTCTGTCTAAAGGAAGGTTCAACTCTGTCAGTTGAATACACACAACACAAAGAAGTTACTAAGAATTCTTCCCTCTAGCATTATATGAAGAAATCCCGTTTCCAACGAAGGCATCTAAGAGGTCCAAATATCGACTTGCAGACTTTACAAACAGAGGGTTTCCAGAATGCTGTATGAAAAGAAAGGTTAAACTCTGTGAGTTAAACACACACATCACTACGCAGTGTCTGGGAACGAGTTTGTCTTGTTTTTATACGAAGATATTTCCTTTTCTACCATTGGCATCGAAGCGCTTGAAATCTCCACTTGCAAATTCCACAAAAAGAGTGTTTCAAATCTGCTCTGTCTAAAGGAAGGTTGAACTCTGTGAGTTGCATACACACAACACAAAGAAGTTACTGAGAAATCTTCTGTCTAGCATAATATGAAGAAATCCCGTTTCCAACGAAGGCCTCAAAGAGGTCCGAATATCCACTGGCAGGCTTCACAAACAGAGTGTTTCCTAACTGCTCTGTGAAAAGAAAGGTTAAACTCTGTGAGTTGAACGCACACATCACAAAGGAGTTTCTGAGAATCATTCTGTCTAGTTTTTATACGAAGATATTTCTTTTTCTACCATTGACCTCAAAGCGGCTGAAATCTCCACTTGCAAATTCCAGAAAAACAGTGTTTCAAATCTGCTCTGTGTAAAGGATCGTTCAACTCTGTGAGTTGAATACACACAACACAAGGAAGTTACTGAGAATTCATCTGTCTAGCATAATATGAAGAAATCCCGTTTCCAACGAAGGCCTCAAAGAGGTCTGAATATCCACTTGCAGACTTTACAAACAGAGTGTTTCCTAACTGCTCTTTGAAAAGAAAGGTTAAACTCTGTGAGTTGAACGCACACATCACAAAACAGTTTCTGAGAATCATTCTGTCTAGTTTTTATACGAAAGATATTTCCTTTTCTACCGTTGACCTCAAAGCGGCTGAATTCTCCACTTACAAATTCCACCAAAAGAGTGTCTCAAATCTGCTCTGTGTAAAGAATCATTCAACTCTGTGAGTTGAATGCACACAACACAAGGAAGTTACTGGGAATTCCTCTGTCTATCCTTACATGAAAAAACCCGTTTCCAACGAAGGCCTCTAAGAGGCCAAGATATCCACTTGCAGACTTTACAAACAGAGTGTTTCCAAACTGCTGAATGAAAAGAAAAGTTAAACTCTGTGAGTTGAACGCACACATCACAGAGCAGTTTCTGAGAATGATTCTGTCGGGTTTTTATACGAAGATATTTCCTTTTCTGCCTTTGGCCTCAAAGCGCTTGAAGTCTCCACTTGCAAATTGCAGAAAAAGAGTGTTTCGAATCTGCTCTGTCTAAAGGAAGGTTCAACTCTGTCAGTTGAATACACACAACACAAGGAAGTTACTGAGATTTCTTCTGTCTAGCCTTACATGAAAAAAACCCGTTTCCAATGAAGGCCTCAAAGAGGTCAAAATATCCACGTGCAGACTTTCCAAACAGAGTGTTTCCAAACTGCTGAATGAAAAGAAAAGTTAAACTCTGTGAGTTGAACGCACACATCCCAGAGCAGTTTCTGAGAAAGATTCTGTCGAGTTTTTATAGGAAAATATTTCCTTTTCTGCTTTCGGCCTCAAAGCGCTTGAAATCTCCACTTGCAAATTCCACAAAAAGAGACTTTCAAATCTGCTCTGTCTAAAGGAAGGTTCAACTCTGTCAGTTGAATACACACAACACAAAGAAGTTACTAAGAATTCTTCCCTCTAGCATTATATGAAGAAATCCCGTTTCCAACGAAGGCATCTAAGAGGTCCAAATATCCACTTGCAGACTTTACAAACACAGGGTTTCCAGAATGCTGTATGAAAAGAAAGGTGAAACTCTGTGAGTTAAACACACACATCACTACGCAGTGTCTGGGAACGAGTTTGTCTTGTTTTTATACGAAGATATTTCCTTTTCTACCATTGGCATCGAAGCGCTTGAAATCTCCACTTGCAAATTCCACAAAAAGAGTGTTTCAAATCTGCTCTGTCTAAAGGAAGGTTGAACTCTGTGAGTTGCATACACACAACACAAAGAAGTTACTGAGAAATCTTCTGTCTAGCATAATATGAAGAAATCCCGTTTCCAACGAAGGCCTCAAAGAGGTCCGAATATCCACTGGCAGGCTTCACAAACAGAGTGTTTCCTAACTGCTCTGTGAAAAGAAAGGTTAAACTCTGTGAGTTGAACGCACACATCACAAAGGAGTTTCTGAGAATCATTCTGTCTAGTTTTTATACGAAGATATTTCCTTTTCTACCATTGACCTCAAAGCAGCTGAAATCTCCACTTGCAAATTCCAGAAAAACAGTGTTTCAAATCTGCTCTGTGTAAAGGATCGTTCAACTCTGTGAGTTGAATACACACAACACAAGGAAGTTACTGAGAATTATTCTGTCTAGCATAATATGAAGAAATCCCGTTTCCAACGAAGGCCTCAAAGAGGTCTGAATATCCACTTGCAGACTTTACAAACAGAGTGTTTCCTAACTGCTCTTTGAAAAGAAAGGTTAAACTCTGTGAGTTGAACGCACACATCACAAAACAGTTTCTGAGAATCATTCTGTCTAGTTTTTATACGAAGATATTTCCTTTTCTACCGTTGACCTCAAAGCAGCTGAATTCTCCACTTACAAATTCCACCAAAAGAGTGTCTCAAATCTGCTCTGTGTAAAGAATCATTCAACTCTGTGAGTTGAATGCACACAACACAAGGAAGTTACTGGGAATTCCTCTGTCTAACCTTACATGAAAAAACCCGTTTCAAACGAAGGCCTCTAAGAGGCCAAGATATCCACTTGCAGACTTTACAAACAGAGTGTTTCCAAACTGCTGAATGAAAAGAAAAGTTAAACTCTGTGAGTTGAACGCACACATCACAGAGCAGTTTCTGAGAATGATTCTGTCGGGTTTTTATACGAAGGATATTTCCTTTTCTGCCTTTGGCCTCAAAGCGCTTGAAGTCTCCACTTGCAAATTGCAGAAAAAGAGTGTTTCGAATCTGCTCTGTCTAAAGGAAGGTTCAACTCTGTCAGTTGAATACACACAACACAAAGAAGTTACTAAGAATTCTTCCCTCTAGCATTATATGAAGAAATCCCGTTTCCAACGAAGGCATCTAAGAGGTCCAAATATCCACTTGCAGACTTTACAAACAGAGGGTTTCCAGAATGCTGTATGAAAAGAAAGGTTAAACTCTGTGAGTTAAACACACACATCACTACGCAGTGTCTGGGAACGAGTTTGTCTTGTTTTTATACGAAGATATTTCCTTTTCTACCATTGGCATCGAAGCGCTTGAAATCTCCACTTGCAAATTCCACAAAAAGAGTGTTTCAAATCTGCTCTGTCTAAAGGAAGGTTGAACTCTGTGAGTTGCATACACACAACACAAAGAAGTTACTGAGAAATCTTCTGTCTAGCATAATATGAAGAAATCCCGTTTCCAACGAAGGCCTGAAAGAGGTCCGAATATCCACTGGCAGGCTTCACAAACAGAGTGTTTCCTAACTGCTCTGTGAAAAGAAAGGTTAAACTCTGTGAGTTGAACGCACACATCACAAAGGAGTTTCTGAGAATCATTCTGTCTAGTTTTTATACGAAGATATTTCCTTTTCTACCATTGACCTCAAAGCGGCTGAAATCTCCACTTGCAAATTCCAGAAAAACAGTGTTTCAAATCTGCTCTGTGTAAAGGATCGTTCAACTCTGTGAGTTGAATACACACAACACAAGGAAGTTACTGAGAATTCATCTGTCTAGCATAATATGAAGAAATCCCGTTTCCAAGGAAGGCCTCAAAGAGGTCTGAATATCCACTTGCAGACTTTACAGAGTGTTTCCTAACTGCTCTCTGAAAAGAAAGGTTAAACTCTGTGAGTTGAACGCACACATCACAAAACAGTTTCTGAGAATCATTCTGTCTAGTTTTTATACGAAGATATTTCCTTTTCTACCGTTGACCTCAAAGCGGCTGAATTCTCCACTTACAAATTCCACCAAAAGAGTGTCTCAAATCTGCTCTGTGTAAAGAATCGTTCAACTCTGTGAGTTGAATGCACACAACACAAGGAAGTTACTGGGAATTCCTCTGTCTAACCTTACATGATAAAACCCGTTTCCAACGAAGGCCTCTAAGAGGCCAAGATATCCACATGCAGACTTTACAAACAGAGTGTTTCCAAACTGCTGAATGAAAAGAAAAGTTAAACTCTGTGAGTTGAACGCACACATCACAGAGCAGTTTCTGAGAATGATTCTGTCGGGTTTTTATACGAAGATATTTCCTTTTCTGCCTTTGGCCTCAAAGCGCTTGAAGTCTCCACTTGCAAATTGCAGAAAAAGAGTGTTTCGAATCTGCTCTGTCTAAAGGAAGGTTCAACTCTGTCAGTTGAATACACACAACACAAGGAAGTTACTGAGATTTCTTCTGTCTAGCCTTACATGAAAAAAACCCGTTTCCAACGAAGGCCTCAAAGAGGTCAAAATATCCACGTGCAGACTTTCCAAACAGAGTGTTTCCAAACTGCTGAATGAAAAGAAAAGTTAAACTCTGTGAGTTGAACGCACACATCCCAGAGCAGTTTCTGAGAAAGATTCTGTCTAGTTTTTATAGGAAAATATTTCCTTTTCTGCTTTTGGCCTCAAAGCGCTTGAAATCTCCACTTGCAAATTCCACAAAAAGAGACTTTCAAATCTGCTCTGTCTAAAGGAAGGTTCAACTCTGTCAGTTGAATACACACAACACAAAGAAGTTACTAAGAATTCTTCCCTCTAGCATTATATGAGGAAATCCCGTTCCAACGAAGGCATCTAAGAGGTCCAAATATCCACTTGCAGACTTTACAAACAGAGGGTTTCCAGAATGCTGTATGAAAAGAAAGGTTAAACTCTGTGAGTTAAACACACACATCACTACGCAGTGTCTGGGAACGAGTTTGTCTTGTTTTTATACGAAGATATTTCCTTTTCTACCATTGGCATCGAAGCGCTTGAAATCTCCACTTGCAAATTCCACAAAAAGAGTGTTTCAAATCTGCTCTGTCTAAAGGAAGGTTGAACTCTGTGAGTTGCATACACACAACACAAAGAAGTTACTGAGAAATCTTCTGTCTAGCATAATATGAAGAAATCCCGTTTCCAACGAAGGCCTCAAAGAGGTCCGCATATCCACTGGCAGGCTTCACAAACAGAGTGTTTCCTAACTGCTCTGTGAAAAGAAAGGTTAAACTCTGTGAGTTGAACGCACACATCACAAAGGAGTTTCTGAGAATCATTCTGTCTAGTTTTTATACGAAGATATTTCCTTTTCTACCATTGACCTCAAAGCGGCTGAAATCTCCACTTGCAAATTCCAGAAAAACAGTGTTTCAAATCTGCTCTGTGTAAAGGATCGTTCAACTCTGTGAGTTGAATACACACAACACAAGGGAAGTTACTGAGAAATTCATCTGTCTAGCATAATATGAAGAAATCCCGTTTCCAACGAAGGCCTCAAAGAGGTCTGAATATCCACTTGCAGACTTTACAAACAGAGTGTTTCCTAACTGCTCTTTGAAAAGAAAGGTTAAACTCTGTGAGTTGAACGCACACATCACAAAACAGTTTCTGAGAATCATTCTGTCTAGTTTTTATACGAAGATATTTCCTTTTCTACCGTTGACCTCAAAGCGGCTGAATTCTCCACTAACAAATTCCACCAAAAGAGTGTCTCAAATCTGCTCTGTGTAAAGAATCATTCAACTCTGTGAGTTGAATGCACACAACACAAGGAAGTTACTGGGAATTCCTCTGTCTAACCTTACATGAAAAAACCCGTTTCCAACGAAGGCCTCTAAGAGGCCAAGATATCCACTTGCAGACTTTACAAACAGAGTGTTTCCAAACTGCTGAATGAAAAGAAAAGTTAAACTCTGTGAGTTGAACGCACACATCACAGAGCAGTTTCTGAGAATGATTCTGTCGGGTTTTTATACGAAGATATTTCCTTTTCTGCCTTTGGCCTCAAAGCGCTTGAAGTCTCCACTTGCAAATTGCAGAAAAAGAGTGTTTCGAATCTGCTCTGTCTAAAAGAAGGTTCAACTCTGTCAGTTGAATACACACAACACAAGGAAGTTACTGAGATTTCTTCTGTCTAGCCTTACATGAAAAAAACCCGTTTCCAACGAAGGCCTCAAAGAGGTCAAAATATCCACGTGCAGACTTTCCAAACAGAGTGTTTCCAAACTGCTGAATGAAAAGAAAAGTTAAACTCTGTGAGTTGAACGCACACATCCCAGAGCAGTTTCTGAGAAAGATTCTGTCTAGTTTTTATAGGAAAATATTTCCTTTTCTGCTTTTGGCCTCAAAGCGCTTGAAATCTCCACTTGCAAATTCCACAAAAAGAGACTTTCAAATCTGCTCTGTCTAAAGGAAGGTTCAACTCTGTCAGTTGAATACACACAACACAAAGAAGTTACTAAGAATTCTTCCCTCTAGCATTATATGAAGAAATCCCGTTTCCAATGAAGGCATCTAAGAGGTCCAAATATCCACTTCCAGACTTTACAAACAGAGGGTTTCCAGAATGCTGTATGAAAAGAAAGGTTAAACTCTGTGAGTTAAACACACACATCACTACGCAGTGTCTGGGAACGAGTTTGTCTTGTTTTTATACGAAGATATTTCCTTTTCTACCATTGGCATCGAAGCGCTTGAAATCTCCACTTGCAAATTCCACAAAAAGAGTGTTTCAAATCTGCTCTGTCTAAAGGAAGGTTGAACTCTGTGAGTTGCATACACACAACACAAAGAAGTTACTGAGAAATCTTCTGTCTAGCATAATATGAAGAAATCCCGTTTCCAACGAAGGCCTCAAAGAGGTCCGAATATCCACTGGCAGGCTTCACAAACAGAGTGTTTCCTAACTGCTCTGTGAAAAGAAAGGTTAAACTCTGTGAGTTGAATGCACACATCACAAAGGAGTTTCTGAGAATCATTCTGTCTAGTTTTTATACGAAGATATTTCCTTTTCTACCATTGACCTCAAAGCGGCTGAAATCTCCACTTGCAAATTCCAGAAAAACAGTGTTTCAAATCTGCTCTGTGTAAAGGATCGTTCAACTCTGTGAGTTGAATACACACAACACAAGGAAGTTACTGAGAATTCATCTGTCTAGCATAATATGAAGAAATCCCGTTTCCAACGAAGGCCTCAAAGAGGTCTGAATATCCACTTGCAGACTTTACAAACAGAGTGTTTCCTAACTGCTCTTTGAAAAGAAAGGTTAAACTCTGTGAGTTGAAAGCACACATCACAAAACAGTTTCTGAGAATCATTCTGTCTAGTTTTTATACGAAGATATTTCCTTTTCTACCGTTGACATCAAAGCGGCTGAATTCTCCACTTACAAATTCCACCAAAAGAGTGTCTCAAATCTGCTCTGTGTAAAGAATCATTCAACTCTGTGAGTTGAATGCACACAACACAAGGAAGTTAGTGGGAATTCCTCTGTCTAACCTTACATGAAAAAACCCGCTTCCAACGAAGGCCTCTAAGAGGCCAAGATATCCACTTGCAGACTTTACAAACAGAGTGTTTCCAAACTGCTGAATGAAAAGAAAAGTTAAACTCTGTGAGTTGAACGCACACATCACAGAGCAGTTTCTGAGAATGATTCTGTCGGGTTTTTATACGAAGATATTTCCTTTTCTGCCTTTGGCCTCAAAGCGCTTGAAGTCTCCACTTGCAAATTGCAGAAAAAGAGTGTTTCGAATCTGCTCTGTCTAAAGGAAGGTTCAACTCTGTCAGTTGAATACACACAACACAAGGAAGTTACTGAGATTTCTTCTGTCTAGCCTTACATGAAAAAAACCCGTTTCCAACGAAGGCCTCAAAGAGGTCAAAATATCCACGTGCAGACTTTCCAAACAGAGTGTTTCCAAACTGCTGAATGAAAAGTTAAACTCTGTGAGTTGAACGCACACATCCCAGAGCAGTTTCTGAGAAAGATTCTGTCGAGTTTTTATAGGAAAATATTTCCTTTTCTGCTTTTGGCCTCAAAGCGCTTGAAATCTCCACTTGCAAATTCCACAAAAAGAGACTTTCAAATCTGCTCTGTCTAAAGGAAGGTTCAACTCTGTCAGTTGAATACACACAACACAAAGAAGTTACTAAGAATTCTTCCCTCTAGCATTATATGAAGAAATCCCGTTTCCAACGAAGGCATCTAAGAGGTCCAAATATCCACTTGCAGACTTTACAAACACAGGGTTTCCAGAATGCTGTATGAAAAGAAAGGTGAAACTCTGTGAGTTAAACACACACATCACTACGCAGTGTCTGGGAACGAGTTTGTCTTGTTTTTATACGAAGATATTTCCTTTTCTACCATTGGCATCGAAGCGCTTGAAATCTCCACTTGCAAATTCCACAAAAAGAGTGTTTCAAATCTGCTCTGTCTAAAGGAAGGTTGAACTCTGTGAGTTGCATACACACAACACAAAGAAGTTACTGAGAAATCTTCTGTCTAGCATAATATGAAGAAATCCCGTTTCCAACGAAGGCCTCAAAGAGGTCCGAATATCCACTGGCAGACTTCACAAACAGAGTGTTTCCTAACTGCTCTGTGAAAAGAAAGGTTAAACCCTGTGAGTTGAACGCACACATCACAAAGGAGTTTCTGAGAATCATTCTGTCTAGTTTTTATACGAAGATATTTCCTTTTCTACCGTTGACCTCAAAGCGGCTGAAATCTCCACTTGAAAATTCCAGAAAAACAGTGTTTCAAATCTGCTCTGTGTAAAGGATCGTTTAACTCTGTGAGTTGAATACACACAACACAAGGAAGTTACTGAGAATTCATCTGTCTAGCATAATATGAAGAAATCCCGTTTCCAACGAAGGCCTCAAAGAGGTCTGAATATCCACTTGCAGACTTTACAAACAGAGTGTTTCCTAACTGCTCTTTGAAAAGAAAGGTTAAACTCTGTGAGTTGAACGCACACATCACAAAACAGTTTCTGAGAATCATTCTGTCTAGTTTTTATACGAAGATATTTCCTTTTCTACCGTTGACCTCAAAGCGGCTGAATTCTCCACTTACAAATTCCACCAAAAGAGTGTCTCAAATCTGCTCTGTGTAAAGAATCATTCAACTCTGTGAGTTGAATGCACACAACACAAGGAAGTTACTGGGAATTCCTCTGTCTATCCTTACATGAAAAAACCCGCTTCCAACGAAGGCCTCTAAGAGGCCAAGATATCCACTTGCAGACTTTACAAACAGAGTGTTTCCAAACTGCTGAATGAAAAGAAAAGTTAAACTCTGTGAGTTGAACGCACACATCACAGAGCAGTTTCTGAGAATGATTCTGTCGGGTTTTTATACGAAGATATTTCCTTTTCTGCCTTTGGCCTCAAAGCGCTTGAAGTCTCCACTTGCAAATTGCAGAAAAAGAGTGTTTCGAATCTGCTCTGTCTAAAGGAAGGTTCAACTCTGTCAGTTGAATACACACAACACAAGGAAGTTACTGAGATTTCTTCTGTCTAGCGTTACATGAAAAAAACCCGTTTCCAACGAAGGCCTCAAAGAGGTCAAAATATCCACGTGCAGACTTTCCAAACAGAGTGTTTCCAAACTGCTGAATGAAAAGAAAAGTTAAACTCTGTGAGTTGAACGCACACATCCCAGAGCAGTTTCTGAGAAAGATTCTGTCTAGTTTTTATAGGAAAATATTTCCTTTTCTGCTTTTGGCCTCAAAGCGCTTGAAATCTCCACTTGCAAATTCCACAAAAAGAGACTTTCAAATCTGCTCTGTCTAAAGGAAGGTTCAACTCTGTCAGTTGAATACACACAACACAAAGAAGTTACTAAGAATTCTTCCCTCTAGCATTATATGAAGAAATCCCGTTTCCAACGAAGGCATCTAAGAGGTCCAAATATCCACTTGCAGACTTTACAAACAGAGGGTTTCCAGAATGCTGTATGAAAAGAAAGGTTAAACTCTGTGAGTTAAACACACACATCACTACGCAGTGTCTGGGAACGAGTTTGTCTTGTTTTTATACGAAGATATTTCCTTTTCTACCATTGGCATCGAAGCGCTTGAAATCTCCACTTGCAAATTCCACAAAAAGAGTGTTTCAAATCTGCTCTGTCTAAAGGAAGGTTGAACTCTGTGAGTTGCATACACACAACACAAAGAAGTTACTGAGAAATCTTCTGTCTAGCATAATATGAAGAAATCCCGTTTCCAACGAAGGCCTCAAAGAGGTCCGAATATCCACTGGCAGGCTTCACAAACAGAGTGTTTCCTAACTGCTCTGTGAAAAGAAAGGTTAAACCCTGTGAGTTGAACGCACACATCACAAAGGAGTTTCTGAGAATCATTCTGTCTAGTTTTTATACGAAGATATTTCCTTTTCTACCATTGACCTCAAAGCGGCTGAAATCTCCACTTGCAAATTCCAGAAAAACAGTGTTTCAAATCTGCTCTGTGTAAAGGATCGTTCAACTCTGTGAGTTGAATACACACAACACAAGGAAGTTACTGAGAATTCATCTGTCTAGCATAATATGAAGAAATCCCGTTTCCAACGAAGGCCTCAAAGAGGTCTGAATATCCACTTGCAGACTTTACAGAGTGTTTCCTAACTGCTCTTTGAAAAGAAAGGTTAAACTCTGTGAGTTGAACGCACACATCACAAAACAGTTTCTGAGAATCATTCTGTCTAGTTTTTATACGAAGATATTTCCTTTTCTACCGTTGACCTCAAAGCGGCTGAATTCTCCACTTACAAATTCCACCAAAAGAGTGTCTCAAATCTGCTCTGTGTAAAGAATCGTTCAACTCTGTGAGTTGAATGCACACAACACAAGGAAGTTACTGGGAATTCCTCTGTCTAACCTTACATGAAAAAACCCGTTTCCAACGAAGGCCTCTAAGAGGCCAAGATATCCACTTGCAGACTTTACAAACAGAGTGTTTCCAAACTGCTGAATGAAAAGAAAAGTTAAACTCTGTGAGTTGAACGCACACATCACAGAGCAGTTTCTGAGAATGATTCTGTCGGGTTTTTATACGAAGATATTTCCTTTTCTGCCTTTGGCCTCAAAGCGCTTGAAGTCTCCACTTGCAAATTGCAGAAAAAGAGTGTTTCGAATCTGCTCTGTCTAAAGGAAGGTTCAACTCTTTCAGTTGAATACACACAACACAAGGAAGTTACTGAGATTTCTTCTGTCTAGCCTTACATGAAAAAAACCCGTTTCCAACGAAGGCCTCAAAGAGGTCAAAATATCCACGTGCAGACTTTCCAAACAGAGTGTTTCCAAACTGCTGAATGAAAAGAAAAGTTAAACTCTGTGAGTTGAACGCACACATCCCAGAGCAGTTTCTGAGAAAGATTCTGTCGAGTTTTTATAGGAAAATATTTCCTTTTCTGCTTTTGGCCTCAAAGCGCTTGAAATCTCCACTTGCAAATTCCACAAAAAGAGACTTTCAAATCTGATCTGTCTAAAGGAAGGTTCAACTCTGTCAGTTGAATACACACAACACAAAGAAGTTACTAAGAATTCTTCCCTCTAGCATTATATGAAGAAATCCCGTTTCCAACGAAGGCATCTAAGAGGTCCAAATATCCACTTGCAGACTTTACAAACACAGGGTTTCCAGAATGCTGTATGAAAAGAAAGGTGAAACTCTGTGAGTTAAACACACACATCACTACGCAGTGTCTGGGAACGAGTTTGTCTTGTTTTTATACGAAGATATTTCCTTTTCTACCATTGGCATCGAAGCGCTTGAAATCTCCACTTGCAAATTCCACAAAAAGAGTGTTTCAAATCTGCTCTGTCTAAAGGAAGGTTGAACTCTGTGAGTTGCATACACACAACACAAAGAAGTTACTGAGAAATCTTCTGTCTAGCATAATATGAAGAAATCCCGTTTCCAACGAAGGCCTCAAAGAGGTCCGAATATCCACTGGCAGGCTTCACAAACAGAGTGTTTCCTAACTGCTCTGTGAAAAGAAAGGTTAAACTCTGTGAGTTGAACGCACACATCACAAAGGAGTTTCTGAGAATCATTCTGTCTAGTTTTTATACGAAGATATTTCCTTTTCTACCATTGACCTCAAAGCGGCTGAAATCTCCACTTGCAAATTCCAGAAAAACAGTGTTTCAAATCTGCTCTGTGTAAAGGATCGTTCAACTCTGTGAGTTGAATACACACAACACAAGGAAGTTACTGAGAATTCATCTGTCTAGCATAATATGAAGAAATCCCGTTTCCAACGAAGGCCTCAAAGAGGTCTGAATATCCACTTGCAGACTTTACAAACAGAGTGTTTCCTAACTGCTCTTTGAAAAGAAAGGTTAAACTCTGTGAGTTGAACGCACACATCACAAAACAGTTTCTGAGAATCATTCTGTCTAGTTTTTATACGAAGATATTTCCTTTTCTACCGTTGACCTCAAAGCGGCTGAATTCTCCACTAACAAATTCCACCAAAAGAGTGTCTCAAATCTGCTCTGTGTAAAGAATCATTCAACTCTGTGAGTTGAATGCACACAACACAAGGAAGTTACTGGGAATTCCTCTGTCTAACCTTACATGAAAAAACCCGTTTCCAACGAAGGCCTCTAAGAGGCCAAGATATCCACTTGCAGACTTTACAAACAGAGTGTTTCCAAACTGCTGAGTGAAAAGAAAAGTTAAACTCTGTGAGTTGAACGCACACATCACAGAGCAGTTTCTGAGAATGATTCTGTCGGGTTTTTATACGAAGATATTTCCTTTTCTGCCTTTGGCCTCAAAGCGCTTGAAGTCTCCACTTGCAAATTGCAGAAAAAGAGTGTTTCGAATCTGCTCTGTCTAAAGGAAGGTTCAACTCTGTCAGTTGAATACACACAACACAAGGAAGTTACTGAGATTTCTTCTGTCTAGCCTTACATGAAAAAAACCCGTTTCCAACGAAGGCCTCAAAGAGGTCAAAATATCCACGTGCAGACTTTCCAAACAGAGTGTTTCCAAACTGCTGAATGAAAAGAAAGTTAAACTCTGTGAGTTGAACACACACATCACAGAGCAGTTTCTGAGAATGATTCTGTCTAGTTTTTATAGGAAAATATTTCCTTTTCTGCTTTTGGCCTCAAAGCGCTTGAAATCTCCACTTGCAAATTCCACAAAAAGAGACTTTCAAATCTGCTCTGTCTAAAGGAAGGTTCAACTCTGTCAGTTGAATACACACAACACAAAGAAGTTACTAAGAATTCTTCCCTCTAGCATTATATGAAGAAATCCCGTTTCCAACGAAGGCATCTAAGAGTTCCAAATATCCACTTGCAGACTTTACAAACAGAGGGTTTCCAGAATGCTGTATGAAAAGAAAGGTTAAACTCTGTGAGTTAAACACACACATCACTACGCAGTGTCTGGGAACGAGTTTGTCTTGTTTTTATACGAAGATATTTCCTTTTCTACCATTGGCATCGAAGTGCTTGAAATCTCCACTTGCAAATTCCACAAAAAGAGTGTTTCAAATCTGCTCTGTCTAAAGGAAGGTTGAACTCTGTGAGTTGCATACACACAACACAAAGAAGTTACTGAGAAATCTTCTGTCTAGCATAATATGAAGAAATCCCGTTTCCAACGAAGGCCTCAAAGAGGTCCGAATATCCACTGGCAGGCTTCACAAACAGAGTGTTTCCTAACTGCTCTGTGAAAAGAAAGGTTAAACTCTGTGAGTTGAACGCACACATCACAAAGGAGTTTCTGAGAATCATTCTGTCTAGTTTTTATACGAAGATATTTCTTTTTCTACCATTGACCTCAAAGCGGCTGAAATCTCCACTTGCAAATTCCAGAAAAACAGTGTTTCAAATCTGCTCTGTGTAAAGGATCGTTCAACTCTGTGAGTTGAATACACACAACACAAGGGAAGTTACTGAGAATTCATCTGTCTAGCATAATATGAAGAAATCCCGTTTCCAACGAAGGCCTCAAAGAGGTCTGAATATCCACTTGCAGACTTTACAAACAGAGTGCTTCCTAACTGCTCTTTGAAAAGAAAGGTTAAACTCTGTGAGTTGAACGCACACATCACAAAACAGTTTCTGAGAATCATTCTGTCTAGTTTTTATACGAAGATATTTCCTTTTCTACCGTTGACCTCAAAGCGGCTGAATTCTCCACTAACAAATTCCACCTAAAGAGTGTCTCAAATCTGCTCTGTGTAAAGAATCATTCAACTCTGTGAGTTGAATGCACACAACACAAGGAAGTTACTGGGAATTCCTCTGTCTAACCTTACAGGAAAAAACCCGTTTCCAACGAAGGCCTCTAAGAGGCCAAGATATCCACTTGCAGACTTTACAAACAGAGTGTTTCCAAACTGCTGAATGAAAAGAAAAGTTAAACTCTGTGAGTTGAACGCACACATCACAGAGCAGTTTCTGAGAATGATTCTGTCGGGTTTTTATACGAAGATATATCCTTTTCTGCCTTTGGCCTCAAAGCGCTTGAAGTCTCCACTTGCAAATTGCAGAAAAAGAGTGTTTCGAATCTGCTCTGTCTAAAGGAAGGTTCAACTCTGTCAGTTGAATACACACAACACAAGGAAGTTACTGAGATTTCTTCCCTCTAGCATTATATGAGGAAATCCCGTTTCCAACGAAGGCATCTAAGAGGTCCAAATATCCACTTGCAGACTTTACAAACAGAGGGTTTCCAGAATGCTGTATGAAAAGAAAGGTTAAACTCTGTGAGTTAAACACACACATCACTACGCAGTGTCTGGGAACGAGTTTGTCTTGTTTTTATACGAAGATATTTCCTTTTCTACCATTGGCATCGATGCGCTTGAAATCTCCACTTGCAAATTCCACAAAAAGAGTGTTTCAAATCTGCTCTGTCTAAAGGAAGGTTGAACTCTGTGAGTTGCATACACACAACACAAAGAAGTTACTGAGAAATCTTCTGTCTAGCAAAATATGAAGAAATCCCGTTTCCAACGAAGGCCTCAAAGAGGTCCGAATATCCACTGGCAGGCTTCACAAACAGAGTGTTTCCTAACTGCTCTGTGAAAAGAAAGGTTAAACTCTGTGAGTTGAACGCACACATCACAAAGGAGTTTCTGAGAATCATTCTGTCTAGTTTTTCTACGAAGATATTTCCTTTTCTACCATTGACCTCAAAGCGGCTGAAATCTCCACTTGCAAATTCCAGAAAAACAGTGTTTCAAATCTGCTCTGTGTAAAGGATCGTTCAACTCTGTGAGTTGAATACACACAACACAAGGAAGTTACTGAGAATTCATCTGTCTAGCATAATATGAAGAAATCCCGTTTCCAACGAAGGCCTCAAAGAGGTCTGAATATCCACTTGCAGACTTTACAAACAGAGTGTTTCCTAACTGCTCTCTGAAAAGAAAGGTTAAACTCTGTGAGTTGAACGCACACATCACAAAACAGTTTCTGAGAATCATTCTGTCTAGTTTTTATACGAAGATATTTCCTTTTCTACCGTTGACCTCAAAGCGGCTGAATTCTCCACTTACAAATTCCACCAAAAGAGTGTCTCAAATCTGCTCTGTGTAAAGAATCATTCAACTCTGTGAGTTGAATGCACACAACACAAGGAAGTTACTGGGAATTCCTCTGTCTATCCTTACATGAAAAAACCCGTTTCCAACGAAGGCCTCTAAGAGGCCAAGATATCCACTTGCAGACTTTACAAACAGAGTGTTTCCAAACTGCTGAATGAAAAGAAAAGTTAAACTCTGTGAGTTGAACGCACACATCACAGAGCAGTTTCTGAGAAAGATTCTGTCTAGTTTTTATAGGAAAATATTTCCTTTTCTGCTTTTGGCCTCAAAGCGCTTGAAATCTCCACTTGCAAATTCCACAAAAAGAGTGTTTCAAATCTGCTCTGTCTAAAGGAAGGTTGAACTCTGTGAGTTGCATACACACAACACAAAGAAGTTACTGAGAAATCTTCTGTCTAGCATAATATGAAGAAATCCCGTTTCCAACGAAGGCCTCAAAGAGGTCCGAATATCCACTGGCAGGCTTCACAAACAGAGTGTTTCCTAACTGCTCTGTTGAAAAGAAAGGTTAAACTCTGTGAGTTGAACGCACACATCACAAAAGAGTTTCTGAGAATCATTCTGTCTAGTTTTTATACGAAGATATTTCTTTTTCTACCATTGACCTCAAAGCGGCTGAAATCTCCACTTGCAAATTCCAGAAAAACAGTGTTTCAAATCTGCTCTGTGTAAAGGATCGTTCAACTCTGTGAGTTGAATACACACAACACAAGGAAGTTACTGAGAATTCATCTGTCTAGCATAATATGAAGAAATCCCGTTTCCAACGAAGGCCTCAAAGAGGTCTGAATATCCACTTGCAGACTTTACAAACAGAGTGTTTCCTAACTGCTCTTTGAAAAGAAAGGTTAAACTCTGTGAGTTGAACGCACACATCACAAAACAGTTTCTGAGAATCATTCTGTCTAGTTTTTATACGAAGATATATCCTTTTCTACCGTTGACCTCAAAGCGGCTGAATTCTCCACTAACAAATTCCACCAAAAGAGTGTCTCAAATCTGCTCTGTGTAAAGAATCATTCAACTCTGTGAGTTGAATGCACACAACACAAGGAAGTTACTGGGAATTCCTCTGTCTAACCTTACATGAAAAAACCCGTTTCCAACGAAGGCCTCTAAGAGGCCAAGATATCCACTTGCAGACTTTACAAACAGAGTGTTTCCAAACTGCTGAATGAAAAGAAAAGTTAAACTCTGTGAGTTGAACGCACACATCACAGAGCAGTTTCTGAGAATGATTCTGTCGGGTTTTTATACGAAGATATTTCCTTTTCTGCCTTTGGCCTCAAAGCGCTTGAAGTCTCCACTTGCAAATTGCAGAAAAAGAGTGTTTCGAATCTGCTCTGTCTAAAGGAAGGTTCAACTCTGTCAGTTGAATACACACAACACAAGGAAGTTACTGAGATTTCTTCTGTCTAGCCTTACATGAAAAAAACCCGTTTCTAACGAAGGCCTCAAAGAGGTCAAAATATCCACGTGCAGACTTTCCAAACAGAGTGTTTCCAAACTGCTGAATGGAAAGAAAAGTTAAACTCTGTGAGTTGAACGCACACATCCCAGAGCAGTTTCTGAGAAAGATTGTCTAGTTTTTATAGGAAAATATTTCCTTTTCTGCTTTTGCCCTCAAAGCGCTTGAAATCTCCACTTGCAAATTCCACAAAAAGAGACTTTCAAATCTGCTCTGTCTAAAGGAAGGTTCAACTCTGTCAGTTGAATACACACAACACAAAGAAGTTACTAAGAATTCTTCCCTCTAGCATTATATGAAGAAATCCCGTTTCCAACGAAGGCATCTAAGAGGTCCAAATATCCACTTGCAGACTTTACAAACACAGGGTTTCCAGAATGCTGTATGAAAAGAAAGGTTAAACTCTGTGAGTTAAACACACACATCACTACGCAGTGTCTGGGAACGAGTTTGTCTTGTTTTTATACGAAGATATTTCCTTTTCTACCATTGGCATCGATGCGCTTGAAATTTCCACTTGCAAATTCCACAAAAAGAGTGTTTCAAATCTGCTCTGTCTAAAGGAAGGTTGAACTCTGTGAGTTGCATACACACAACACAAAGAAGTTACTGAGAAATCTTCTGTCTAGCATAATATGAAGAAATCCCGTTTCCAACGAAGGCCTCAAAGAGGTCCGAATATCCACTGGCAGGCTTCACAAACAGAGTGTTTCCTAACTGCTCTGTGAAAAGAAAGGTTAAACTCTGTGAGTTGAACGCACACATCACAAAGGAGTTTCTGAGAATCATTCTGTCTAGTTTTTATACGAAGATATTTCCTTTTCTACCATTGACCTCAAAGCGGCTGACATCTCCACTTGCAAATTCCAGAAAAACAGTGTTTCAAATCTGCTCTGTGTAAAGGATCGTTCAACTCTGTGAGTTGAATACACACAACACAAGGAAGTTACTGAGAATTCATCTGTCTAGCATAATATGAAGAAATCCCGTTTCCAACGAAGGCCTCAAAGAGGTCTGAATATCCACTTGCAGACTTTACAAACAGAGTGTTTCCTAACTGCTCTCTGAAAAGAAAGGTTAAACTCTGTGAGTTGAACGCACACATCACAAAACAGTTTCTGAGAATCATTCTGTCTAGTTTTTATACGAAGATATTTCCTTTTCTACCGTTGACCTCAAAGCGGCTGAATTCTCCACTTACAAATTCCACCAAAAGAGTGTCTCAAATCTGCTCTGTGTAAAGAATCATTCAACTCTGTGAGTTGAATGCACACAACACAAGGAAGTTACTGGGAATTCCTCTGTCTATCCTTACATGAAAAAACCCGTTTCCAACGAAGGCCTCTAAGAGGCCAAGATATCCACTTGCAGACTTTACAAACAGAGTGTTTCCAAACTGCTGAATGAAAAGAAAAGTTAAACTCTGTGAGTTGAACGCACACATCACAGAGCAGTTTCTGAGAATGATTCTGTCGGGTTTTTATACGAAGATATTTCCTTTTCTGCCTTTGGCCTCAAAGCGCTTGAAGTCTCCACTTGCAAATTGCAGAAAAAGAGTGTTTCGAATCTGCTCTGTCTAAAGGAAGGTTCAACTCTGTCAGTTGAATACACACAACACAAGGAAGTTACTGAGATTTCTTCTGTCTAGCCTTACATGAAAAAAACCCGTTTCCAACGAAGGCCTCAAAGAGGTCAAAATATCCACGTGCAGACTTTCCAAACAGAGTGTTTCCAAACTGCTGAATGAAAAGAAAAGTTAAACTCTGTGAGTTGAACGCACACATCCCAGAGCAGTTTCTGAGAAAGATTCTGTCTAATTTTTATAGGAAAATATTTCCTTTTCTGCTTTTGGCCTCAAAGCGCTTGAAATCTCCACTTGCAAATTCCACAAAAAGAGACTTTCAAATCTGCTCTGTCTAAAGGAAGGTTCAACTCTGTCAGTTGAATACACACAACACAAAGAAGTTACTAAGAATTCTTCCCTCTAGCATTATATGAGGAAATCCCGTTTCCAACGAAGGCATCTAAGAGGTCCAAATATCCACTTGCAGACTTTACAAACAGAGGGTTTCCAGAATGCTGTATGAAAAGAAAGGTTAAACTCTGTGAGTTAAACACACACATCACTACGCAGTGTCTGGGAACGAGTTTGTCTTGTTTTTATACGAAGATATTTCCTTTTCTACCATTGGCATCGAAGCGCTTGAAATCTCCACTTGCAAATTCCACAAAAAGAGTGTTTCAAATCTGCTCTGTCTAAAGGAAGGTTGAACTCTGTGAGTTGCATACACACAACACAAAGAAGTTACTGAGAAATCTTCTGTCTAGCAAAATATGAAGAAATCCCGTTTCCAACGAAGGCCTCAAAGAGGTCCGAATATCCACTGGCAGGCTTCACAAACAGAGTGTTTCCTAACTGCTCTGTGAAAAGAAAGGTTAAACTCTGTGAGTTGAACGCACACATCACAAAGGAGTTTCTGAGAATCATTCTGTCCAGTTTTTATACGAAGATATTTCCTTTTCTACCATTGACCTCAAAGCGGCTGAAATCTCCACTTGCAAATTCCAGAAAAACAGTGTTTCAAATCTGCTCTGTGTAAAGGATCGTTCAACTCTGTGAGTTGAATACACACAACACAAGGAAGTTACTGAGAATTCATCTGTCTAGCATAATATGATGAAATCCCGTTTCCAACGAAGGCTTCAAAGAGGTCTGAATATCCACTTGCAGACTTTACAAACAGAGTGTTTCCTAACTGCTCTTTGAAAAGAAAGGTTAAACTCTGTGAGTTGAACGCACACATCACAAAACAGTTTCTGAGAATCATTCTGTCTAGTTTTTATACGAAGATATTTCCTTTTCTACCGTTGACCTCAAAGCGGCTGAATTCTCCACTTACAAATTCCACCAAAAGAGTGTCTCAAATCTGCTCTGTGTAAAGAATCATTCAACTCTGTGAGTTGAATGCACACAACACAAGGAAGTTACTGGGAATTCCTCTGTCTAACCTTACATGAAAAAACCCGTTTCCAACGAAGGCCTCTAAGAGGCCAAGATATCCACTTGCAGACTTTACAAACAGAGTGTTTCCAAACTGCTGAATGAAAAGAAAAGTTAAACTCTGTGAGTTGAACGCACACATCACAGAGCAGTTTCTGAGAATGATTCTGTCGGGTTTTTATACGAAGATATTTCCTTTTCTGCCTTTGGCCTCAAAGCGCTTGAAGTCTCCACTTGCAAATTGCAGAAAAAGAGTGTTTCGAATCTGCTCTGTCTAAAAGAAGGTTCAACTCTGTCAGTTGAATACACACAACACAAGGAAGTTACTGAGATTTCTTCTGTCTAGCCTTACATGAAAAAAACCCGTTTCCAACGAAGGCCTCAAAGAGGTCAAAATATCCACGTGCAGACTTTCCAAACAGAGTGTTTCCAAACTGCTGAATGAAAAGAAAAGTTAAACTCTGTGAGTTGAACGCACACATCCCAGAGCAGTTTCTGAGAAAGATTCTGTCTAGTTTTTATAGGAAAACATTTCCTTTTCTGCTTTTGGCCTCAAAGCGCTTGAAATCTCCACTTGCAAATTCCACAAAAAGAGACTTTCAAATCTGCTCTGTCTAAAGGAAGGTTCAACTCTGTCAGTTGAATACACACAACACAAAGAAGTTACTAAGAATTCTTCCCTCTAGCATTATATGAAGAAATCCCGTTTCCAACGAAGGCATCTAAGAGGTCCAAATATCCACTTGCAGACTTTACAAACAGAGGGTTTCCAGAATGCTGTATGAAAAGAAAGGTGAAACTCTGTGAGTTAAACACACACATCACTACGCAGTGTCTGGGAACGAGTTTGTCTTGTTTTTATACGAAGATATTTCCTTTTCTACCATTGGCATCGAAGCGCTTGAAATCTCCACTTGCAAATTCCACAAAAAGAGTGTTTCAAATCTGCTCTGTCTAAAGGAAGGTTGAACTCTGTGAGTTGCATACACACAACACAAAGAAGTTACTGAGAAATCTTCTGTCTAGCATAATATGAAGAAATCCCGTTTCCAACGAAGGCCTCAAAGAGGTCCGAATATCCACTGGCAGGCTTCACAAACAGAGTGTTTCCTAACTGCTCTGTGAAAAGAAAGGTTAAACTCTGTGAGTTGAACGCACACATCACAAAGGAGTTTCTGAGAATCATTCTGTCTAGTTTTTATACGAAGATATTTCCTTTTCTACCATTGACCTCAAAGCGGCTGAAATCTCCACTTGCAAATTCCAGAAAAACAGTGTTTCAAATCTGCTCTGTGTAAAGGATCGTTCAACTCTGTGAGTTGAATACACACAACACAAGGAAGTTACTGAGAATTCATCTGTCTAGCATAATATGAAGAAATCCCGTTTCCAACGAAGGCCTCAAAGAGGTCTGAATATCCACTTGCAGACTTTACAAACAGAGTGTTTCCTAACTGCTCTCTGAAAAGAAAGGTTAAACTCTGTGAGTTGAACGCACACATCACAAAACAGTTTCTGAGAATCATTCTGTCTAGTTTTTATACGAAGATATTTCCTTTTCTACCGTTGACCTCAAAGCGGCTGAATTCTCCACTTACAAATTCCACCAAAAGAGTGTCTCAAATCTGCTCTGTGTAAAGAATCATTCAACTCTGTGAGTTGAATGCACACAACACAAGGAAGTTACTGGGAATTCCTGTGTCTATCCTTACATGAAAAAACCCGTTTCCAACGAAGGCCTCTAAGAGGCCAAGATATCCACTTGCAGACTTTACAAACAGAGTGTTTCCAAACTGCTGAATGAAAAGAAAAGTTAAACTCTGTGAGTTGAACGCACACATCACAGAGCAGTTTCTGAGAATGATTCTGTCGGGTTTTTATACGAAGATATTTCCTTTTCTGCCTTTGGCCTCAAAGCGCTTGAAGTCTCCACTTGCAAATTGCAGAACAAGAGTGTTTCCAATCTGCTCTGTCTAAAGGAAGGTTCAACTCTGTCAGTTGAATACACACAACACAAGGAAGTTACTGAGATTTCTTCTGTCTAGCCTTACATGAAAAAAACCCGTTTCCAACGAAGGCCTCAAAGAGGTCAAAATATCCACGTGCAGACTTTCCAAACAGAGTGTTTCCAAACTGCTGAATGAAAAGAAAAGTTAAACTCTGTGAGTTGAACGCACACATCCCAGAGCAGTTTCTGAGAAAGATTCTGTCTAGTTTTTATAGGAAAATATTTCCTTTTCTGCTTTTGGCCTCAAAGCGCTTGAAATCTCCACTTGCAAATTCCACAAAAAGAGACTTTCAAATCTGCTCTGTCTAAAGGAAGGTTCAACTCTGTCAGTTGAATACACACAACACAAAGAAGTTACTAAGAATTCTTCCCTCTAGCATTATATGAAGAAATCCCGTTTCCAACGAAGGCATCTAAGAGGTCCAAATATCCACTTGCAGACTTTACAAACAGAGGGTTTCCAGAATGCTGTATGAAAAGAAAGGTGAAACTCTGTGAGTTAAACACACACATCACTACGCAGTGTCTGGGAACGAGTTTGTCTTGTTTTTATACGAAGATATTTCCTTTTCTACCATTGGCATCGAAGCGCTTGAAATCTCCACTTGCAAATTCCACAAAAAGAGTGTTTCAAATCTGCTCTGTCTAAAGAAAGGTTGAACTCTGTGAGTTGCATACACACAACACAAAGAAGTTACTGAGAAATCTTCTGTCTAGCATAATATGAAGAAATCCCGTTTCCAACGAAGGCCTCAAAGAGGTCCGAATATCCACTGGCAGGCTTCACAAACAGAGTGTTTCCTAACTGCTCTGTGAAAAGAAAGGTTAAACTCTGTGAGTTGAACG
Organism: Homo sapiens; assembly: GCF_000001405.40. Classification (NCBI taxonomy): domain Eukaryota; kingdom Metazoa; phylum Chordata; class Mammalia; order Primates; family Hominidae; genus Homo; species Homo sapiens. The sequence continues at coordinate 37,245,419 of NC_000016.10, read as the reverse complement.
CACACATCACAAAGGAGTTTCTGAGAATCATTCTGTCTAGTTTTTATACGAAGATATTTCTTTTTCTACCATTGACCTCAAAGCGGCTGAAATCTCCACTTGCAAATTCCAGAAAAACAGTGTTTCAAATCTGCTCTGTGTAAAGGATCGTTCAACTCTGTGAGTTGAATACACACAACACAAGGAAGTTACTGAGAATTCATCTGTCTAGCATAATATGAAGAAATCCCGTTTCCAACGAAGGCCTCAAAGAGGTCTGAATATCCACTTGCAGACTTTACAAACAGAGTGTTTCCTAACTGCTCTTTGAAAAGAAAGGTTAAACTCTGTGAGTTGAACGCACACATCACAAAACAGTTTCTGAGAATCATTCTGTCTAGTTTTTATACGAAGACATTTCCTTTTCTACCGTTGACCTCAAAGCGGCTGAATTCTCCACTAACAAATTCCACCAAAAGAGTGTCTCAAATCTGCTCTGTGTAAAGAATCATTCAACTCTGTGAGTTGAATGCACACAACACAAGGAAGTTACTGGGAATTCCTCTGTCTAACCTTACATGAAAAAACCCGTTTCCAACGAAGGCCTCTAAGAGGCCAAGATATCCACTTGCAGACTTTACAAACAGAGTGTTTCCAAACTGCTGAATGAAAAGAAAAGTTAAACTCTGTGAGTTGAACGCACACATCACAGAGCAGTTTCTGAGAATGATTCTGTCGGGTTTTTATACGAAGATATTTCCTTTTCTGCCTTTGGCCTCAAAGCGCTTGAAGTCTCCACTTGCAAATTGCAGAAAAAGAGCGTTTCGAATCTGCTCTGTCTAAAGGAAGGTTCAACTCTGTCAGTTGAATACACACAACACAAGGAAGTTACTGAGATTTCTTTTGTCTAGCCTTACATGAAAAAAACCCGTTTCCAACGAAGGCCTCAAAGACGTCAAAATATCCACGTGCAGACTTTCCAAACAGAGTGTTTCCAAACTGCTGAATGAAAAGAAAGTTAAACTCTGTGAGTTGAACACACACATCACAGAGCAGTTTCTGAGAATGATTCTCTCTAGTTTTTATAGGAAAATATTTCCTTTTCTGCTTTTGGCCTCAAAGCGCTTGAAATCTCCACTTGCAAATTCCACAAAAAGAGACTTTCAAATCTGCTCTGTCTAAAGGAAGGTTCAACTCTGTCAGTTGAATACACACAACACAAAGAAGTTACTAAGAATTCTTCCCTCTAGCATTATATGAAGAAATCCCGTTTCCAACGAAGGCCTCAAAGAGGTCTGAATATCCACTTGCAGACTTTACAGAGTGTTTCCTAACTGCTCTTTGAAAAGAAAGGTTAAACTCTGTGAGTTGAACGCACACATCACAAAACAGTTTCTGAGAATCATTCTGTCTAGTTTTTATACGAAGATATTTCCTTTTCTACCGTTGACCTCAAAGCGGCTGAATTCTCCACTTACAAATTCCACCCAAAGAGTGTCTCAAATCTGCTCTGTGTAAAGAATCATTCAACTCTGTGAGTTGAATGCACACAACACAAGGAAGTTACTGGGAATTCCTCTGTCTAACCTTACATGAAAAAACCCGTTTCCAACGAAGGCCTCTAAGAGGCCAAGATATCCACTTGCAGACTTTACAAACAGAGTGTTTCCAAACTGCTGAATGAAAAGAAAAGTTAAACTCTGTGAGTTGAACGCACACATCACAGAGCAGTTTCTGAGAATGATTCTGTCGGGTTTTTATACGAAGATATTTCCTTTTCTGCCTTTGGCCTCAAAGCGCTTGAAGTCTCCACTTGCAAATTGCAGAAAAAGAGTGTTTCGAATCTGCTCTGTCTAAAGGAAGGTTCAACTCTGTCAGTTGAATACACACAACACAAGGAAGTTACTGAGATTTCTTCTGTCTAGCGTTACATGAAAAAAACCCGTTTCCAATGAAGGCCTCAAAGAGGTCAAAATATCCACGTGCAGACTTTCCAAACAGAGTGTTTCCAAACTGCTGAATGAAAAGAAAAGTTAAACTCTGTGAGTTGAACGCACACATCCCAGAGCAGTTTCTGAGAATGATTCTGTCTAGTTTTTATAGGAAAATATTTCCTTTTCTGCTTTTGGCCTCAAAGCGCTTGAAATCTCCACTTGCAAATTCCACAAAAAGAGACTTTCAAATCTGCTCTGTCTAAAGGAAGGTTCAACTCTGTCAGTTGAATACACACAACACAAAGAAGTTACTAAGAATTCTTCCCTCTAGCATTATATGAAGAAATCCCGTTTCCAACGAAGGCATCTAAGAGGTCCAAATATCCACTTGCAGACTTTACAAACAGAGGGTTTCCAGAATGCTGTATGAAAAGAAAGGTTAAACTCTGTGAGTTAAACACACACATCACTACGCAGTGTCTGGGAACGAGTTTGTCTTGTTTTTATACGAAGATATTTCCTTTTCTACCATTGGCATCGAAGCGCTTGAAATCTCCACTTGCAAATTCCACAAAAAGAGTGTTTCAAATATGCTCTCTCTAAAGGAAGGTTGAACTCTGTAAGTTGCATACACACAACACAAAGAAGTTACTGAGAAATCTTCTGTCTAGCATAATATGAAGAAATCCCGTTTCCAACGAAGGCCTCAAGGAGGTCCGAATATCCACTGGCAGGCTTCACAAACAGAGTGTTTCCTAACTGCTCTGTGAAAAGAAAGGTTAAACTCTGTGAGTTGAACGCACACATCACAAAGGAGTTTCTGAGAATCATTCTGTCTAGTTTTTATACGAAGATATTTCCTTTTCTACCATTGACCTCAAAGCGGCTGAAATCTCCACTTGCAAATTCCAGAAAAAGAGTGTTTCAAATCTGCTCTGTGTAAAGGATCGTTCAACTCTGTGAGTTGAATACACACAACACAAGGAAGTTACTGAGAATTCATCTGTCTAGCATAATATGAAGAAATCCCGTTTCCAACGAAGGCCTCAAAGAGGTCTGAATATCCGCTTGCAGACTTTACAAACAGAGTGTTTCCTAACTGCTCTTTGAAAAGAAAGGTTAAACTCTGTGAGTTGAACGCACACATCACAAAACAGTTTCTGAGAATCATTCTGTCTAGTTTTTATACGAAGATATTTCCTTTTCTACCGTTGACCTCAAAGCGGCTGAATTCTCCACTAACAAATTCCACCAAAAGAGTGTCTCAAATCTGCTCTGTGTAAAGAATCATTCAACTCTGTGAGTTGAATGCACACAACACAAGGAAGTTACTGGGAATTCCTCTGTCTAACCTTACATGAAAAAACCCGTTTCCAACGAAGGCCTCTAAGAGGCCAAGATATCCACTTGCAGACTTTACAAACAGAGTGTTTCCAAACTGCTGAATGAAAAGAAAAGTTAAACTCTGTGAGTTGAACGCACATATCACAGAGCAGTTTCTGAGAATGATTCTGTCGGGTTTTTATACGAAGATATTTCCTTTTCTGCCTTTGGCCTCAAAGCGCTTGAAGTCTCCACTTGCAAATTGCAGAAAAAGAGTGTTTCGAATCTGCTCTGTCTAAAGGAAGGTTCAACTCTGTCAGTTGAATACACACAACACAAGGAAGTTACTGAGATTTCTTCTGTCTAGCCTTACATGAAAAAAACCCGTTTCCAACGAAGGCCTCAAAGAGGTCAAAATATCCACGTGCAGACTTTCCAAACAGAGTGTTTCCAAACTGCTGAATGAAAAGAAAGTTAAACTCTGTGAGTTGAACACACACATCACAGAGCAGTTTCTGAGAATGATTCTCTCTAGTTTTTATAGGAAAATATTTCCTTTTCTGCTTTTGGCCTCAAAGCGCTTGAAATCTCCACTTGCAAATTCCACAAAAAGAGACTTTCAAATCTGCTCTGTCTAAAGGAAGGTTCAACTCTGTCAGTTGAATACACACAACACAAAGAAGTTACTAAGAATTCTTCCCTCTAGCATTATATGAAGAAATCCCGTTTCCAACGAAGGCCTCAAAGAGGTCTGAATATCCACTTGCAGACTTTACAGAGTGTTTCCTAACTGCTCTTTGAAAAGAAAGGTTAAACTCTGTGAGTTGAACGCACACATCACAAAACAGTTTCTGAGAATCATTCTGTCTAGTTTTTATACGAAGATATTTCCTTTTCTACCGTTGACCTCAAAGCGGCTGAATTCTCCACTTACAAATTCCACCCAAAGAGTGTCTCAAATCTGCTCTGTGTAAAGAATCATTCAACTCTGTGAGTTGAATGCACACAACACAAGGAAGTTACTGGGAATTCCTCTGTCTAACCTTACATGAAAAAACCCGTTTCCAACGAAGGCCTCTAAGAGGCCAAGATATCCACTTGCAGACTTTACAAACAGAGTGTTTCCAAACTGCTGAATGAAAAGAAAAGTTAAACTCTGTGAGTTGAACGCACACATCACAGAGCAGTTTCTGAGAATGATTCTGTCGGGTTTTTATACGAAGATATTTCCTTTTCTGCCTTTGGCCTCAAAGCGCTTGAAGTCTCCACTTGCAAATTGCAGAAAAAGAGTGTTTCGAATCTGCTCTGTCTAAAGGAAGGTTCAACTCTGTCAGTTGAATACACACAACACAAGGAAGTTACTGAGATTTCTTCTGTCTAGCCTTACATGAAAAAAACCCGTTTCCAACGAAGGCCTCAAAGAGGTCAAAATATCCACGTGCAGACTTTCCAAACAGAGTGTTTCCAAACTGCTGAATGAAAAGAAAAGTTAAACTCTGTGAGTTGAACGCACACATCCCAGAGCAGTTTCTGAGAATGATTCTGTCTAGTTTTTATAGGAAAATATTTCCTTTTCTGCTTTTGGCCTCAAAGCGCTTGAAATCTCCACTTGCAAATTCCACAAAAAGAGACTTTCAAATCTGCTCTGTCTAAAGGAAGGTTCAACTCTGTCAGTTGAATACACACAACACAAAGAAGTTACTAAGAATTCTTCCCTCTAGCATTATATGAAGAAATCCCGTTTCCAACGAAGGCATCTAAGAGGTCCAAATATCCACTTGCAGACTTTACAAACAGAGGGTTTCCAGAATGCTGTATGAAAAGAAAGGTGAAACTCTGTGAGTTAAACACACACATCACTACGCAGTGTCTGGGAACGAGTTTGTCTTGTTTTTATACGAAGATATTTCCTTTTCTACCATTGGCATCGAAGCGCTTGAAATCTCCACTTGCAAATTCCACAAAAAGAGTGTTTCAAATCTGCTCTGTCTAAAGGAAGGTTGAACTCTGTGAGTTGCATACACACAACACAAAGAAGTTACTGAGAAATCTTCTGTCTAGCATAATATGAAGAAATCCCGTTTCCAACGAAGGCCTCAAAGAGGTCCGAATATCCACTGGCAGGCTTCACAAACAGAGTGTTTCCTAACTGCTCTGTGAAAAGAAAGGTTAAACTCTGTGAGTTGAACGCACACATCACAAAGGAGTTTCTGAGAATCATTCTGTCTAGTTTTTATACGAAGATATTTCCTTTTCTACCATTGACCTCAAAGCGGCTGAAATCTCCACTTGCAAATTCCAGAAAAACAGTGTTTCAAATCTGCTCTGTGTAAAGGATCGTTCAACTCTGTGCGTTGAATACACACAACACAAGGAAGTTACTGAGAATTCATCTGTCTAGCATAATATGAAGAAATCCCGTTTCCAACGAAGGCCTCAAAGAGGTCTGAATATCCGCTTGCAGACTTTACAAACAGAGTGTTTCCTAACTGCTCTTTGAAAAGAAAGGTTAAACTCTGTGAGTTGAACGCACACATCACAAAACAGTTTCTGAGAATCATTCTGTCTAGTTTTTATACGAAGATATTTCCTTTTCTACCGTTGACCTCAAAGCGGCTGAATTCTCCACTAACAAATTCCACCAAAAGAGTGTCTCAAATCTGCTCTGTGTAAAGAATCATTCAACTCTGTGAGTTGAATGCACACAACACAAGGAAGTTACTGGGAATTCCTCTGTCTAACCTTACATGAAAAAACCCGTTTCCAATGAAGGCCTCTAAGAGGCCAAGATATCCACTTGCAGACTTTACAAACAGAGTGTTTCCAAACTGCTGAATGAAAAGAAAAGTTAAACTCTGTGAGTTGAACGCACACATCACAGAGCAGTTTCTGAGAATGATTCTGTCGGGTTTTTATACGAAGATATTTCCTTTTCTGCCTTTGGCCTCAAAGCGCTTGAAGTCTCCACTTGCAAATTGCAGAAAAAGAGTGTTTCGAATCTGCTCTGTCTAAAGGAAGGTTCAACCCTGTCAGTTGAATACACACAACACAAGGAAGTTACTGAGATTTCCTCTGTCTAGCCTTACATGATAAAACCCGTTTCCAACGAAGGCCTCAAAGAGGTCAAAATATCCACGTGCAGACTTTCCAAACAGAGTGTTTCCAAACTGCTGAATGAAAAGAAAAGTTAAACTGTGTGAGTTGAACGCACACATCACAGAGCAGTTTCTGAGAATGATTCTGTCTAGTTTTTATAGGAAAATATTTCCTTTTCTGCTTTTGGCCTCAAAGCGCTTGAAATCTCCACTTGCAAATTCCACAAAAAGAGACTTTCAAATCTGCTCTGTCTAAAGGAAGGTTCAACTCTGTCAGTTGAATACAGACAACACAAAGAAGTTACTGAGAATTCTTCCCTCTACCATTATATGACGAAATCCCGTTTCCAACGAAGGCATCTAAGAGGTCCAAATATCCACTTGCAGACTTTACAAACAGAGGGTTTCCAGAATTCTGTATGAAAAGAAAGGTGAAACTCTGTGAGTTAAACACACACATCACTACGCAGTTTCTGGGAATGATTTTGTCTTGTTTTTATACGAAGATATTTCCTTTTCGACCATTGGCGTCGAAGCGCTTGAAATCTCCACTTGCAAATTCCACAAAAAGAGTGTTTCAAATCTGCTCTGTCTAAGGGAAGGATGAACTCTGTGAGTTGCATACACATAACACAAAGTAGTTACTGAGAAATCTGTCTAGCATAATATGAAGAAAACCCGTTTCCAACGAAGGCCTCAAAGAGGTCAGAATATCCACTGGCAGACTTCACAAACAGAGTGTTTCCTAACTGCTCTGTGAAAAGAAAGGTTAAACTCTGTGAGTTGAACGCACACATCACAAAGGAGTTTCTGAGAATCATTCTGTCTAGTTTTATACGAAGATATTTCCTTTTCTACCATTGACCTCAAAGCGGCTGAAATCTCCACTTGCAAATTCCAGAAAAACAGTGTTTCAAATCTGCTCTGTGTAAAGGATCGTTCAACTCTGTGAGTTGAATACACACAACACAAGGAAGTTACTGAGAATTCATCTGTCTAGCATAATATGAAGAAATCCCGTTTCCAACGAAGGCCTCAAAGAGGTCTGAATATCCACTTGCAGACTTTACAAACAGAGTGTTTCCTAACTGCTCTTTGAAAAGAAAGGTTAAACTCTGTGAGTTGAACGCACACATCACAAAACAGTTTCTGAGAATCATTCTGTCTAGTTTTTATACGAAGATATTTCCTTTTCTACCGTTGACCTCAAAGCGGCTGAATTCTCCACTTACAAATTCCACCAAAAGAGTGTCTCAAATCTGCTCTGTGAAAAGAATCATTCAACTCTGTGAGTTGAATGCACACAACACAAGGAAAGTTACTGGGAATTCCTCTGTCTATCCTTACATGAAAAAACCCGTTTCCAACGAAGGCCTCTAAGAGGCCAAGATATCCACTTGCAGACTTTACAAACAGAGTGTTTCCAAACTGCTGAATGAAAAGAAAAGTTAAACTCTGTGAGTTGAACGCACACATCACAGAGCAGTTTCTGAGAATGATTCTGTCGGGTTTTTATACGAAGATATTTCCTTTTCTGCCTTTGGCCTCAAAGCGCTTGAAGTCTCCACTTGCAAATTGCAGAAAAAGAGTGTTTCGAATCTGCTCTGTCTAAAGGAAGGTTCAACTCTGTCAGTTGAATACACACAACACAAGGAAGTTACTGAGATTTCTTCTGTCTAGCTTACATGAAAAAAACCCGTTTCCAACGAAGGCCTCAAAGAGGTCAAAATATCCACGTGCAGACTTTCCAAACAGAGTGTTTCCAAACTGCTGAATGAAAAGAAAAGTTAAACTCTGTGAGTTGAACGCACACATCCCAGAGCAGTTTCTGAGAAAGATTCTGTCTAGTTTTTATAGGAAAATATTTCCTTTTCTGCTTTTGGCCTCAAAGCGCTTGAAATCTCCACTTGCAAATTCCACAAAAAGAGACTTTCAAATCTGCTCTGTCTAAAGGAAGGTTCAACTCTGTCAGTTGAATACACACAACACAAAGAAGTTACTAAGAATTCTTCCCTCTAGCATTATATGAAGAAATCCCGTTTCCAACGAAGGCATCTAAGAGGTCCAAATATCCACTTGCAGACTTTACAAACACAGGGTTTCCAGAATGCTGTATGAAAAGAAAGGTTAAACTCTGTGAGTTAAACACACACATCACTACGCAGTGTCTGGGAACGAGTTTGTCTTGTTTTTATACGAAGATATTTCCTTTTCTACCATTGGCATCGAAGCGCTTGAAATCTCCACTTGCAAATTCCACAAAAAGAGTGTTTCAAATCTGCTCTGTCTAAAGGAAGGTTGAACTCTGTGAGTTGCATACACACAACACAAAGAAGTTACTGAGAAATCTTCTGTCTAGCATAATATGAAGAAATCCCGTTTCCAACGAAGGCCTCAAAGAGGTCCGAATATCCACTGGCAGGCTTCACAAACAGAGTGTTTCCTAACTGCTCTGTGAAAAGAAAGGTTAAACTCTGTGAGTTGAACGCACACATCACAAAGGAGTTTCTGAGAATCATTCTGTCTAGTTTTTATACGAAGATATTTGCTTTTCTACCATTGACCTCAAAGCGGCTGAAATCTCCACTTGCAAATTCCAGAAAAACAGTGTTTCAAATCTGCTCTGTGTAAAGGATCGTTCAACTCTGTGAGTTGAATACACACAACACAAGGAAGTTACTGAGAATTCATCTGTCTAGCATAATATGAAGAAATCCCGTTTCCAACGAAGGCCTCAAAGAGGTCTGAATATCCACTTGCAGACTTTACAAACAGAGTGTTTCCTAACTGCTCTTTGAAAAGAAAGGTTAAACTCTGTGAGTTGAACGCACACATCAAAAAACAGTTTCTGAGAATCATTCTGTCTAGTTTTTATACGAAGATATTTCCTTTTCTACCGTTGACCTCAAAGCGGCTGAATTCTCCACTTACAAATTCCACCCAAAGAGTGTCTCAAATCTGCTCTGTGTAAAGAATCATTCAACTCTGTGAGTTGAATGCACACAACACAAGGAAGTTACTGGGAATTCCTCTGTCTAACCTTACATGAAAAAACCCGTTTCCAACGAAGGCCTCTAAGAGGCCAAGATATCCACTTGCAGACTTTACAAACAGAGTGTTTCCAAACTGCTGAATGAAAAGAAAAGTTAAACTCTGTGAGTTGAACGCACACATCACAGAGCAGTTTCTGAGAATGATTCTGTCGGGTTTTTATACGAAGATATATCCTTTTCTGCCTTTGGCCTCAAAGCGCTTGAAGTCTCCACTTGCAAATTGCAGAAAAAGAGTGTTTCGAATCTGCTCTGTCTAAAGGAAGGTTCAACTCTGTCAGTTGAATACACACAACACAAGGAAGTTACTGAGATTTCTTCTGTCTAGCCTTACATGAAAAACACCCGTTTCCAACGAAGGCCTCAAAGAGGTCAAAATATCCACGTGCAGACTTTCCAAACAGAGTGTTTCCAAACTGCTGAATGAAAAGAAAAGTTAAACTCTGTGAGTTGAACGCACACATCCCAGAGCAGTTTCTGAGAAAGATTCTGTCTAGTTTTTATAGGAAAATATTTCCTTTTCTGCTTTTGGCCTCAAAGCGCTTGAAATCTCCACTTGCAAATTCCACAAAAAGAGACTTTCAAATCTGCTCTGTCTAAAGGAAGGTTCAACTCTGTCAGTTGAATACACACAACACAAAGAAGTTACTAAGAATTCTCCCTCTAGCATTATATGAAGAAATCCCGTTTCCAACGAAGGCATCTAAGAGGTCCAAATATCCACTTGCAGACTTTACAAACAGAGGGTTTCCAGAATGCTGTATGAAAAGAAAGGTTAAACTCTGTGAGTTAAACACACACATCACTACGCAGTGTCTGGGAACGAGTTTGTCTTGTTTTTATACGAAGATATTTCCTTTTCTACCATTGGCATCGAAGCGCTTGAAATCTCCACTTGCAAATTCCACAAAAAGAGTGTTTCAAATCTGCTCTGTCTAAAGGAAGGTTGAACTCTGTGAGTTGCATACACACAACACAAAGAAGTTACTGAGAAATCTTCTGTCTAGCATAATATGAAGAAATCCCGTTTCCAACGAAGGCCTCAAAGAGGTCCGAATATCCACTGGCAGGCTTCACAAACAGAGTGTTTCCTAACTGCTCTGTGAAAAGAAAGGTTAAACCCTGTGAGTTGAACGCACACATCACAAAGGAGTTTCTGAGAATCATTCTGTCTAGTTTTTATACGAAGATATTTCCTTTTCTACCATTGACCTCAAAGCGGCTGAAATCTCCACTTGCAAATTCCAGAAAAACAATGTTTCAAATCTGCTCTGTGTAAAGGATCGTTCAACTCTGTGAGTTGAATACACACAACACAAGGAAGTTACTGAGAATTCATCTGTCTAGCATAATATGAAGAAATCCCGTTTCCAACGAAGGCCTCAAAGAGGTCTGAATATCCACTTGCAGACTTTACAAACAGAGTGTTTCCTAACTGCTCTTTGAAAAGAAAGGTTAAACTCTGTGAGTTGAACGCACACATCACAAAACAGTTTCTGAGAATCATTCTGTCTAGTTTTTATACGAAGATATTTCCTTTTCTACCGTTGACATCAAAGCGGCTGAATTCTCCACTTACAAATTCCACCAAAAGAGTGTCTCAAAACTGCTCTGTGTAAAGAATCATTCAACTCTGTGAGTTGAATGCACACAACACAAGGAAGTTACTGGGAATTCCTCTGTCTAACCTTACATGAAAAAACCCGTTTCCAACGAAGGCCTCTAAGAGGCCAAGATATCCACTTGCAGACTTTACAAACAGAGTGTTTCCAAACTGCTGAATGAAAAGAAAAGTTAAACTCTGTGAGTTGAACGCACACATCACAGAGCAGTTTCTGAGAATGATTCTGTCGGGTTTTTATACGAAGATATTTCCTTTTCTGCCTTTGGCCTCAAAGCGCTTGAAGTCTCCACTTGCAAATTGCAGAAAAAGAGTGTTTCGAATCTGCTCTGTCTAAAGGAAGGTTCAACTCTGTCAGTTGAATACACACAACACAAGGAAGTTACTGAGATTTCTTCTGTCTAGCCTTACATGAAAAAAACCCGTTTCCAACGAAGGCCTCAAAGAGGTCAAAATATCCACGTGCAGACTTTCCAAACAGAGTGTTTCCAAACTGCTGAATGAAAAGAAAAGTTAAACTCTGTGAGTTGAACGCACACATCCCAGAGCAGTTTCTGAGAAAGATTCTGTCGAGTTTTTATAGGAAAATATTTCCTTTTCTGCTTTTGGCCTCAAAGCTCTTGAAATCTCCACTTGCAAATTCCACAAAAAGAGACTTTCAAATCTGCTCTGTCTAAAGGAAGGTTCAACTCTGTCAGTTGAATACACACAACACAAAGAAGTTACTAAGAATTCTTCCCTCTAGCATTATATGAAGAAATCCCGTTTCCAACGAAGGCATCTAAGAGGTCCAAATATCCACTTGCAGACTTTACAAACACAGGGTTTCCAGAATGCTGTATGAAAAGAAAGGTGAAACTCTGTGAGTTAAACACACACATCACTACGCAGTGTCTGGGAACGAGTTTGTCTTGTTTTTATACGAAGATATTTCCTTTTCTACCATTGGCATCGAAGCGCTTGAAATCTCCACTTGCAAATTCCACAAAAAGAGTGTTTCAAATCTGCTCTGTCTAAAGGAAGGTTGAACTCTGTGAGTTGCATACACACAACACAAAGAAGTTACTGAGAAATCTTCTGTCTAGCATAATATGAAGAAATCCCGTTTCCAACGAAGGCCTCAAAGAGGTCCGAATATCCACTGGCAGGCTTCACAAACAGAGTGTTTCCTAACTGCTCTGTGAAAAGAAAGGTTAAACTCTGTGAGTTGAACGCACACATCACAAAGGAGTTTCTGAGAATCATTCTGTCTAGTTTTTATACGAAGATATTTCTTTTTCTACCATTGACCTCAAAGCGGCTGAAATCTCCACTTGCAAATTCCAGAAAAACAGTGTTTCAAATCTTCTCTGTGTAAAGGATCGTTCAACTCTGTGAGTTGAATACACACAACACAAGGAAGTTACTGAGAATTCATCTGTCTAGCATAATATGAAGAAATCCCGTTTCCAACGAAGGCCTCAAAGAGGTCTGAATATCCACTTGCAGACTTTACAAACAGAGTGTTTCCTAACTGCTCTTTGAAAAGAAAGGTTAAACTCTGTGAGTTGAACGCACACATCACAAAAAAGTTTCTGAGAATCATTCTGTCTAGTTTTTATACGAAGATATTTCCTTTTCTACCGTTGACCTCAAAGCGGCTGAATTCTCCACTAACAAATTCCACCAAAAGAGTGTCTCAAATCTGCTCTGTGTAAAGAATCATTCAACTCTGTGAGTTGAATGCACACAACACAAGGAAGTTACTGGGAATTCCTCTGTCTAACCTTACATGAAAAAACCCGTTTCCAATGAAGGCCTCTAAGAGGCCAAGATATCCACTTGCAGACTTTACAAACAGAGTGTTTCCAAACTGCTGAATGAAAAGAAAAGTTAAACTCTGTGAGTTGAACGCACACATCACAGAGCAGTTTCTGAGAATGATTCTGTCGGGTTTTTATACGAAGATATTTCCTTTTCTGCCTTTGGCCTCAAAGCGCTTGAAGTCTCCACTTGCAAATTGCAGAAAAAGAGTGTTTCGAATCTGCTCTGTCTAAAGGAAGGTTCAACCCTGTCAGTTGAATACACACAACACAAGGAAGTTACTGAGATTTCCTCTGTCTAGCCTTACATGAAAAAAACCCGTTTCCAACGAAGGCCTCAAAGTAGGTCAAAATATCCACGTGCAGACTTTCCAAACAGAGTGTTTCCAAACTGCTGAATGAAAAGAAAAGTTAAACTCTGTGAGTTGAACGCACACATCCCAGAGCAGTTTCTGAGAAAGATTCTGTCTAGTTTTTATAGGAAAATATTTCCTTTTCTGCTTTTGGCCTCAAAGCGCTTGAAATCTCCACTTGCAAATTCCACAAAAAGAGACTTTCAAATCTGCTCTGTCTAAAGGAAGGTTCAACTCTGTCAGTTGAATACACACAACACAAAGAAGTTACTAAGAATTCTTCCCTCTAGCATTATATGAAGAAATCCCGTTTCCAACGAAGGCATCTAAGAGGTCCAAATATCCACTTGCAGACTTTACAAACAGAGGGTTTCCAGAATGCTGTATGAAAAGAAAGGTGAAACTCTGTGAGTTAAACACACACATCACTACGCAGTGTCTGGGAACGAGTTTGTCTTGTTTTTATACGAAGATATTTCCTTTTCTACCATTGGCATCGAAGCGCTTGAAATCTCCACTTGCAAATTCCACAAAAAGAGTGTTTCAAATCTGCTCTGTCTAAAGGAAGGTTGAACTCTGTGAGTTGCATACACACAACACAAAGAAGTTACTGAGAAAATCTTCTGTCTAGCATAATATGAAGAAATCCCGTTTCCAACGAAGGCCTCAAAGAGGTCCGAATATCCACTGGCAGGCTTCACAAACAGAGTGTTTCCTAACTGCTCTGTGAAAAGAAAGGTTAAACTCTGTGAGTTGAACGCACACATCACAAAGGAGTTTCTGAGAATCATTCTGTCTAGTTTTTATACGAAGATATTTCCTTTTCTACCATTGACCTCAAAGCGGCTGAAATCTCCACTTGCAAATTCCAGAAAAACAGTGTTTCAAATCTGCTCTGTGTAAAGGATCGTTCAACTCTGTGAGTTGAATACACACAACACAAGGAAGTTACTGAGAATTCATCTGTCTAGCATAATATGAAGAAATCCCGTTTCCAACGAAGGCCTCAAAGAGGTCTGAATATCCACTTGCAGACTTTACAAACAGAGTGTTTCCTAACTGCTCTTTGAAAAGAAAGGTTAAACTCTGTGAGTTGAACGCACACATCACAAAACAGTTTCTGAGAATCATTCTGTCTAGTTTTTATACGAAGATATTTCCTTTTCTACCGTTGACCTCAAAGAGGCTGAATTCTCCACTTACAAATTCCACCAAAAGAGTGTCTCAAATCTGCTCTGTGTAAAGAATCATTCAACTCTGTGAGTTGAATGCACACAACACAAGGAAGTTACTGGGAATTCCTCTGTCTAACCTTACATGAAAAAACCCGTTTCCAACGAAGGCCTCTAAGAGGCCAAGATATCCACTTGCAGACTTTACAAACAGAGTGTTTCCAAACTGCTGAATGAAAAGAAAAGTTAAACTCTGTGAGTTGAACGCACACATCACAGAGCAGTTTCTGAGAATGATTCTGTCGGGTTTTTATACGAAGATATTTCCTTTTCTGCCTTTGGCCTCAAAGCGCTTGAAGTCTCCACTTGCAAATTGCAGAAAAAGAGTGTTTCGAATCTGCTCTGTCTAAAGGAAGGTTCAACTCTGTCAGTTGAATACACACAACACAAGGAAGTTACTGAGATTTCTTCTGTCTAGCCTTACATGAAAAAAACCCGTTTCCAACAAAGGCCTCAAAGCAGGTCAAAATATCCACGTGCAGACTTTCCAAACAGAGTGTTTCCAAACTGCTGAATGAAAAGAAAAGTTAAACTCTGTGAGTTGAACGCACACGTCCCAGAGCAGTTTCTGAGAAAGATTCTGTCGAGTTTTTATAGGAAAATACTTCCTTTTCTGCTTTTGGCCTCAAAGCGCTTGAAATCTCCACTTGCAAATTCCACAAAAAGAGACTTTCAAATCTGCTCTGTCTAAAGGAAGGTTCAACTCTGTCAGTTGAATACACACAACACAAAGAAGTTACTAAGAATTCTTCCCTCTAGCATTATATGAAGAAATCCCGTTTCCAACGAAGGCATCTAAGAGGTCCAAATATCCACTTGCAGACTTTACAAACACAGGGTTTCCAGAATGCTGTATGAAAAGAAAGGTTAAACTCTGTGAGTTAAACACACACATCACTACGCAGTGTCTGGGAACGAGTTTGTCTTGTTTTTATACGAAGATATTTCCTTTTCTACCATTGGCATCGAAGCGCTTGAAATCTCCACTTGCAAATTCCACAAAAAGAGTGTTTCAAATATGCTCTCTCTAAAGGAAGGTTGAACTCTGTGAGTTGCATACACACAACACAAAGAAGTTACTGAGAAATCTTCTGTCTAGCATAATATGAAGAAATCCCGTTTCCAACGAAGGCCTCAAAGAGGTCCGATTATCCACTGGCAGGCTTCACAAACAGAGTGTTTCCTAACTGCTCTGTGAAAAGAAAGGTTAAACTCTGTGAGTTGAACGCACACATCACAAAGGAGTTGCTGAGAATCATTCTGTCTAGTTTTTATACGAAGATATTTCCTTTTCTACCATTGACCTCAAAGCGGCTGAAATCTCCACTTGCAAATTCCAGAAAAACAGTGTTTCAAATCTGCTCTGTGTAAAGGATCGTTCAACTCTGTGAGTTGAATACACACAACACAAGGAAGTTACTGAGAATTCATCTGTCTAGCATAATATGAAGAAATCCCGTTTCCAACGAAGGCCTCAAAGAGGTCTGAATATCCACTTGCAGACTTTACAAACAGAGTGTTTCCTAACTGCTCTTTGAAAAGAAAGGTTAAACTCTGTGAGTTGAACGCACACATCACAAAACAGTTTCTGAGAATCATTCTGTCTAGTTTTTATACGAAGATATTTCCTTTTCTACCGTTGACCTCAAAGCGGCTGAATTCTCCACTTACAAATTCCACCAAAAGAGTGTCTCAAATCTGCTCTGTGTAAAGAATCATTCAACTCTGCGAGTTGAATGCACACAACACAAGGAAGTTACTGGGAATTCCTCTGTCTAACCTTACATGAAAAAACCCGTTTCCAACGAAGGCCTCTAAGATGCCAATATATCCACTTGCAGACTTTAAAAACAGAGTGTTTCAAAACTGCTGAATGAAAAGAAAAGTTAAACTCTGTGAGTTGAACGCACACATCACAGAGCAGTTTATGAGAATGATTCTGTCTGGTTTTTATACGAAGATATTTCCTTTTCTGCCTTTGGCCTCAAAGCGCTTGAAGTCTCCACTTGCAAATTGCAGAAAAAGTGTGTTTTGAATCTCCTCTGTCTTAAGGAAGGTTCAACTCTGTCAGTTGAATACCCACAACACAAGGAAGTTACTGAGATTTCTTCTGTCTAGCCTTACATGAAAAAAACCCGTTTCCAACGAAGGCCTCAAAGAGGTCAAAATATCCACGTGCAGACTTTCCAAACAGAGTGTTTCCAAACTGCTGAATGAAAAGAAAAGTTAAACTCTGTGAGTTGAACGCACACATCCCAGAGCAGTTTCTGAGAAAGATTCTGTCTAGTTTTTATAGGAAAATATTTCCTTTTCTGCTTTTGGCCTCAAAGCGCTTGAAATCTCCACTTGCAAATTCCACAAAAAGAGACTTTCAAATCTGCTCTGTCTAAAGGAAGGTTCAACTCTGTCAGTTGAATACACACAACACAAAGAAGTTACTAAGAATTCTTCCCTCTAGCATTATATGAAGAAATCCCGTTTCCAACGAAGGCATCTAAGAGGTCCAAATATCCACTTGCAGACTTTACAAACAGAGGGTTTCCAGAATGCTGTATGAAAAGAAAGGTTAAACTCTGTGAGTTAAACACACACATCACTACGCAGTGTCTGGGAACGAGTTTGTGTTGTTTTTATACGAAGATATTTCCTTTTCTACCATTGGCATCGAAGCGCTTGAAATCTCCACTTGCAAATTCCACAAAAAGAGTGTTTCAAATCTGCTCTGTCTAAAGGAAGGTTGAACTCTGTGAGTTGCATACACACAACACAAAGAAGTTACTGAGAAATCTTCTGTCTAGCATAATATGAAGAAATCCCGTTTCCAACGAAGGCCTCAAAGAGGTCCGAATATCCACTGGCAGGCTTCACAAACAGAGTGTTTCCTAACTGCTCTGTGAGAAGAAAGGTTAAACTCTGTGAGTTGAACGCACACATCACAAAGGAGTTTCTGAGAATCATTCTGTCTAGTTTTTATACGAAGATATTTCCTTTTCTACCATTGACCTCAAAGCGGCTGAAATCTCCACTTGCAAATTCCAGAAAAACAGTGTTTCAAATCTGCTCTGTGTAAAGGATCGTTCAACTCTGTGAGTTGAATACACACAACACAAGGAAGTTACTGAGAATTCATCTGTCTAGCATAATATGAAGAAATCCCGTTTCCAACGAAGGCCTCAAAGAGGTCTGAATATCCACTTGCAGACTTTACAAACAGAGTGCTTCCTAACTGCTCTTTGAAAAGAAAGGTTAAACTCTGTGAGTTGAACGCACACATCACAAAACAGTTTCTGAGAATCATTCTGTCTAGTTTTTATACGAAGATATTTCCTTTTCTACCGTTGACCTCAAAGCGGCTGAATTCTCCACTTACAAATTCCACCAAAAGAGTGTCTCAAATCTGCTCTGTGTAAAGAATCATTCAACTCTGTGAGTTGAATGCACACAACACAAGGAAGTTAGTGGGAATTCCTCTGTCTAACCTTACATGAAAAAACCCGCTTCCAACGAAGGCCTCTAAGAGGCCAAGATATCCACTTGCAGACTTTACAAACAGAGTGTTTCCAAACTGCTGAATGAAAAGAAAAGTTAAACTCTGTGAGTTGAACGCACACATCACAGAGCAGTTTCTGAGAATGATTCTGTCGGGTTTTTATACGAAGATATTTCCTTTTCTGCCTTTGGCCTCAAAGCGCTTGAAGTCTCCACTTGCAAATTGCAGAAAAAGAGTGTTTCGAATCTGCTCTGTCTAAAGGAAGGTTCAACTCTGTCAGTTGAATACACACAACACAAGGAAGTTACTGAGATTTCTTCTGTCTAGCCTTACATGAAAAAAACCCGTTTCCAACGAAGGCCTCAAAGAGGTCAAAATATCCACGTGCAGACTTTCCAAACAGAGTGTTTCCAAACTGCTGAATGAAAAGAAAAGTTAAACTCTGTGAGTTGAACGCACACATCCCAGAGCAGTTTCTGAGAAAGATTCTGTCGAGTTTTTATAGGAAAATATTTCCTTTTCTGCTTTTGGCCTCAAAGCGCTTGAAATCTCCACTTGCAAATTCCACAAAAAGAGACTTTCAAATCTGATCTGTCTAAAGGAAGGTTCAACTCTGTCAGTTGAATACACACAACACAAAGAAGTTACTAAGAATTCTTCCCTCTAGCATTATATGAAGAAATCCCGTTTCCAACGAAGGCATCTAAGAGGTCCAAATATCCACTTGCAGACTTTACAAACACAGGGTTTCCAGAATGCTGTATGAAAAGAAAGGTTAAACTCTGTGAGTTAAACACACACATCACTACGCAGTGTCTGGGAACGAGTTTGTCTTGTTTTTATACGAAGATATTTCCTTTTCTACCATTGGCATCGAAGCGCTTGAAATCTCCACTTGCAAATTCCACAAAAAGAGTGTTTCAAATCTGCTCTGTCTAAAGGAAGGTTGAACTCTGTGAGTTGCATACACAAAACACAAAGAAGTTACTGAGAAATCTTCTGTCTAGCATAATATGAAGAAATCCCGTTTCCAACGAAGGCCTCAAAGAGGTCCGAATATCCACTGGCAGGCTTCACAAACAGAGTGTTTCCTAACTGCTCTGTGAAAAGAAAGGTTAAACTCTGTGAGTTGAACGCACACATCACAAAGGAGTTTCTGAGAATCATTCTGTCTAGTTTTTATACGAAGATATTTCCTTTTCTACCATTGACCTCAAAGCGGCTGAAATCTCCACTTGCAAATTCCAGAAAAACAGTGTTTCAAATCTGCTCTGTGTAAAGGATCGTTCAACTCTGTGAGTTGAATACACACAACACAAGGAAGTTACTGAGAATTCATCTGTCTAGCATAATATGAAGAAACCCCGTTTCCAACGAAGGCCTCAAAGAGGTCTGAATATCCACTTGCAGACTTTACAAACAGAGTGTTTCCTAACTGCTCTTTGAAAAGAAAGGTTAAACTCTGTGAGTTGAAAGCACACATCACAAAACAGTTTCTGAGAATCATTCTGTCTAGTTTTTATACGAAGATATTTCCTTTTCTACCGTTGACCTCAAAGCGGCTGAATTCTCCACTTACAAATTCCACCAAAAGAGTGTCTCAAATCTGCTCTGTGTAAAGAATCATTCAACTCTGTGAGTTGAATGCACACAACACAAGGAAGTTACTGGGAATTCCTCTGTCTAACCTTACATGAAAAAACCCGTTTCCAACGAAGGCCTCTAAGAGGCCAAGATATCCACTTGCAGACTTTACAAACAGAGTGTTTCCAAACTGCTGAATGAAAAGAAAAGTTAAACTCTGTGAGTTGAACGCACACATCACAGAGCAGTTTCTGAGAATGATTCTGTCGGGTTTTTATACGAAGATATTTCCTTTTCTGCCTTTGGCCTCAAAGCGCTTGAAGTCTCCACTTGCAAATTGCAGAAAAAGAGTGTTTCGAATCTGCTCTGTCTAAAAGAAGGTTCAACTCTGTCAGTTGAATACACACAACACAAGGAAGTTACTGAGATTTCTTCTGTCTAGCCTTACATGAAAAAAACCCGTTTCCAACGAAGGCCTCAAAGAGGTCAAAATATCCACGTGCAGACTTTCCAAACAGAGTGTTTCCAAACTGCTGAATGAAAAGAAAAGTTAAACTCTGTGAGTTGAACGCACACATCCCAGAGCAGTTTCTGAGAAAGATTCTGTCTAGTTTTTATAGGAAAATATTTCCTTTTCTGCTTTTGGCCTCAAAGCGCTTGAAATCTCCACTTGCAAATTCCACAAAAAGAGACTTTCAAATCTGCTCTGTCTAAAGGAAGGTTCAACTCTGTCAGTTGAATACACACAACACAAAGAAGTTACTAAGAATTCTTCCCTCTAGCATTATATGAAGAAATCCCGTTTCCAACGAAGGCCTCAAAGAGGTCTGAATATCCACTTGCAGATTTTACAGAGTGTTTCCTAACTGCTCTTTGAAAAGAAAGGTTAAACTCTGTGAGTTGAACGCACACATCACAAAACAGTTTCTGAGAATCATTCTGTCTAGTTTTTATACGAAGATATTTCCTTTTCTACCGTTGACCTCAAAGCGGCTGAATTCTCCACTTACAAATTCCACCCAAAGAGTGTCTCAAATCTGCTCTGTGTAAAGAATCATTCAACTCTGTGAGTTGAATGCACACAACACAAGGAAGTTACTGGGAATTCCTCTGTCTAACCTTACATGAAAAAACCCGTTTCCAACGAAGGCCTCTAAGAGGCCAAGATATCCACTTGCAGACTTTACAAACAGAGTGTTTCCAAACTGCTGAATGAAAAGAAAAGTTAAACTCTGTGAGTTGAACGCACACATCACAGAGCAGTTTCTGAGAATGATTCTGTCGGGTTTTTATACGAAGATATTTCCTTTTCTGCCTTTGGCCTCAAAGTGCTTGAAGTCTCCACTTGCAAATTGCAGAAAAAGAGTGTTTCGAATCTGCTCTGTCTAAAGGAAGGTTCAACTCTGTCAGTTGAATACACACAACACAAGGAAGTTACTGAGATTTCTTCTGTCTAGCCTTACATGAAAAAAACCCGTTTCCAACGAAGGCCTCAAAGAGGTCAAAATATCCACGTGCAGACTTTCCAAACAGTGTTTCCAAACTGCTGAATGAAAAGAAAAGTTAAACTCTGTGAGTTGAACGCACACATCACAGAGCAGTTTCTGAGAATGATTCTGTCGAGTTTTTATAGGAAAATATTTCCTTTTCTGCTTTTGGCCTCAAAGCGCTTGAAATCTCCACTTGCAAATTCCACAAAAAGAGACTTTCAAATCTGCTCTGTCTAAAGGAAGGTTCAACTCTGTCAGTTGAATACACACAACACAAAGAAGTTACTAAGAATTCTTCCCTCTAGCATTATACGAAGAAATCCCGTTTCCAACGAAGGCATCTAAGAGGTCCAAATATCCACTTGCAGACTTTACAAACAGAGGGTTTCCAGAATGCTGTATGAAAAGAAAGGTTAAACTCAGTGAGTTAAACACACACATCACTACGCAGTGTCTGGGAACGAGTTTGTCTTGTTTTTCTACGAAGATATTTCCTTTTCTACCATTTGCATCGAAGCGCTTGAAATCTCCACTTGCAAATTCCACAAAAAGAGTGTTTCAAATATGCTCTCTCTAAAGGAAGGTTGAACTCTGTAAGTTGCATACACACAACACAAAGAAGTTACTGAGAAATCTTCTGTCTAGCATAATATGAAGAAATCCCGTTTCCAACGAAGGCCTCAAAGAGGTCTGAATATCCACTGGCAGGCTTCACAAACAGAGTGTTTCCTAACTGCTCTGTGAAAAGAAAGGTTAAACTCTGTGAGTTGAACGCACACATCACAAAGGAGTTTCTGAGAATCATTATCTGTCTAGTTTTTATACGAAGATATTTCTTTTTCTACCATTGACCTCAAAGCGGCTGAAATCTCCACTTGCAAATTCCAGAAAAACAGTGTTTCAAATCTGCTCTGTGTAAAGGATCGTTCAACTCTGTGAGTTGAATACACACAACACAAGGAAGTTACTGAGAATTCATCTGTCTAGCATAATATGAAGAAATCCCGTTTCCAACGAAGGCCTCAAAGAGGTCTGAATATCCACTTGCAGACTTTACAAACAGAGTGTTTCCTAACTGCTCTTTGAAAAGAAAGGTTAAACTCTGTGAGTTGAACGCACACATCACAAAACAGTTTCTGAGAATCATTCTGTCTAGTTTTTATACGAAGATATTTCCTTTTCTACCGTTGACCTCAAAGCGGCTGAATTCTCCACTTACAAATTCCACCAAAAGAGTTTCTCAAATCTGCTCTGTGTAAAGAATCATTCAACTCTGTGAGTTGAATGCACACAACACAAGCAAGTTACTGGGAATTCCTCTGTCTAACCTTACATGAAAAACCCGTTTCCAACGAAGGCCTCTAAGAGGCCAAGATATCCACTTGCAGACTTTACAAACAGAGTGTTTCCAAACTGCTGAATGAAAAGAAAAGTTAAACTCTGTGAGTTGAACGCACACATCACAGAGCAGTTTCTGAGAATGATTCTGTCGGGTTTTTATACGAAGATATTTCCTTTTCTGCCTTTGGCCTCAAAGCGCTTGAAGTCTCCACTTGCAAATTGCAGAAAAAGAGTGTTTCGAATCTGCTCTGTCTAAAAGAAGGTTCAACTCTGTCAGTTGAATACACACAACACAAGGAAGTTACTGAGATTTCTTCTGTCTAGCCTTACATGAAAAAAACCCGTTTCCAACGAAGGCCTCAAAGAGGTCAAAATATCCACGTGCAGACTTTCCAAACAGAGTGTTTCCAAACTGCTGAATGAAAAGAAAAGTTAAACTCTGTGAGTTGAACACACACAACCCAGAGCAGTTTCTGAGAAAGATTCTGTCGAGTTTTCATAGGAAAATATTTCCTTTTCTGCTTTTGGCCTCAAAGCGCTTGAAATCTCCACTTGCAAATTCCACAAAAAGAGACTTTCAAATCTGCTCTGTCTAAAGGAAGGTTCAACTCTGTCAGTTGAATACACACAACACAAAGAAGTTACTAAGAATTCTTCCCTCTAGCATTATATGAAGAAATCCCGTTTCCAACGAAGGCATCTAAGAGGTCCAAATATCCACTTGCAGACTTTACAAACACAGGGTTTCCAGAATGCTGTATGAAAAGAAAGGTTAAAACTCTGTGAGTTAAACACACACATCACTACGCAGTGTCTGGGAACGAGTTGTCTTGTTTTTATACGAAGATATTTCCTTTTCTACCATTGGCATCGAAGCGCTTGAAATCTCCACTTGCAAATTCCACAAAAAGAGTGTTTCAAATCTGCTCTGTCTAAAGGAAGGTTGAACTCTGTGAGTTGCATACACACAACACAAAGAAGTTACTGAGAAATCTTCTGTCTAGCATAATATGAAGAAATCCCGTTTCCAACGAAGGCCTCAAAGAGGTCCGAATATCCACTGGCAGGCTTCACAAACAGAGTGTTTCCTAACTGCTCTGTGAAAAGAAAGGTTAAACTCTGTGAGTTGAACGCACACATCACAAAGGAGTTTCTGAGAATCATTCTGTCTAGTTTTTATACGAAGATATTTCCTTTTCTACCATTGACCTCAAAGCGGCTGAAATCTCCACTTGCAAATTCCAGAAAAACAGTGTTTCAAATCTGCTCTGTGTAAAGGATCGTTTAACTCTGTGAGTTGAATACACACAACACAAGGAAGTTACTGAGAATTCATCTGTCTAGCATAATATGAAGAAATCCCGTTTCCAACGAAGGCCTCAAAGAGGTCTGAATATCCACTTGCAGACTTTACAAACAGAGTGTTTCCTAACTGCTCTTTGAAAAGAAAGGTTAAACTCTGTGAGTTGAACGCACACATCACAAAACAGTTTCTGAGAATCATTCTGTCTAGTTTTTATACGAAGATATTTCCTTTTCTACCGTTGACCTCAAAGCGGCTGAATTCTCCACTTACAAATTCCACCAAAAGAGTGTCTCAAATCTGCTCTGTGTAAAGAATCATTCAACTCTGTGAGTTGAATGCACACAACACAAGGAAGTTACTGGGAATTCCTCTGTCTATCCTTACATGAAAAAACCCGCTTCCAACGAAGGCCTCTAAGAGGCCAAGATATCCACTTGCAGACTTTACAGAGTGTTTCCAAACTGCTGAATGAAAAGAAAAGTTAAACTCTGTGAGTTGAACGCACACATCACAGAGCAGTTTCTGAGAATGATTCTGTCGGGTTTTTATACGAAGATATTTCCTTTTCTGCCTTTGGCCTCAAAGCGCTTGAAGTCTCCACTTGCAAATTGCAGAAAAAGAGTGTTTCGAATCTGCTCTGTCTAAAGGAAGGTTCAACTCTGTCAGTTGAATACACACAACACAAGGAAGTTACTGAGATTTCTTCTGTCTAGCCTTACATGAAAAAAACCCGTTTCCAACGAAGGCCTCAAAGAGGTCAAAATATCCACGTGCAGACTTTCCAAACAGAGTGTTTCCAAACTGCTGAATGAAAAGAAAAGTTAAACTCTGTGAGTTGAACGCACACATCCCAGAGCAGTTTCTGAGAAAGATTCTGTCGAGTTTTTATAGGAAAATATTTCCTTTTCTGCTTTTGGCCTCAAAGCGCTTGAAATCTCCACTTGCAAATTCCACAAAAAGAGACTTTCAAATCTGCTCTGTCTAAAGGAAGGTTCAACTCTGTCAGTTGAATACACACAACACAAAGAAGTTACTAAGAATTCTTCCCTCTAGCATTATATGAAGAAATCCCGTTTCCAACGAAGGCATCTAAGAGGTCCAAATATCCACTTGCAGACTTTACAAACAGAGGGTTTCCAGAATGCTGTATGAAAAGAAAGGTTAAACTCTGTGAGTTAAACACACACATCACTACGCAGTGTCTGGGAACGAGTTTGTCTTGTTTTTATACGAAGATATTTCCTTTTCTACCATTGGCATCGAAGCGCTTGAAATCTCCACTTGCAAATTCCACAAAAAGAGTGTTTCAAATCTGCTCTGTCTAAAGGAAGGTTGAACTCTGTGAGTTGCATACACACAACACAAAGAAGTTACTGAGAAATCTTCTGTCTAGCATAATATGAAGAAATCCCGTTTCCAACGAAGGCCTCAAAGAGGTCCGAATATCCACTGGCAGGCTTCACAAACAGAGTGTTTCCTAACTGCTCTGTGAAAAGAAAGGTTAAACTCTGTGAGTTGAACGCACACATCACAAAGGAGTTTCTGAGAATCATTCTGTCTAGTTTTTATACGAAGATATTTCCTTTTCTACCATTGACCTCAAAGCGGCTGAAATCTCCACTTGCAAATTCCAGAAAAACAGTGTTTCAAATCTGCTCTGTGTAAAGGATCGTTCAACTCTGTGAGTTGAATACACACAACACAAGGAAGTTACTGAGAATTCATCTGTCTAGCATAATATGAAGAAATCCCGTTTCCAACGAAGGCCTCAAAGAGGTCTGAATATCCACTTGCAGACTTTACAAACAGAGTGTTTCCTAACTGCTCTTTGAAAAGAAAGGTTAAACTCTGTGAGTTGAACGCACACATCACAAAACAGTTTCTGAGAATCATTCTGTCTAGTTTTTATACGAAGATATTTCCTTTTCTACCGTTGACCTCAAAGCGGCTGAATTCTCCACTTACAAATTCCACCAAAAGAGTGTCTCAAATCTGCTCTGTGAAAAGAATCATTCAACTCTGTGAGTTGAATGCACACAACACAAGGAAAGTTACTGGGAATTCCTCTGTCTAACCTTAAATGAAAAAACCCGTTTCCAACGAAGGCCTCTAAGAGGCCAAGATATCCACTTGCAGACTTTACAAACAGAGTGTTTCCAAACTGCTGAATGAAAAGAAAAGTTAAACTCTGTGAGTTGAACGCACACATCACAGAGCAGTTTCTGAGAATGATTCTGTCGGGTTTTTATACGAAGATATTTCCTTTTCTGCCTTTGGCCTCAAAGCGCTTGAAGTCTCCACTTGCAAATTGCAGAAAAAGAGTGTTTCGAATCTGCTCTGTCTAAAGGAAGGTTCAACTCTGTCAGTTGAATACACACAACACAAGGAAGTTACTGAGATTTCTTCTGTCTAGCCTTACATGAAAAAAACCCGTTTCCAACGAAGGCCTCAAAGAGGTCAAAATATCCACGTGCAGACTTTCCAAACAGAGTGTTTCCAAACTGCTGAATGAAAAGAAAAAAACTCTGTGAGTTGAACGCACACATCCCAGAGCAGTTTCTGAGAAAGATTCTGTCTAGTTTTTATAGGAAAATATTTCCTTTTCTGCTTTTGGCCTCAAAGCGCTTGAAATCTCCACTTGCAAATTCCACAAAAAGAGACTTTCAAATCTGCTCTGTCTAAAGGAAGGTTCAACTCTGTCAGTTGAATACACACAACACAAAGAAGTTACTAAGAATTCTTCCCTCTAGCATTATATGAAGAAATCCCGTTTCCAACGAAGGCATCTAAGAGGTCCAAATATCCACTTGCAGACTTTACAAACAGAGGGTTCCCAGAATGCTGTATGAAAAGAAAGGTTAAACTCTGTGAGTTAAACACACACATCACTACGCAGTGTCTGGGAACGAGTTTGTCTTGTTTTTGTATGAAGATATTTCCTTTTCTACCATTGGCATCGAAGCGTTTGAAATCTCCACTTGCAAATTCCACAAAAAGAGTGTTTCAAATCTGCTCTGTCTAAAGGAAGGTTGAACTCTGTGAGTTGCATACACACAACACAAAGAAGTTACTGAGAAATCTTCTGTCTAGCATAATATGAAGAAATCCCGTTTCCAACGAAGGCCTCAAAGAGGTCCGAATATCCACTGGCAGGCTTCACAAACAGAGTGTTTCCTAACTGCTCTGTGAAAAGAAAGGTTAAACTCTGTGAGTTGAACGCACACATCACAAAGGAGTTTCTGAGAATCATTCTGTCTAGTTTTTATACGAAGATATTTCTTTTTCTACCATTGACCTCAAAGCGGCTGAAATCTCCACTTGCAAATTCCAGAAAAACAGTGTTTCAAATCTGCTCTGTGTAAAGGATCGTTCAACTCTGTGAGTTGAATACACACAACACAAGGAAGTTACTGAGAATTCATCTGTCTAGCATAATATGAAGAAATCCCGTTTCCAACGAAGGCCTCAAAGAGGTCTGAATATCCACTTGCAGACTTTACAAACAGAGTGTTTCCTAACTGCTCTTTGAAAAGAAAGGTTAAACTCTGTGAGTTGAACGCACACATCACAAAACAGTTTCTGAGAATCATTCTGTCTAGTTTTTATACGAAGATATTTCCTTTTCTACCGTTGACCTCAAAGCGGCTGAATTCTCCACTTACAAATTCCACCAAAAGAGTGTCTCAAATCTGCTCTGTGTAAAGAATCATTCAACTCTGTGAGTTGAATGCACACAACACAAGGAAGTTACTGGGAATTCCTCTGTCTAACCTTAGATGAAAAAACCCGTTTCCAACGAAGGCCTCTAAGAGGCCAAGATATCCACTTGCAGACTTTACAAACAGAGTGTTTCCAAACTGCTGAATGAAAAGAAAAGTTAAACTCTGTGAGTTGAACACACACATCACAGAGCAGTTTCTGAGAATGATTCTGTCGGGTTTTTATACGAAGATATTTCCTTTTCTGCCTTTGGCCTCAAAGCGCTTGAAGTCTCCACTTGCAAATTGCAGAAAAAGAGTGTTTCGAATCTGCTCTGTCTAAAGGAAGGTTCAACTCTGTCAGTTGAATACACACAACACAAGGAAGTTACTGAGATTTCTTCTGTCTAGCCTTACATGAAAAAAACCCGTTTCCAACGAAGGCCTCAAAGAGGTCAAAATATCCACGTGCAGACTTTCCAAACAGAGTGTTTCCAAACTGCTGAATGAAAAGAAAAGTTAAACTCTGTGAGTTGAACGCACACATCCCAGAGCAGTTTCTGAGAAAGATTCTGTCGAGTTTTTATAGGAAAATATTTCCTTTTCTGCTTTTGGCCTCAAAGCGCTTGAAATCTCCACTTGCAAATTCCACAAAAAGAGACTTTCAAATCTGCTCTGTCTAAAGGAAGGTTCAACTCTGTCAGTTGAATACACACAACACAAAGAAGTTACTAAGAATTCTTCCCTCTAGCATTATATGAAGAAATCCCGTTTCCAACGAAGGCATCTAAGAGGTCCAAATATCCACTTGCAGACTTTACAAACAGAGGGTTTCCAGAATGCTGTATGAAAAGAAAGGTGAAACTCTGTGAGTTAAACACACACATCACTACGCAGTGTCTGGGAACGAGTTTGTCTTGTTTTTATACGAAGATATTTCCTTTTCTACCATTGGCATCGAAGCGCTTGAAATCTCCACTTGCAAATTCCACAAAAAGAGTGTTTCAAATATGCTCTCTCTAAAGGAAGGTTGAACTCTGTGAGTTGCATACACACAACACAAAGAAGTTACTGAGAAATCTTCTGTCTAGCATAATATGAAGAAATCCCGTTTCCAACGAAGGCCTCAAAGAGGTCCGATTATCCACTGGCAGGCTTCACAAACAGAGTGTTTCCTAACTGCTCTGTGAAAAGAAAGGTTAAACTCTGTGAGTTGAACGCACACATCACAAAGGAGTTTCTGAGAATCATTCTGTCTAGTTTTTATACGAAGATATTTCCTTTTCTACCATTGACCTCAAAGCGGCTGAAATCTCCACTTGCAAATTCCAGAAAAACAGTGTTTCAAATCTGCTCTGTGTAAAGGATCGTTCAACTCTGTGAGTTGAATACACACAACACAAGGAAGTTACTGAGAATTCATCTGTCTAGCATAATATGAAGAAATCCCGTTTCCAACGAAGGCCTCAAAGAGGTCTGAATATCCACTTGCAGACTTTACAAACAGAGTGTTTCCTAACTGCTCTGTGAAAAGAAAGGTTAAACTCTGTGAGTTGAACGCACACATCACAAAACAGTTTCTGAGAATCATTCTGTCTAGTTTTTATACGAAGATATTTCCTTTTCTACCGTTGACCTCAAAGCGGCTGAATTCTCCACTTACAAATTCCACCAAAAGAGTGTCTCAAATCTGCTCTGTGTAAAGAATCATTCAACTCTGTGAGTTGAATGCACACAACACAAGGAAGTTACTGGGAATTCCTCTGTCTAACCTTACATGAAAAAACCCGTTTCCAACGAAGGCCTCTAAGAGGCCAAGATATCCACTTGCAGACTTTACAAACAGAGTGTTTCCAAACTGCTGAATGAAAAGAAAAGTTAAACTCTGTGAGTTGAACGCACACATCACAGAGCAGTTTCTGAGAGTGATTCTGTCGGGTTTTTATACGAAGATATTTCCTTTTCTGCCTTTGGCCTCAAAGCGCTTGAAGTCTCCACTTGCAAATTGCAGAAAAAGAGTGTTTCGAATCTGCTCTGTCTAAAGGAAGGTTCAACTCTGTCAGTTGAATACACACAACACAAGGAAGTTACTGAGATTTCTTCTGTCTAGCCTTACATGAAAAAAACCCGTTTCCAACGAAGGCCTCAAAGAGGTCAAAATATCCAAGTGCAGACTTTCCAAACAGAGTGTTTCCAAACTGCTGAATGAAAAGAAAAGTTAAACTCTGTGAGTTGAACGCACACATCCCAGAGCAGTTTCTGAGAAAGATTCTGTCGAGTTTTTATAGGAAAATATTTCCTTTTCTGCTTTTGGCCTCAAAGCGCTTGAAATCTCCACTTGCAAATTCCACAAAAAGAGACTTTCAAATCTGCTCTGTCTAAAGGAAGGTTCAACTCTGTCAGTTGAATACACACAACACAAAGAAGTTACTAAGAATTCTTCCCTCTAGCATTATATGAAGAAATCCCGTTTCCAACGAAGGCATCTAAGAGGTCCAAATATCCACTTGCAGACTTTACAAACACAGGGTTTCCAGAATGCTGTATGAAAAGAAAGGTGAAACTCTGTGAGTTAAACACACACATCACTACGCAGTGTCTGGGAACGAGTTTGTCTTGTTTTTATACGAAGATATTTCCTTTTCTACCATTGGCATCGAAGCGCTTGAAATCTCCACTTGCAAATTCCACAAAAAGAGTGTTTCAAATCTGCTCTGTCTAAAGGAAGGTTGAACTCTGTGAGTTGCATACACACAACACAAAGAAGTTACTGAGAAATCTTCTGTCTAGCATAATATGAAGAAATCCCGTTTCCAACGAAGGCCTCAAAGAGGTCCGAATATCCACTGGCAGGCTTCACAAACAGAGTGTTTCCTAACTGCTCTGTGAAAAGAAAGGTTAAACTCTGTGAGTTGAACGCACACATCACAAAGGAGTTTCTGAGAATCATTCTGTCTAGTTTTTATACGAAGATATTTCCTTTTCTACCATTGACCTCAAAGCGGCTGAAATCTCCACTTGCAAATTCCAGAAAAACAGTGTTTCAAATCTGCTCTGTGTAAAGGATCGTTCAACTCTGTGAGTTGAATACACACAACACAAGGAAGTTACTGAGAATTCATCTGTCTAGCATAATATGAAGAAATCCCGTTTCCAACGAAGGCCTCAAAGAGGTCTGAATATCCACTTGCAGACTTTACAAACAGAGTGTTTCCTAACTGCTCTTTGAAAAGAAAGGTTAAACTCTGTGAGTTGAACGCACACATCACAAAACAGTTTCTGAGAATCATTCTAGTTTTTATACGAAGATATTTCCTTTTCTACCGTTGACCTCAAAGCAGCTGAATTCTCCACTTACAAATTCCACCAAAAGAGTGTCTCAAATCTGCTCTGTGTAAAGAATCATTCAACTCTGTGAGTTGAATGCACACAACACAAGGAAGTTACTGGGAATTCCTCTGTCTAACCTTACATGAAAAAACCCGTTTCCAACGAAGGCCTCTAAGAGGCCAAGATATCCACTTGCAGACTTTACAAACAGAGTGTTTCCAAACTGCTGAATGAAAAGAAAAGTTAAACTCTGTGAGTTGAACGCACACATCACAGAGCAGTTTCTGAGAATGATTCTGTCGGGTTTTTATACGAAGATATTTCCTTTTCTGCCTTTGGCCTCAAAGCGCTTGAAGTCTCCACTTGCAAATTGCAGAAAAAGAGTGTTTCGAATCTGCTCTGTCTAAAGGAAGGTTCAACTCTGTCAGTTGAATACACACAACACAAGGAAGTTACTGAGATTTCTTCTGTCTAGCCTTACATGAAAAAAACCCGTTTCCAACGAAGGCCTCAAAGAGGTCAAAATATCCACGTGCAGACTTTCCAAACAGAGTGTTTCTAAACTGCTGAATGAAAAGAAAAGTTAAACTCTGTGAGTTGAACGCACACATCCCAGAGCAGTTTCTCAGAAAGATTGTGTCGAGTTTTTATAGGAAAATATTTCCTTTTCTGCTTTTGGCCTCAAAGCGCTTGAAATCTCCACTTGCAAATTCCACAAAAAGAGACTTTCAAATCTGCTCTGTCTAAAGGAAGGTTCAACTCTGTCAGTTGAATACACACAACACAAAGAAGTTACTAAGAATTCTTCCCTCTAGCATTATATGAAGAAATCCCGTTTCCAACGAAGGCATCTAAGAGGTCCAAATATCCACTTGCAGACTTTACAAACAGAGGGTTTCCAGAATGCTGTATGAAAAGAAAGGTTAAACTCTGTGAGTTAAACACACACATCACTACGCAGTGTCTGGGAACGAGTTTGTCTTGTTTTTATACGAAGATATTTCCTTTTCTACCATTGGCATCGAAGCGCTTGAAATCTCCACTTGCAAATTCCACAAAAAGAGTGTTTCAAATCTGCTCTGTCTAAAGGAAGGTTGAACTCTGTGAGTTGCATACACACAACACAAAGAAGTTACTGAGAAATCTTCTGTCTAGCATAATATGAAGAAATCCCGTTTCCAACGAAGGCCTGAAAGAGGTCTGAATATCCACTGGCAGGCTTCACAAACAGAGTGTTTCCTAACTGCTCTGTGAAAAGAAAGGTTAAACTCTGTGAGTTGAACGCACACATCACAAAGGAGTTTCTGAGAATCATTCTGTCTAGTTTTTATACGAAGATATTTCCTTTTCTACCATTGACCTCAAAGCGGCTGAAATCTCCACTTGCAAATTCCAGAAAAACAGTGTTTCAAATCTGCTCTGTGTAAAGGATCGTTCAACTCTGTGAGTTGAATACACACAACACAAGGAAGTTACTGAGAATTCATCTGTCTAGCATAATATGAAGAAATCCCGTTTCCAACGAAGGCCTCAAAGAGGTCTGAATATCCACTTGCAGACTTTACAGAGTGTTTCCTAACTGCTCTTTGAAAAGAAAGGTTAAACTCTGTGAGTTGAACGCACACATCACAAAACAGTTTCTGAGAATCATTCTGTCTAGTTTTTATACGAAGATATTTCCTTTTCTACCGTTGACCTCAAAGCGGCTGAATTCTCCACTTACAAATTCCACCCAAAGAGTGTCTCAAATCTGCTCTGTGTAAAGAATCATTCAACTCTGTGAGTTGAATGCACACAACACAAGGAAGTTACTGGGAATTCCTCTGTCTAACCTTACATGAAAAAACCCGTTTCCAACGAAGGCCTCTAAGAGGCCAAGATATCCACTTGCAGACTTTACAAACAGAGTGTTTCCAAACTGCTGAATGAAAAGAAAAGTTAAACTCTGTGAGTTGAACGCACACATCACAGAGCAGTTTCTGAGAATGATTCTGTCGGGTTTTTATACGAAGATATTTCCTTTTC
Organism: Homo sapiens; assembly: GCF_000001405.40. Classification (NCBI taxonomy): domain Eukaryota; kingdom Metazoa; phylum Chordata; class Mammalia; order Primates; family Hominidae; genus Homo; species Homo sapiens. The sequence goes on along the minus strand of NC_000016.10, from coordinate 37,212,766 downwards.
TGCCTTTGGCCTCAAAGTGCTTGAAGTCTCCACTTGCAAATTGCAGAAAAAGAGTGTTTCGAATCTGCTCTGTCTAAAGGAAGGTTCAACTCTGTCAGTTGAATACACACAACACAAGGAAGTTACTGAGATTTCTTCTGTCTAGCCTTACATGAAAAAAACCCGTTTCCAACGAAGGCCTCAAAGAGGTCAAAATATCCACGTGCAGACTTTCCAAACAGAGTGTTTCCAAACTGCTGAATGAAAAGAAAGTTAAACTCTGTGAGTTGAACACACACATCCCAGAGCAGTTTCTGAGAAAGATTCTGTCTAGTTTTTATAGGAAAATATTTCCTTTTCTGCTTTTGGCCTCAAAGCGCTTGAAATCTCCACTTGCAAATTCCACAAAAAGAGACTTTCAAATCTGCTCTGTCTAAAGGAAGGTTCAACTCTGTCAGTTGAATACACACAACACAAAGAAGTTACTAAGAATTCTTCCCTCTAGCATTATATGAAGAAATCCCGTTTCCAACGAAGGCATCTAAGAGGTCCAAATATCCACTTGCAGACTTTACAAACAGAGGGTTTCCAGAATGCTGTATGAAAAGAAAGGTTAAACTCTGTGAGTTAAACACACACATCACTACGCAGTGTCTGGGAACGAGTTTGTCTTGTTTTTATACGAAGATATTTCCTTTTCTACCATTGGCATCGAAGCGCTTGAAATCTCCACTTGCAAATTCCACAAAAAGAGTGTTTCAAATCTGCTCTGTCTAAAGGAAGGTTGAACTCTGTGAGTTGCATACACACAACCCAAAGAAGTTACTGAGAAATCTTCTGTCTAGCATAATATGAAGAAATCCCGTTTCCAACGAAGGCCTCAAAGAGGTCCGAATATCCACTGGCAGGCTTCACAAACAGAGTGTTTCCTAACTGCTCTGTGAAAAGAAAGGTTAAACTCTGTGAGTTGAACGCACACATCACAAAGGAGTTTCTGAGAATCATTCTGTCTAGTTTTTATACGAAGATATTTCCTTTTCTACCATTGACCTCAAAGCGGCTGAAATCTCCACTTGCAAATTCCAGAAAAACAGTGTTTCAAATCTGCTCTGTGTAAAGGATCGTTCAACTCTGTGAGTTGAATACACACAACACAAGGAAGTTACTGAGAATTCATCTGTCTAGCATAATATGAAGAAATCCCGTTTCCAACGAAGGCCTCAAAGAGGTCTGAATATCCACTTGCAGACTTTACAAACAGAGTGTTTCCTAACTGCTCTTTGAAAAGAAAGGTTAAACTCTGTGAGTTGAACGCACACATCACAAAACAGTTTCTGAGAATCATTCTGTCTAGTTTTTATACGAAGATATTTCCTTTTCTACCGTTGACCTCAAAGCGGCTGAATTCTCCACTAACAAATTCCACCAAAAGAGTGTCTCAAATCTGCTCTGTGTAAAGAATCATTCAACTCTGTGAGTTGAATGCACACAACACAAGGAAGTTACTGGGAATTCCTCTGTCTAACCTTACATGAAAAAACCCGTTTCCAACGAAGGCCTCTAAGAGGCCAAGATATCCACTTGCAGACTTTACAAACAGAGTGTTTCCAAACTGCTGAATGAAAAGAAAAGTTAAACTCTGTGAGTTGAACGCACACATCACAGAGCAGTTTCTGAGAATGATTCTGTCGGGTTTTTATACGAAGATATTTCCTTTTCTGCCTTTGGCCTCAAAGCGCTTGAAGTCTCCACTTGCAAATTGCAGAAAAAGAGTGTTTCGAATCTGCTCTGTCTAAAGGAAGGTTCAACTCTGTCAGTTGAATACACACAACACAAGGAAGTTACTGAGATTTCTTCTGTCTAGCCTTACATAAAAATAACCCGTTTCCAACGAAGGCCTTAAAGAGGTCAAAATATCCACGTGCAGACTTTCCAAACAGTGTTTCCAAACTGCTGAATGAAAAGAAAAGTTAAACTCTGTGAGTTGAACGCACACATCACAGAGTAGTTTCTGAGAATGAGTCTGTCGAGTTTTTATAGGAAAATATTTCCTTTTCTGCTTTTGGCCTCAAAGCGCTTGAAATCTCCACTTGCAAATTCCACAAAAAGAGACTTTCAAATCTGCTCTGTCTAAAGGAAGGTTCAACTCTGTCAGTTGAATACACACAACACAAAGAAGTTACTAAGAATTCTTCCCTCTAGCATTATATGAAGAAATCCCGTTTCCAACGAAGGCATCTAAGAGGTCCAAATATCCACTTGCAGACTTTACAAACACAGGGTTTCCAGAATGCTGTATGAAAAGAAAGGTTAAACTCTGTGAGTTAAACACACACATCACTACGCAGTGTCTGGGAACGAGTTTGTCTTGTTTTTATACGAAGATATTTCCTTTTCTACCATTGGCATCGAAGCGCTTGAAATCTCCACTTGCAAATTCCACAAAAAGAGTGTTTCAAATCTGCTCTGTCTAAAGGAAGGTTGAACTCTGTGAGTTGCATACACACAACACAAAGAAGTTACTGAGAAATCTTCTGTCTAGCATAATATGAAGAAATCCCGTTTCCAACGAAGGCCTCAAAGAGGTCCGAATATCCACTGGCAGGCTTCACAAACAGAGTGTTTCCTAACTGCTCTGTGAAAAGAAAGGTTAAACTCTGTGAGTTGAACGCACACATCACAAAGGAGTTTCTGAGAATCATTCTGTCTAGTTTTTATACGAAGATATTTCCTTTTCTACCATTGACCTCAAAGCGGCTGAAATCTCCACTTGCAAATTCCAGAAAAACAGTGTTTCAAATCTGCTCTGTGTAAAGGATCGTTCAACTCTTGTGAGTTGAATACACACAACACAAGGAAGTTACTGAGAATTCATCTGTCTAGCATAATATGAAGAAATCCCGTTTCCAACGAAGGCCTCAAAGAGGTCTGAATATCCACTTGCAGACTTTACAAACAGAGTGCTTCCTAACTGCTCTTTGAAAAGAAAGGTTAAACTCTGTGAGTTGAACGCACACATCACAAAACAGTTTCTGAGAATCATTCTGTCTAGTTTTTATACGAAGATATTTCCTTTTCTACCGTTGACCTCAAAGCGGCTGAATTCTCCACTTACAAATTCCACCAAAAGAGTGTCTCAAATCTGCTCTGTGTAAAGAATCATTCAACTCTGTGAGTTGAATGCACACAACACAAGGAAGTTACTGGGAATTCCTCTGTCTAACCTTACATGAAAAAACCCGCTTCCAACGAAGGCCTCTAAGAGGCCAAGATATCCACTTGCAGACTTTACAGAGTGTTTCCAAACTGCTGAATGAAAAGAAAAGTTAAACTCTGTGAGTTGAACGCACACATCACAGAGCAGTTTCTGAGAATGATTCTGTCGGGTTTTTATACGAAGATATTTCCTTTTCTGCCTTTGGCCTCAAAGCGCTTGAAGTCTCCACTTGCAAATTGCAGAAAAAGAGTGTTTCGAATCTGCTCTGTCTAAAGGAAGGTTCAACTCTGTCAGTTGAATACACACAACACAAGGAAGTTACTGAGATTTCTTCTGTCTAGCCTTACATGAAAAAAACCCGTTTCCAACGAAGGCCTCAAAGAGGTCAAAATATCCACGTGCAGACTTTCCAAACAGAGTGTTTCCAAACTGCTGAATGAAAAGAAAAGTTAAACTCTGTGAGTTGAACGCACACATCCCAGAGCAGTTTCTGAGAAAGATTCTGTCTAGTTTTTATAGGAAAATATTTCCTTTTCTGCTTTTGGCCTCAAAGCGCTTGAAATCTCCACTTGCAAATTCCACAAAAAGAGACTTTCAAATCTGCTCTGTCTAAAGGAAGGTTCAACTCTGTCAGTTGAATACACACAACACAAAGAAGTTACTAAGAATTCTTCCCTCTAGCATTATATGAAGAAATCCCGTTTCCAACGAAGGCATCTAAGAGGTCCAAATATCCACTTGCAGACTTTACAAACAGAGGGTTTCCAGAATGCTGTATGAAAAGAAAGGTGAAACTCTGTGAGTTAAACACACACATCACTACGCAGTGTCTGGGAACGAGTTTTGTCTTGTTTTATACGAAGATATTTCCTTTTCTACCATTGGCATCGAAGCGCTTGAAATCTCCACTTGCAAATTCCACAAAAAGAGTGTTTCAAATCTGCTCTGTCTAAAGGAAGGTTGAACTCTGTGAGTTGCATACACACAACACAAAGAAGTTACTGAGAAATCTTCTGTCTAGCATAATATGAAGAAATCCCGTTTCCAACGAAGGCCTCAAAGAGGTCCGAATATCCACTGGCAGGCTTCACAAACAGAGTGTTTCCTAACTGCTCTGTGAAAAGAAAGGTTAAACTCTGTGAGTTGAACGCACACATCACAAAGGAGTTTCTGAGAATCATTCTGTCTAGTTTTTATACGAAGATATTTCTTTTTCTACCATTGACCTCAAAGCGGCTGAAATCTCCACTTGCAAATTCCAGAAAAACAGTGTTTCAAATCTGCTCTGTGTAAAGGATCGTTCAACTCTGTGAGTTGAATACACACAACACAAGGAAGTTACTGAGAATTCATCTGTCTAGCATAATATGAAGAAATCCCGTTTCCAACGAAGGCCTCAAAGAGGTCTGAATATCCACTTGCAGACTTTACAAACAGAGTGTTTCCTAACTGCTCTTTGAAAAGAAAGGTTAAACTCTGTGAGTTGAACGCACACATCACAAAACAGTTTCTGAGAATCATTCTGTCTAGTTTTTATACGAAGATATTTCCTTTTCTACCGTTGACCTCAAAGCGGCTGAATTCTCCACTAACAAATTCCACCAAAAGAGTGTCTCAAATCTGCTCTGTGTAAAGAATCATTCAACTCTGTGAGTTGAATGCACACAACACAAGGAAGTTACTGGGAATTCCTCTGTCTAACCTTACATGAAAAAACCCGTTTCCAACGAAGGCCTCTAAGAGGCCAAGATATCCACTTGCAGACTTTACAAACAGAGTGTTTCCAAACTGCTGAATGAAAAGAAAAGTTAAACTCTGTGAGTTGAACGCACACATCACAGAGCAGTTTCTGAGAATGATTCTGTCGGGTTTTTATACGAAGATATTCCCTTTTCTGCCTTTGGCCTCAAAGCGCTTGAAGTCTCCACTTGCAAATTGCAGAAAAAGATTGTTTCGAATCTGCTCTGTCTAAAGGAAGGTTCAACTCTGTCAGTTGAATACACACAACACAAGGAAGTTACTGAGATTTCTTCTGTCTAGCCTTACATGAAAAAAACCCGTTTCCAACGAAGGCCTCAAAGAGGTCAAAATATCCACGTGCAGACTTTCCAAACAGTGTTTCCAAACTGCTGAATGAAAAGAAAAGTTAAACTCTGTGAGTTGAACGCACACATCACAGAGCAGTTTCTGAGAATGATTCTGTCGAGTTTTTATAGGAAAATATTTCCTTTTCTGCTTTTGGCCTCAAAGCGCTTGAAATCTCCACTTGCAAATTCCACAAAAAGAGACTTTCAAATCTGCTCTGTCTAAAGGAAGGTTCAACTCTGTCAGTTGAATACACACAACACAAAGAAGTTACTAAGAATTCTTCCCTCTAGCATTATATGAAGAAATCCCGTTTCCAACGAAGGCATCTAAGAGGTCCAAATATCCACTTGCAGACTTTACAAACACAGGGTTTCCAGAATGCTGTATGAAAAGAAAGGTTAAACTCTGTGAGTTAAACACACACATCACTACGCAGTGTCTGGGAACGAGTTTGTCTTGTTTTTATACGAAGATATTTCCTTTTCTACCATTGGCATCGAAGCGCTTGAAATCTCCACTTGCAAATTCCACAAAAAGAGTGTTTCAAATCTGCTCTGTCTAAAGGAAGGTTGAACTCTGTGAGTTGCATACACACAACACAAAGAAGTTACTGAGAAATCTTCTGTCTAGCATAATATGAAGAAATCCCGTTTCCAACGAAGGCCTCAAAGAGGTCCGAATATCCACTGGCAGGCTTCACAAACAGAGTGTTTCCTAACTGCTCTGTGAAAAGAAAGGTTAAACCCTGTGAGTTGAACGCACACATCACAAAGGAGTTTCTGAGAATCATTCTGTCTAGTTTTTATACGAAGATATTTCCTTTTCTACCATTGACCTCAAAGCGGCTGAAATCTCCACTTGCAAATTCCAGAAAAACAGTGTTTCAAATCTGCTCTGTGTAAAGGATCGTTCAACTCTGTGAGTTGAATACACACAACACAAGGAAGTTACTGAGAATTCATCTGTCTAGCATAATATGAAGAAATCCCGTTTCCAACGAAGGCCTCAAAGAGGTCTGAATATCCACTTGCAGACTTTACAAACAGAGTGTTTCCTAACTGCTCTTTGAAAAGAAAGGTTAAACTCTGTGAGTTGAACGCACACATCACAAAACAGTTTCTGAGAATCATTCTGTCTAGTTTTTATACGAAGATATTTCCTTTTCTACCGTTGACCTCAAAGCGGCTGAATTCTCCACTTACAAATTCCACCAAAAGAGTGTCTCAAATCTGCTCTGTGTAAAGAATCATTCAACTCTGTGAGTTGAATGCACACAACACAAGGAAGTTACTGGGAATTCCTCTGTCTAACCTTACATGAAAAAACCCGTTTCCAACGAAGGCCTCTAAGAGGCCAAGATATCCACTTGCAGACTTTACAAACAGAGTGTTTCCAAACTGCTGAATGAAAAGAAAAGTTAAACTCTGTGAGTTGAACGCACACATCACAGAGCAGTTTCTGAGAATGATTCTGTCGGGTTTTTATACGAAGATATTTCCTTTTCTGCCTTTGGCCTCAAAGCGCTTGAAGTCTCCACTTGCAAATTGCAGAAAAAGAGTGTTTCGAATCTGCTCTGTCTAAAGGAAGGTTCAACTCTGTCAGTTGAATACACACAACACAAGGAAGTTACTGAGATTTCTTCTGTCTAGCCTTACATGAAAAAAACCCGTTTCCAACGAAGGCCTCAAAGAGGTCAAAATATCCACGTGCAGACTTTCCAAACAGAGTGTTTCCAAACTGCTGAATGAAAAGAAAAGTTAAACTCTGTGAGTTGAACGCACACATCCCAGAGCAGTTTCTGAGAAAGATTCTGTCGAGTTTTTATAGGAAAATATTTCCTTTTCTGCTTTTGGCCTCAAAGCGCTTGAAATCTCCACTTGCAAATTCCACAAAAAGAGACTTTCAAATCTGCTCTGTCTAAAGGAAGGTTCAACTCTGTCAGTTGAATACACACAACACAAAGAAGTTACTAAGAATTCTTCCCTCTAGCATTATATGAAGAAATCCCGTTTCCAACGAAGGCATCTAAGAGGTCCAAATATCCACTTGCAGACTTTACAAACACAGGGTTTCCAGAATGCTGTATGAAAAGAAAGGTTAAACTCTGTGAGTTAAACACACACATCACTACGCAGTGTCTGGGAACGAGTTTGTCTTGTTTTTATACGAAGATATTTCCTTTTCTACCATTGGCATCGAAGCGCTTGAAATCTCCACTTGCAAATTCCACAAAAAGAGTGTTTCAAATCTGCTCTGTCTAAAGGAAGGTTGAACTCTGTGAGTTGCATACACACAACACAAAGAAGTTACTGAGAAATCTTCTGACTAGCATAATATGAAGAAATCCCGTTTCCAACGAAGGCCTCAAAGAGGTCCGAATATCCACTGGCAGGCTTCACAAACAGAGTGTTTCCTAACTGCTCTGTGAAAAGAAAGGTTAAACTCTGTGAGTTGAACGCACACATCACAAAGGAGTTTCTGAGAATCATTCTGTCTAGTTTTTATACGAAGATATTTCCTTTTCTACCATTGACCTCAAAGCGGCTGAAATCTCCACTTGCAAATTCCAGAAAAACAGTGTTTCAAATCTGCTCTGTGTAAAGGATCGTTCAACTCTGTGAGTTGAATACACACAACACAAGGAAGTTACTGAGAATTCATCTGTCTAGCATAATATGAAGAAATCCCGTTTCCAACGAAGGCCTCAAAGAGGTCTGAATATCCTCTTGCAGACTTTACAAACAGAGTGTTTCCTAACTGCTCTTTGAAAAGAAAGGTTAAACTCTGTGAGTTGAACGCACACATCACAAAACAGTTTCTGAGAATCATTCTGTCTAGTTTTTATACGAAGATATTTCCTTTTCTACCGTTGACCTCAAAGCGGCTGAATTCTCCACTTACAAATTCCACCAAAAGAGTGTCTCAAAACTGCTCTGTGTAAAGAATCATTCAACTCTGTGAGTTGAATGCACACAACACAAGGAAAGTTACTGGGAATTCCTCTGTCTAACCTTACATGAAAAAACCCGTTTCCAACGAAGGCCTCTAAGAGGCCAAGATATCCACTTGCAGACTTTACAAACAGAGTGTTTCCAAACTGCTGAATGAAAAGAAAAGTTAAACTCTGTGAGTTGAACGCACACATCACAGAGCAGTTTCTGAGAATGATTCTGTCGGGTTTTTATACGAAGATATTTCCTTTTCTGCCTTTGGCCTCAAAGCGCTTGAAGTCTCCACTTGCAAATTGCAGAAAAAGAGTGTTTCGAATCTGCTCTGTCTAAAGGAAGGTTCAACTCTGTCAGTTGAATACACACAACACAAGGAAGTTACTGAGATTTCTTCTGTCTAGCCTTACATGAAAAAAACCCGTTTCCAACGAAGGCCTCAAAGAGGTCAAAATATCCACGTGCAGACTTTCCAAACAGAGTGTTTCCAAACTGCTGAATGAAAAGAAAAGTTAAACTCTGTGAGTTGAACGCACACATCCCAGAGCAGTTTCTGAGAAAGATTCTGTCGAGTTTTTATAGGAAAATATTTCCTTTTCTGCTTTTGGCCTCAAAGCGCTTGAAATCTCCACTTGCAAATTCCACAAAAAGAGACTTTCAAATCTGCTCTGTCTAAAGGAAGGTTCAACTCTGTCAGTTGAATACACACAACACAAAGAAGTTACTAAGAATTCTTCCCTCTAGCATTATATGAAGAAATCCCGTTTCCAACGAAGGCATCTAAGAGGTCCAAATATCCACTTGCAGACTTTACAAACACAGGGTTTCCAGAATGCTGTATGAAAAGAAAGGTTAAACTCTGTGAGTTAAACACACACATCACTACGCAGTGTCTGGGAACGAGTTTGTCTTGTTTTTATACGAAGATATTTCCTTTTCTACCATTGGCATCGAAGCGCTTGAAATCTCCACTTGCAAATTCCACAAAAAGAGTGTTTCAAATCTGCTCTGTCTAAAGGAAGGTTGAACTCTGTGAGTTGCATACACACAACACAAAGAAGTTACTGAGAAATCTTCTGTCTAGCATAATATGAAGAAATCCCGTTTCCAACGAAGGCCTCAAAGAGGTCCGAATATCCACTGGCAGGCTTCACAAACAGAGTGTTTCCTAACTGCTCTGTGAAAAGAAAGGTTAAACTCTGTGAGTTGAACGCACACATCACAAAGGAGTTTCTGAGAATCATTCTGTCTAGTTTTTATACGAAGATATTTCCTTTTCTACCATTGACCTCAAAGCGGCTGAAATCTCCACTTGCAAATTCCAGAAAAACAGTGTTTCAAATCTGCTCTGTGTAAAGGATCGTTCAACTCTGTGAGTTGAATACACACAACACAAGGAAGTTACTGAGAATTCATCTGTCTAGCATAATATGAAGAAATCCCGTTTCCAACGAAGGCCTCAAAGAGGTCTGAATATCCACTTGCAGACTTTACAAACAGAGTGTTTCCTAACTGCTCTTTGAAAAGAAAGGTTAAACTCTGTGAGTTGAACGCACACATCAAAAAACAGTTTCTGAGAATCATTCTGTCTAGATTTTATACGAAGATATTTCCTTTTCTACCGTTGACCTCAAAGCGGCTGAATTCTCCACTTACAAATTCCACCCAAAGAGTGTCTCAAATCTGCTCTGTGTAAAGAATCATTCAACTCTGTGAGTTGAATGCACACAACACAAGGAAGTTACTGGGAATTCCTCTGTCTAACCTTACATGAAAAAACCCGTTTCCAACGAAGGCCTCTAAGAGGCCAAGATATCCACTTGCAGACTTTACAAACAGAGTGTTTCCAAACTGCTGAATGAAAAGAAAAGTTAAACTCTGTGAGTTGAACGCACACATCACAGAGCAGTTTCTGAGAATGATTCTGTCGGGTTTTTATACGAAGATATTTCCTTTTCTGCCTTTGGCCTCAAAGCGCTTGAAGTCTCCACTTGCAAATTGCAGAAAAAGAGTGTTTCGAATCTGCTCTGTCTAAAGGAAGGTTCAACTCTGTCAGTTGAATACACACAACACAAGGAAGTTACTGAGATTTCTTCTGTCTAGCCTTACATGAAAAAAACCCGTTTCCAACGAAGGCCTCAAAGAGGTCAAAATATCCACGTGCAGACTTTCCAAACAGAGTGTTTCCAAACTGCTGAATGAAAAGTTAAACTCTGTGAGTTGAACGCACACATCCCAGAGCAGTTTCTGAGAAAGATTCTGTCGAGTTTTTATAGGAAAATATTTCCTTTTCTGCTTTTGGCCTCAAAGCGCTTGAAATCTCCACTTGCAAATTCCACAAAAAGAGACTTTCAAATCTGCTCTGTCTAAAGGAAGGTTCAACTCTGTCAGTTGAATACACACAACACAAAGAAGTTACTAAGAATTCTTCCCTCTAGCATTATATGAAGAAATCCCGTTTCCAACGAAGGCATCTAAGAGGTCCAAATATCCACTTGCAGACTTTACAAACAGAGGGTTTCCAGAATGCTGTATGAAAAGAAAGGTGAAACTCTGTGAGTTAAACACACACATCACTACGCAGTGTCTGGGAACGAGTTTGTCTTGTTTTTATACGAAGATATTTCCTTTTCTACCATTGGCATCGAAGCGCTTGAAATCTCCACTTGCAAATTCCACAAAAAGAGTGTTTCAAATCTGCTCTGTCTAAAGGAAGGTTGAACTCTGTGAGTTGCATACACACAACACAAAGAAGTTACTGAGAAATCTTCTGTCTAGCATAATATGAAGAAATCCCGTTTCCAACGAAGGCCTCAAAGAGGTCCGAATATCCACTGGCAGGCTTCACAAACAGAGTGTTCCCTAACTGCTCTGTGAAAAGAAAGGTTAAACTCTGTGAGTTGAACGCACACATCACAAAGGAGTTTCTGAGAATCATTCTGTCTAGTTTTTATACGAAGATATTTCCTTTTCTACCATTGACCTCAAAGCGGCTGAAATCTCCACTTGCAAATTCCAGAAAAACAGTGTTTCAAATCTGCTCTGTGTAAAGGATCGTTCAACTCTGTGAGTTGAATACACACAACACAAGGAAGTTACTGAGAATTCATCTGTCTAGCATAATATGAAGAAATCCCGTTTCCAACGAAGGCCTCAAAGAGGTCTGAATATCCACTTGCAGACTTTACAAACAGAGTGTTTCCTAACTGCTCTTTGAAAAGAAAGGTTAAACTCTGTGAGTTGAACGCACACATCACAAAACAGTTTCTGAGAATCATTCTGTCTAGTTTTTATACGAAGATATTTCCTTTTCTACCGTTGACCTCAAAGCGGCTGAATTCTCCACTTACAAATTCCACCAAAAGAGTGTCTCAAATCTGCTCTGTGTAAAGAATCATTCAACTCTGTGAGTTGAATGCACACAACACAAGGAAGTTACTGGGAATTCCTCTGTCTATCCTTACATGAAAAAACCCGTTTCCAACGAAGGCCTCTAAGAGGCCAAGATATCCACTTGCAGACTTTACAAACAGAGTGTTTCCAAACTGCTGAATGAAAAGAAAAGTTAAACTCTGTGAGTTGAACGCACACATCACAGAGCAGTTTCTGAGAATGATTCTGTCGGGTTTTTATACGAAGATATTTCCTTTTCTGCCTTTGGCCTCAAAGCGCTTGAAGTCTCCACTTGCAAATTGCAGAAAAAGAGTGTTTCGAATCTGCTCTGTCTAAAGGAAGGTTCAACTCTGTCAGTTGAATACACACAACACAAGGAAGATACTGAGATTTCTTCTGTCTAGCGTTACATTAAAAAACCCGTTTCCAACGAAGGCCTCAAAGAGGTCAAAATATCCACGTGCAGACTTTCCAAACAGAGTGTTTCCAAACTGCTGAATGAAAAGAAAAGTTAAACTCTGTGAGTTGAACGCACACATCCCAGAGCAGTTTCTGAGAAAGATTCTGTCTAGTTTTTATAGGAAAATATTTCCTTTTCTGCTTTTGGCCTCAAAGCGCTTGAAATCTCCACTTGCAAATTCCACAAAAAGAGACTTTCAAATCTGCTCTGTCTAAAGGAAGGTTCAACTCTGTCAGTTGAATACACACAACACAAAGAAGTTACTAAGAATTCTTCCCTCTAGCATTATATGAAGAAATCCCGTTTCCAACGAAGGCATCTAAGAGGTCCAAATATCCACTTGCAGACTTTACAAACAGAGGGTTTCCAGAATGCTGTATGAAAAGAAAGGTTAAACTCTGTGAGTTAAACACACACATCACTACGCAGTGTCTGGGAACGAGTTTGTCTTGTTTTTATACGAAGATATTTCCTTTTCTACCATTGGCATCGATGCGCTTGAAATTTCCACTTGCAAATTCCACAAAAAGAGTGTTTCAAATCTGCTCTGTCTAAAGGAAGGTTGAACTCTGTGAGTTGCATACACACAACACAAAGAAGTTACTGAGAAATCTTCTGTCTAGCAAAATATGAAGAAATCCCGTTTCCAACGAAGGCCTCAAAGAGGTCCGAATATCCACTGGCAGGCTTCACAAACAGAGTGTTTCCTAACTGCTCTGTGAAAAGAAAGGTTAAACTCTGTGAGTTGAACGCACACATCACAAAGGAGTTTCTGAGAATCATTCTGTCCAGTTTTTATACGAAGATATTTCCTTTTCTACCATTGACCTCAAAGCGGCTGAAATCTCCACTTGCAAATTCCAGAAAAAGTGTTTCAAATCTGCTCTGTGTAAAGGATCGTTCAACTCTGTGAGTTGAATACACACAACACAAGGAAGTTACTGAGAATTCATCTGTCTAGCATAATATGATGAAATCCCGTTTCCAACGAAGGCTTCAAAGAGGTCTGAATATCCACTTGCAGACTTTACAAACAGAGTGTTTCCTAACTGCTCTTTGAAAAGAAAGGTTAAACTCTGTGAGTTGAACGCACACATCACAAAACAGTTTCTGAGAATCATTCTTTCTAGTTTTTATACGAAGATATTTCCTTTTCTACCGTTGACCTCAAAGCGGCTGAATTCTCCACTTACAAATTCCACCAAAAGTGTGTCTCAAATCTGCTCTGTGTAAAGAATCATTCAACTCTGTGAGTTGAATGCACACAACACAAGGAAGTTACTGGGAATTCCTCTGTCTAACCTTACATGAAAAAACGCGTTTCCAACGAAGGCCTCTAAGAGGCCAAGATATCCACTTGCAGACTTTACAAACAGAGTGTTTCCAAACTGCTGAATGAAAAGAAAAGTTAAACTCTGTGAGTTGAACGCACACATCACAGAGCAGTTTCTGAGAATGATTCTGTCGGGTTTTTATACGAAGATATTTCCTTTTCTGCCTTTGGCCTCAAAGCGCTTGAAGTCTCCACTTGCAAATTGCAGAAAAAGAGCGTTTCGAATCTGCTCTGTCTAAAGGAAGGTTCAACTCTGTCAGTTGAATACACACAACACAAGGAAGTTACTGAGATTTCTTCTGTCTAGCCTTACATGAAAAAAACCCGTTTCCAACGAAGGCCTCAAAGAGGTCAAAATATCCACGTGCAGACTTTCCAAACAGAGTGTTTCCAAACTGCTGAATGAAAAGAAAGTTAAACTCTGTGAGTTGAACACACACATCACAGAGCAGTTTCTGAGAATGATTCTCTCTAGTTTTTATAGGAAAATATTTCCTTTTCTGCTTTTGGCCTCAAAGCGCTTGAAATCTCCACTTGCAAATTCCACAAAAAGAGACTTTCAAATCTGCTCTGTCTAAAGGAAGGTTCAACTCTGTCAGTTGAATACACACAACACAAAGAAGTTACTAAGAATTCTTCCCTCTAGCATTATATGAAGAAATCCCGTTTCCAACGAAGGCCTCAAAGAGGTCTGAATATCCACTTGCAGACTTTACAGAGTGTTTCCTAACTGCTCTTTGAAAAGAAAGGTGAAACTCTGTGAGTTGAACGCACACATCACAAAACAGTTTCTGAGAATCATTCTGTCTAGTTTTTATACGAAGATATTTCCTTTTCTACCGTTGACCTCAAAGCGGCTGAATTCTCCACTTACAAATTCCACCCAAAGAGTGTCTCAAATCTGCTCTGTGTAAAGAATCATTCAACTCTGTGAGTTGAATGCACACAACACAAGGAAAGTTACTGGGAATTCCTCTGTCTATCCTTACATGAAAAAACCCGTTTCCAACGAAGGCCTCTAAGAGGCCAAGATATCCACTTGCAGACTTTACAAACAGAGTGTTTCCAAACTGCTGAATGAAAAGAAAAGTTAAACTCTGTGAGTTGAACGCACACATCACAGAGCAGTTTCTGAGAGTGATTCTGTCGGGTTTTTATACGAAGATATTTCCTTTTCTGCCTTTGGCCTCAAAGCGCTTGAAGTCTCCACTTGCAAATTGCAGAAAAAGAGTGTTTCGAATCTGCTCTGTCTAAAGGAAGGTTCAACTCTGTCAGTTGAATACACACAACACAAGGAAGTTACTGAGATTTCTTCTGTCTAGCCTTACATGAAAAAAACCCGTTTCCAACGAAGGCCTCAAAGAGGTCAAAATATCCACTGTGCAGACTTTCCAAACAGAGTGTTTCCAAACTGCTGAATGAAAAGAAAAGTTAAACTCTGTGAGTTGAACGCACACATCCCAGAGCAGTTTCTGAGAAAGATTCTGTCGAGTTTTTATAGGAAAATATTTCCTTTTCTGCTTTTGGCCTCAAAGCGCTTGAAATCTCCACTTGCAAATTCCACAAAAAGAGACTTTCAAATCTGCTCTGTCTAAAGGAAGGTTCAACTCTGTCAGTTGAATACACACAACACAAAGAAGTTACTAAGAATTCTTCCCTCTAGCATTATATGAAGAAATCCCGTTCCCAACGAAGGCATCTAAGAGGTCCAAATATCCACTTGCAGACTTTACAAACAGAGGGTTTCCAGAATGCTGTATGAAAAGAAAGGTTAAACTCTGTGAGTTAAACACACACATCACTACGCAGTGTCTGGGAACGAGTTTGTCTTGTTTTTATACGAAGATATTTCCTTTTCTACCATTGGCATCGAAGCGTTTGAAATCTCCACTTGCAAATTCCACAAAAAGAGTGTTTCAAATCTGCTCTGTCTAAAGGAAGGTTGAACTCTGTGAGTTGCATACACACAACACAAAGAAGTTACTGAGAAATCTTCTGTCTAGCATAATATGAAGAAATCCCGTTTCCAACGAAGGCCTCAAAGAGGTCCGAATATCCACTGGCAGGCTTCACAAACAGAGTGTTTCCTAACTGCTCTGTGAAAAGAAAGGTTAAACTCTGTGAGTTGAACGCACACATCACAAAGGAGTTTCTGAGAATCATTCTGTCTAGTTTTTATACGAAGATATTTCCTTTTCTACCATTGACCTCAAAGCGGCTGACATCTCCACTTGCAAATTCCAGAAAAACAGTGTTTCAAATCTGCTCTGTGTAAAGGATCGTTCAACTCTGTGAGTTGAATACACACAACACAAGGAAGTTACTGAGAATTCATCTGTCTAGCATAATATGAAGAAATCCCGTTTCCAACGAAGGCTTCAAAGAGGTCTGAATATCCACTTGCAGACTTTAAAAACAGAGTGTTTCCTAACTGCTCTTTGAAAAGAAAGGTTAAACTCTGTGAGTTGAACGCACACATCACAAAACAGTTTCTGAGAATCATTCTTTCTAGTTTTTATACGAAGATATTTCCTTTTCTACCGTTGACCTCAAAGCGGCTGAATTCTCCACTTACAAATTCCACCAAAAGAGTGTCTCAAATCTGCTCTGTGTAAAGAATCATTCAACTCTGTGAGTTGAATGCACACAACACAAGGAAGTTACTGGGAATTCCTCTGTCTAACCTTACATGAAAAAACGCGTTTCCAACGAAGGCCTCTAAGAGGCCAAGATATCCACTTGCAGACTTTACAAACAGAGTGTTTCCAAACTGCTGAATGAAAAGAAAAGTTAAACTCTGTGAGTTGAACGCACACATCACAGAGCAGTTTCTGAGAATGATTCTGTCGGGTTTTTATACGAAGATATTTCCTTTTCTGCCTTGGCCTCAAAGCGCTTGAAGTCTCCACTTGCAAATTGCAGAAAAAGAGCGTTTCGAATCTGCTCTGTCTAAAGGAAGGTTCAACTCTGTCAGTTAAATACACACAACACAAGGAAGTTACTGAGATTTCTTCTGTCTAGCCTTACATGAAAAAAACCCGTTTCCAACGAAGGCCTCAAAGAGGTCAAAATATCCACGTGCAGACTTTCCAAACAGAGTGTTTCCAAACTGCTGAATGAAAAGAAAGTTAAACTCTGTGAGTTGAACACACACATCACAGAGCAGTTTCTGAGAATGATTCTGTCTAGTTTTTATAGGAAAATATTTCCTTTTCTGCTTTTGGCCTCAAAGCGCTTGAAATCTCCACTTGCAAATTCCACAAAAAGAGACTTTCAAATCTGCTCTGTCTAAAGGAAGGTTCAACTCTGTCATTTCAATACACACAACACAAAGAAGTTACTAAGAATTCTTCCCTCTAGCATTATATGAAGAAATCCCGTTTCCAACGAAGGCCTCAAAGAGGTCTGAATATCCACTTGCAGACTTTACAGAGTGTTTCCTAACTGCTCTTTGAAAAGAAAGGTTAAACTCTGTGAGTTGAACGCACACATCACAAAACAGTTTCTGAGAATCATTCTGTCTAGTTTTTATACGAAGATATTTCCTTTTCTACCGTTGACCTCAAAGCGGCTGAATTCTCCACTTACAAATTCCACCCAAAGAGTGTCTCAAATCTGCTCTGTGTAAAGAATCATTCAACTCTGTGAGTTGAATGCACACAACACAAGGAAGTTACTGGGAATTCCTCTGTCTAACCTTACATGAAAAAACCCGTTTCCAACGAAGGCCTCTAAGAGGCCAAGATATCCACTTGCAGACTTTACAAACAGAGTGTTTCCAAACTGCTGAATGAAAAGAAAAGTTAAACTCTGTGAGTTGAACGCACACATCACAGAGCAGTTTCTGAGAATGATTCTGTCGGGTTTTTATACGAAGATATTTCCTTTTCTGCCTTTGGCCTCAAAGCGCTTGAAGTCTCCACTTGCAAATTGCAGAAAAAGAGTGTTTCGAATCTGCTCTGTCTAAAGGAAGGTTCAACTCTGTCAGTTGAATACACACAACACAAGGAAGTTACTGAGATTTCTTCTGTCTAGCCTTACATGAAAAAAACCCGTTTCCAACGAAGGCCTCAAAGAGGTCAAAATATCCACGTGCAGACTTTCCAAACAGAGTGTTTCCAAACTGCTGAATGAAAAGAAAAGTTAAACTCTGTGAGTTGAACGCACACATCCCAGAGCAGTTTCTGAGAAAGATTCTGTCGAGTTTTTATAGGAAAATATTTCCTTTTCTGCTTTTGGCCTCAAAGCGCTTGAAATCTCCACTTGCAAATTCCACAAAAAGAGACTTTCAAATCTGCTCTGTCTAAAGGAAGGTTCAACTCTGTCAGTTGAATACACACAACACAAAGAAGTTACTAAGAATTCTTCCCTCTAGCATTATATGAAGAAATCCCGTTTCCAACGAAGGCATCTAAGAGGTCCAAATATCCACTTGCAGACTTTACAAACACAGGGTTTCCAGAATGCTGTATGAAAAGAAAGGTTAAACTCTGTGAGTTAAACACACACATCACTACGCAGTGTCTGGGAACGAGTTTGTCTTGTTTTTATACGAAGATATTTCCTTTTCTACCATTGGCATCGAAGCGCTTGAAATCTCCACTTGCAAATTCCACAAAAAGAGTGTTTCAAATCTGCTCTGTCTAAAGGAAGGTTGAACTCTGTGAGTTGCATACACACAACACAAAGAAGTTACTGAGAAATCTTCTGTCTAGCATAATATGAAGAAATCCCGTTTCCAACGAAGGCCTCAAAGAGGTCCGAATATCCACTGGCAGGCTTCACAAACAGAGTGTTTCCTAACTGCTCTGTGAAAAGAAAGGTTAAACTCTGTGAGTTGAACGCACACATCACAAAGGAGTTTCTGAGAATCATTCTGTCTAGTTTTTATACGAAGATATTTCTTTTTCTACCATTGACCTCAAAGCGGCTGAAATCTCCACTTGCAAATTCCAGAAAAACAGTGTTTCAAATCTGCTCTGTGTAAAGGATCGTTCAACTCTGTGAGTTGAATACACACAACACAAGGAAGTTACTGAGAATTCATCTGTCTAGCATAATATGAAGAAATCCCGTTTCCAACGAAGGCCTCAAAGAGGTCTGAATATCCACTTGCAGACTTTACAAACAGAGTGTTTCCTAACTGCTCTTTGAAAAGAAAGGTTAAACTCTGTGAGTTGAACGCACACATCACAAAAAAGTTTCTGAGAATCATTCTGTCTAGTTTTTATACGAAGATATTTCCTTTTCTACCGTTGACCTCAAAGCGGCTGAATTCTCCACTAACAAATTCCACCAAAAGAGTGTCTCAAATCTGCTCTGTGTAAAGAATCATTCAACTACTGTGAGTTGAATGCACACAACACAAGGAAGTTACTGGGAATTCCTCTGTCTATCCTTACATGAAAAAACCCGTTTCCAACGAAGGCCTCTAAGAGGCCAAGATATCCACTTGCAGACTTTACAAACAGAGTGTTTCCAAACTGCTGAATGAAAAGAAAAGTTAAACTATGTGAGTTGAACGCAGACATCACAGAGCAGTTTCTGAGAATGATTCTGTCGGGTTTTTATACGAAGATATTTCCTTTTCTGCCTTTGGCCTCAAAGCGCTTGAAGTCTCCACTTGCAAATTGCAGAAAAAGAGTGTTTCGAATCTGCTCTGTCTAAAGGAAGGTTCAACTCTGTCAGTTGAATACACACAACACAAGGAAGTTACTGAGATTTCTTCTGTCTAGCCTTACATGAAAAAAACCCGTTTCCAACGAAGGCCTCAAAGAGGTCAAAATATCCACGTGCAGACTTTCCAAACAGAGTGTTTCCAAACTGCTGAATGAAAAGAAAAGTTAAACTCTGTGAGTTGAACGCACACATCCCAGAGCAGTTTCTGAGAAAGATTCTGTCGAGTTTTTATAGGAAAATATTTCCTTTTCTGCTTTTGGCCTCAAAGCGCTTGAAATCTCCACTTGCAAATTCCACAAAAAGAGACTTTCAAATCTGCTCTGTCTAAAGGAAGGTTCAACTCTGTCAGTTGAATACACACAACACAAAGAAGTTACTAAGAATTCTTCCCTCTAGCATTATATGAAGAAATCCCGTTTGCAACGAAGGCATCCAAGAGGTCCAAATATCCACTTGCAGACTTTACAAACAGAGGGTTTCCAGAATGCTGTATGAAAAGAAAGGTGAAACTCTGTGAGTTAAACACACACATCACTACGCAGTGTCTGGGAACGAGTTTGTCTTGTTTTTATACGAAGATATTTCCTTTTCTACCATTGGCATCGAAGCGCTTGAAATCTCCACTTGCAAATTCCACAAAAAGAGTGTTTCAAATCTGCTCTGTCTAAAGGAAGGTTGAACTCTGTGAGTTGCATACACACAACACAAAGAAGTTACTGAGAAATCTTCTGTCTAGCATAATATGAAGAAATCCCGTTTCCAACGAAGGCCTCAAAGAGGTCCGAATATCCACTGGCAGGCTTCACAAACAGAGTGTTTCCTAACTGCTCTGTGAAAAGAAAGGTTAAACCCTGTGAGTTGAACGCACACATCACAAAGGAGTTTCTGAGAATCATTCTGTCTAGTTTTTATACGAAGATATTTCCTTTTCTACCATTGACCTCAAAGCGGCTGAAATCTCCACTTGCAAATTCCAGAAAAACAGTGTTTCAAATCTGCTCTGTGTAAAGGATCGTTCAACTCTGTGAGTTGAATACACACAACACAAGGAAGTTACTGAGAATTCATCTGTCTAGCATAATATGAAGAAATCCCGTTTCCAACGAAGGCCTCAAAGAGGTCTGAATATCCACTTGCAGACTTTACAAACAGAGTGTTTCCTAACTGCTCTTTGAAAAGGAAGGTTAAACTCTGTGAGTTGAACGCACACATCACAAAACAGTTTCTGAGAATCATTGTGTCTAGTTTTTATACGAAGATATTTCCTTTTCTACCATTGATCTCAAAGCGGCTGAATTCTCCACTTACAAATTCCACCAAAAGAGTGTCTCCAATCTGCTCTGTGTAAAGAATCATTCAACTCTGTGAGTTGAATGCACACAACACAAGGAAGTTACTGGGAATTCCCCTCTCTAACCTTACATGAAAAAACCCTTTTCCAACGAAGGCCTCTAAGAGGCCAAGATATCCACTTGCAGACTTTACAAACAGAGTGTTTCCAAACTGCTGAATGAAAAGAAAAGTTAAACTCTGTGAGTTGAACGCACACATCACAGAGCAGTTTCTGAGAATGATTCTGTCGGGTTTTTATACGAAGATATTTCCTTTTCTGCCTTTGGCCTCAAAGCGCTTGAAGTCTCCACTTGCAAATTGCAGAAAAAGAGTGTTTCGAATCTGCTCTGTCTAAAAGAAGGTTCAACTCTGTCAGTTGAATACACACAACACAAGGAAGTTACTGAGATTTCTTCTGTCTAGCCTTACATGAAAAAAACCCGTTTCCAACGAAGGCCTCAAAGAGGTCAAAATATCCACGTGCAGACTTTCCAAACAGAGTGTTTCCAAACTGCTGAATGAAAAGAAAAGTTAAACTCTGTGAGTTGAACGCACACATCCCAGAGCAGTTTCTGAGAAAGATTCTGTCTAGTTTTTATAGGAAAATATTTCCTTTTCTGCTTTTGGCCTCAAAGTGCTTGAAATCTCCACTTGCAAATTCCACAAAAAGAGACTTTCAAATCTGCTCTGTCTAAAGGAAGGTTCAACTCTGTCAGTTGAATACACACAACACAAAGAAGTTACTAAGAATTCTTCCCTCTAGCATTATATGAAGAAATCCCGTTTCCAACGAAGGCATCTAAGAGGTCCAAATATCCACTTGCAGACTTTACAAACAGAGGGTTTCCAGAATGCTGTATGAAAAGAAAGGTTAAACTCTGTGAGTTAAACACACACATCACTACGCAGTGTCTGGGAACGAGTTTGTCTTGTTTTTATACGAAGATATTTCCTTTTCTACCATTGGCATCGAAGCGCTTGAAATCTCCACTTGCAAATTCCACAAAAAGAGTGTTTCAAATCTGCTCTGTCTATAGGAAGGTTGAACTCTGTGAGTTGCATACACACAACACAAAGAAGTTACTGAGAAATCTTCTGTCTAGCATAATATGAAGAAATCCCGTTTCTAACGAAGGCCTCAAAGAGGTCCGAATATCCACTGGCAGGCTTCACAAACAGAGTGTTTCCTAACTGCTCTGTGAAAAGAAAGGTTAAACTCTGTGAGTTGAACGCACACATCACAAAGGAGTTTCTGAGAATCATTCTGTCTAGTTTTTATACGAAGATATTTCCTTTTCTACCATTGACCTCAAAGCGGCTGAAATCTCCACTTGCAAATTCCAGAAAAACAGTGTTTCAAATCTGCTCTGTGTAAAGGATCGTTTAACTCTGTGAGTTGAATACACACAACACAAGGAAGTTACTGAGAATTCAACTGTCTAGCATAATATGAAGAAATCCCGTTTCCAACGAAGGCCTCAAAGAGGTCTGAATATCCACTTGCAGACTTTACAAACAGAGTGTTTCCTAACTGCTCTTTGAAAAGAAAGGTTAAACTCTGTGAGTTGAACGCACACATCACAAAACAGTTTCTGAGAATCATTCTGTCTAGTTTTTATACGAAGATATTTCCTTTTCTACCGTTGACCTCAAAGCGGCTGAATTCTCCACCTACAAATTCCACCAAAAGAGTGTCTCAAATCTGCTCTGTGTAAAGACTCATTCAACTCTGTGAGTTGAATGCACACAACACAAGGAAGTTACTGGGAATTCCTCTGTCTATCCTTACATGAAAAAACCCGTTTCCAACGAAGGCCTCTAAGAGGCCAAGATATCCACTTGCAGACTTTACAAACAGAGTGTTTCCAAACTGCTGAATGAAAAGAAAAGTTAAACTCTGTGAGTTGAACGCACACATCACAGAGCAGTTTCTGAGAAAGATTCTGTCTAGTTTTTATAGGAAAATATTTCCTTTTCTGCTTTTGGCCTCAAAGCGCTTGAAATCTCCACTTGCAAATTCCACAAAAAGAGTGTTTCAAATCTGCTCTGTCTAAAGGAAGGTTGAACTCTGTCAGTTGCATACACACAACACAAAGAAGTTACTGAGAAATCTTCTGTCTAGCATAATATGAAGAAATCCCGTTTCCAACGAAGGCCTCAAAGAGGTCCGAATATCCACTGGCAGGCTTCACAAACAGAGTGTTTCCTAACTGCTCTGTGAAAAGAAAGGTTAAACTCTGTGAGTTGAACGCACACATCACAAAGGAGTTTCTGAGAATCATTCTGTCTAGTTTTTATACGAAGATATTTCTTTTTCTACCATTGACCTCAAAGCGGCTGAAATCTCCACTTGCAAATTCCAGAAAAACAGTGTTTCAAATCTGCTCTGTGTAAAGGATCGTTCAACTCTGTGAGTTGAATACACACAACACAAGGAAGTTACTGAGAATTCATCTGTCTAGCATGATATGAAGAAATCCCGTTTCCAACGAAGGCCTCAAAGAGGTCTGAATATCCACTTGCAGACTTTACAGAGTGTTTCCTAACTGCTCTTTGAAAAGAAAGGTTAAACTCTGTGAGTTGAACGCACACATCACAAAACAGTTTCTGAGAATCATTCTGTCTAGTTTTTATACGAAGATATTTCCTTTTCTACCGTTGACCTCAAAGCGGCTGAATTCTCCACTTACAAATTCCACCAAAAGAGTGTCTCAAATCTGCTCTGTGTAAAGAATCATTCAACTCTGTGAGTTGAATGCACACAACACAAGGAAGTTACTGGGAATTCCTCTGTCTATCCTTACATGAAAAAACCCGCTTCCAACGAAGGCCTCTAAGAGGCCAAGATATCCACTTGCAGACTTTACAGAGTGTTTCCAAACTGCTGAATGAAAAGAAAAGTTAAACTCTGTGAGTTGAACGCACACATCACAGAGCAGTTTCTGAGAATGATTCTGTCGGGTTTTTATACGAAGATATTTCCTTTTCTGCCTTTGGCCTCAAAGCGCTTGAAGTCTCCACTTGCAAATTGCAGAAAAAGAGTGTTTCGAATCTGCTCTGTCTAAAGGAAGGTTCAACTCTGTCAGTTGAATACACACAACACAAGGAAGTTACTGAGATTTCTTCTGTCTAGCCTTACATGAAAAAAACCCGTTTCCAACGAAGGCCTCAAAGAGGTCAAAATATCCACGTGCAGACTTTCCAAACAGAGTGTTTCCAAACTGCTGAATGAAAAGAAAAGTTAAACTCTGTGAGTTGAACGCACACATCCCAGAGCAGTTTCTGAGAAAGATTCTGTCGAGTTTTTATAGGAAAATATTTCCTTTTCTGCTTTTGCCCTCAAAGCGCTTGAAATCTCCACTTGCAAATTCCACAAAAAGAGACTTTCAACTCTGCTCTGTCTAAAGGAAGGTTCAACTCTGTCAGTTGAATACACACAACACAAAGAAGTTACTAAGAATTCTTCCCTCTAGCATTATATGAAGAAATCCCGTTTCCAACGAAGGCATCTAAGAGGTCCAAATATCCACTTGCAGACTTTACAAACAGAGGGTTTCCAGAATGCTGTATGAAAAGAAAGGTTAAACTCTGTGAGTTAAACACACACATCACTACGCAGTGTCTGGGAACGAGTTTGTCTTGTTTTTATACGAAGATATTTCCTTTTCTACCATTGGCATCGAAGCGCTTGAAATCTCCACTTGCAAATTCCACAAAAAGAGTGTTTCAAATCTGCTCTGTCTAAAGGAAGGTTGAACTCTGTGAGTTGCATACACACAACACAAAGAAGTTACTGAGAAATCTTCTGTCTAGCATAATATGAAGAAATCCCGTTTCCAACGAAGGCCTCAAAGAGGTCCGAATATCCACTGGCAGGCTTCACAAACAGAGTGTTTCCTAACTGCTCTGTGAAAAGAAAGGTTAAACCCTGTGAGTTGAACGCACACATCACAAAGGAGTTTACTGAGAATCATTCTGTCTAGTTTTTATACGAAGATATTTCCTTTTCTACCATTGACCTCAAAGCGGCTGAAATCTCCACTTGCAAATTCCAGAAAAACAGTGTTTCAAATCTGCTCTGTGTAAAGGATCGTTCAACTCTGTGAGTTGAATACACACAACACAAGGAAGTTACTGAGAATTCATCTGTCTAGCATAATATGAAGAAATCCCGTTTCCAACGAAGGCCTCAAAGAGGTCTGAATATCCACTTGCAGACTTTACAAACAGAGTGTTTCCTAACTGCTCTTTGAAAAGAAAGGTTAAACTCTGTGAGTTGAACGCACACATCACAAAACAGTTTCTGAGAATCATTCTGTCTAGTTTTTATACGAAGATATTTCCTTTTCTACCGTTGACCTCAAAGCGGCTGAATTCTCCACTTACAAATTCCACCAAAAGAGTGTCTCAAATCTGCTCTGTGTAAAGAATCATTCAACTCTGTGAGTTGAATGCACACAACACAAGGAAGTTACTGGGAATTCCTCTGTCTAACCTTACATGAAAAAACCCGTTTCCAACGAAGGCCTCTAAGAGGCCAAGATATCCACTTGCAGACTTTACAAACAGAGTGTTTCCAAACTGCTGAATGAAAAGAAAAGTTAAACTCTGTGAGTTGAACGCACACATCACAGAGCAGTTTCTGAGAATGATTCTGTCGGGTTTTTATACGAAGATATTTCCTTTTCTGCCTTTGGCCTCAAAGCGCTTGAAGTCTCCACTTGCAAATTGCAGAAAAAGAGTGTTTCGAATCTGCTCTGTCTAAAGGAAGGTTCAACTCTGTCAGTTGAATACACATAACACAAGGAAGTTACTGAGATTTCTTCTGTCTAGCGTTACATGAAAAAAACCCGTTTCCAACGAAGGCCTCAAAGAGGTCAAAATATCCACGTGCAGACTTTCCAAACAGAGTGTTTCCAAACTGCTGAATGAAAAGAAAAGTTAAACTCTGTGAGTTGAACGCACACATCCCAGAGTAGTTTCTGAGAAAGATTCTGTCTAGCTTTTATAGGAAAATATTTCCTTTTCTGCTTTTCGCCTCAAAGCGCTTGAAATCTCCACTTGCAAATTCCACAAAAAGAGACTTTCAAATCTGCTCTGTCTAAAGGAAGGTTCAACTCTGTCAGTTGAATACACACAACACAAAGAAGTTACTAAGAATTCTTCCCTCTAGCATTATATGAAGAAATCCCGTTTCCAACGAAGGCATCTAAGAGGTCCAAATATCCACTTGCAGACTTTACAAACAGAGGGTTTCCAGAATGCTGTATGAAAAGAAAGGTTAAACTCTGTGAGTTAAACACACACATCACTACGCAGTGTCTGGGAACGAGTTTGTCTTGTTTTTATACGAAGATATTTCCTTTTCTACCATTGGCATCGAAGCGCTTGAAATCTCCACTTGCAAATTCCACAAAAAGAGTGTTTCAAATCTGCTCTGTCTAAAGGAAGGTTGAACTCTGTGAGTTGCATACACACAACCCAAAGAAGTTACTGAGAAATCTTCTGTCTAGCATAATATGAAGAAATCCCGTTTCCAACGAAGGCCTCAAAGAGGTCCGAATATCCACTGGCAGGCTTCACAAACAGAGTGTTTCCTAACTGCTCTGTGAAAAGAAAGGTTAAACTCTGTGAGTTGAACGCACACATCACAAAGGAGTTTCTGAGAATCATTCTGTCTAGTTTTTATACGAAGCATATTTCCTTTTCTACCATTGACCTCAAAGCGGCTGAAATCTCCACTTGCAAATTCCAGAAAAACAGTGTTTCAAATCTGCTCTGTGTAAAGGATCGTTCAACTCTGTGAGTTGAATACACACAACACAAGGAAAGTTACTGAGAATTCATCTGTCTAGCATAATATGAAGAAATCCCGTTTCCAACGAAGGCCTCAAAGAGGTCTGAATATCCACTTGCAGACTTTACAAACAGAGTGTTTCCTAACTGCTCTCTGAAAAGAAAGGTTAAACTCTGTGAGTTGAACGCACACATCACAAAACAGTTTCTGAGAATCATTCTGTCTAGTTTTTATACGAAGATATTTCCTTTTCTACCGTTGACCTCAAAGCGGCTGAATTCTCCACTTACAAATTCCACCAAAAGAGTGTCTCAAATCTGCTCTGTGTAAAGAATCATTCAACTCTGTGAGTTGAATGCACACAACACAAGGAAGTTACTGGGAATTCCTCTGTCTATCCTTACATGAAAAAACCCGTTTCCAACGAAGGCCTCTAAGAGGCCAAGATATCCACTTGCAGACTTTACAAACAGAGTGTTTCCAAACTGCTGAATGAAAAGAAAAGTTAAACTCTGTGAGTTGAACGCACACATCACAGAGCAGTTTCTGAGAATGATTCTGTCGGGTTCTTATACGAAGATATTTCCTTTTCTGCCTTTGGCCTCAAAGCGCTTGAAGTCTCCACTTGCAAATTGCAGAAAAAGAGTGTTTCGAATCTGCTCTGTCTAAAGGAAGGTTCAACTCTGTCAGTTGAATACACAACACAAGGAAGTTACTGAGATTTCTTCTGTCTAGCCTTACATGAAAAAAACCCGTTTCCAACGAAGGCCTCAAAGAGGTCAAAATATCCAAGGCAGACTTTCCAAACAGAGTGTTTCCAAACGCTGAATGAAAAGAAAAGTTAAACTCTGTGAGTTGAACGCACACATCCCAGAGCAGTTTCTGAGAAAGATTCTGTCGAGGTTTTATAGGAAAATATTTCCTTTTCTGCTTTTGGCCTCAAAGCGCTTGAAATCTCCACTTGCAAATTCCACAAAAAGAGACTTTCAAATCTGCTCTGTCTAAAGGAAGGTTCAACTCTGTCAGTTGAATACACACAACACAAAGAAGTTACTAAGAATTCTTCCCTCTAGCATTATATGAAGAAATCCCGTTTCCAACGAAGGCATCTAAGAGGTCCAAATATCGACTTGCAGACTTTACAAACAGAGGGTTTCCAGAATGCTGTATGAAAAGAAAGGTGAAACTCTGTGAGTTAAACACACACATCACTACGCAGTGTCTGGGAACGAGTTTGTCTTGTTTTTATACGAAGATATTTCCTTTTCTACCATTGGCATCGAAGCGCTTGAAATCTCCACTTGCAAATTCCACAAAAAGAGTGTTTCAAATCTGCTCTTTCTAAAGGAAGGTTGAACTCTGTGAGTTGCATACACACAACACAAAGAAGTTACTGAGAAATCTTCTGTCTAGCATAATATGAAGAAATCCCGTTTCCAACGAAGGCCTCAAAGAGGTCCGAATATCCACTGGCAGGCTTCACAAACAGAGTGTTTCCTAACTGCTCTGTGAAAAGAAAGGTTAAACTCTGTGAGTTGAACGCACACATCACAAAGGAGTTTCTGAGAATCATTCTGTCTAGTTTTTATACGAAGATATTTCCTTTTCTACCATTGACCTCAAAGCGGCTGAAATCTCCACTTGCAAATTCCAGAAAAACAGTGTTTCAAATCTGCTCTGTGTAAAGGATCGTTCAACTCTGTGAGTTGAATACACACAACACAAGGAAGTTACTGAGAATTCATCTGTCTAGCATAATATGAAGAAATCCCGTTTCCAACGAAGGCCTCAAAGAGGTCTGAATATCCACTTGCAGACTTTACAAACAGAGTGTTTCCTAACTGCTCTTTGAAAAGAAAGGTTAAACTCTGTGAGTTGAACGCACACATCACAAAACAGTTTCTGAGAATCATTCTGTCTAGTTTTTATGCGAAGATATTTGCTTTTCTACCGTTGACCTCAAAGCGGCTGAATTCTCCACTTACAAATTCCACCAAAAGAGTGTCTCAAATCTGCTCTGTGTAAAGAATCATTCAACTCTGTGAGTTGAATGCACACAAAACAAGGAAGTTACTGGGAATTCCTCTGTCTAACCTTACATGAAAAAACCCGTTTCCAACGAAGGCCTCTAAGAGGCCAAGATATCCACTTGCAGACTTTACAAACAGAGTGTTTCCAAACTGCTGAATGAAAAGAAAAGTTAAACTCTGTGAGTTGAACGCACACATCACAGAGCAGTTTCTGAGAATGATTCTGTCGGGTTTTTATACGAAGATATTTCCTTTTCTGCCTTTGGCCTCAAAGCGCTTGAAGTCTCCACTTGCAAATTGCAGAAAAAGAGTGTTTCGAATCTGCTCTGTCTAAAGGAAGGTTCAACTCTGTCAGTTGAATACACACAACACAAGGAAGTTACTGAGATTTCTTCTGTCTAGCCTTACAAGAAAAAAACCCGTTTCCAACGAAGGCCTCAAAGAGGTCAAAATATCCACGTGCAGACTTTCCAAACAGAGTGTTTCCAAACTGCTGAATGGAAAGAAAAGTTAAACTCTGTGAGTTGAACGCACACATCCCAGAGCAGTTTCTGAGAAAGATTCTGTCGAGTTTTTATAGGAAAATATTTCCTTTTCTGCTTTTGGCCTCAAAGCGCTTGAAATCTCCACTTGCAAATTCCACAAAAAGAGACTTTCAAATCTGCTCTGTCTAAAGGAAGGTTCAACTCTGTCAGTTGAATACACACAACACAAAGAAGTTACTAAGAATTCTTCCCTCTAGCATTATATGAAGAAATCCCGTTTCCAACGAAGGCATCTAAGAGGTCCAAATATCCACTTGCAGACTTTACAAACACAGGGTTTCCAGAATGCTGTATGAAAAGAAAGGTGAAACTCTGTGAGTTAAACACACACATCACTACGCAGTGTCTGGGAACGAGTTTGTCTTGTTTTTATACGAAGATATTTCCTTTTCTACCATTGGCATCGAAGCGCTTGAAATCTCCACTTGCAAATTCCACAAAAAGAGTGTTTCAAATCTGCTCTGTCTAAAGGAAGGTTGAACTCTGTGAGTTGCATACACACAACACAAAGAAGTTACTGAGAAATCTTCTGTCTAGCATAATATGAAGAAATCCCGTTTCCAACGAAGGCCTCAAAGAGGTCCGAATATCCACTGGCAGGCTTCACAAACAGAGTGTTTCCTAACTGCTCTGTGAAAAGAAAGGTTAAACTCTGTGAGTTGAACGCACACATCACAAAGGAGTTTCTGAGAATCATTCTGTCTAGTTTTTATACGAAGATATTTCCTTTTCTACCATTGACCTCAAAGCGGCTGAAATCTCCACTTGCAAATTCCAGAAAAACAGTGTTTCAAATCTGCTCTGTGTAAAGGATCGTTTAACTCTGTGAGTTGAATACACACAACACAAGGAAGTTACTGAGAATTCATCTGTCTAGCATAATATGAAGAAATCCCGTTTCCAACGAAGGCCTCAAAGAGGTCTGAATATCCACTTGCAGACTTTACAAACAGAGTGTTTCCTAACTGCTCTTTGAAAAGAAAGGTTAAACTCTGTGAGTTGAACGCACACATCACAAAACAGTTTCTGAGAATCATTCTGTCTAGTTTTTATACGAAGATATTTCCTTTTCTACCGTTGACCTCAAAGCGGCTGAATTCTCCACTTACAAATTCCACCAAAAGAGTGTCTCAAATCTGCTCTGTGTAAAGAATCATTCAACTCTGTGAGTTGAATGCACACAACACAAGGAAGTTACTGGGAATTCCTCTGTCTATCCTTACATGAAAAAACCCGCTTCCAACGAAGGCCTCTAAGAGGCCAAGATATCCACTTGCAGACTTTACAAACAGAGTGTTTCCAAACTGCTGAATGAAAAGAAAAGTTAAACTCTGTGAGTTGAACGCACACATCACAGAGCAGTTTCTGAGAATGATTCTGTCGGGTTTTTATACGAAGATATTTCCTTTTCTGCCTTTGGCCTCAAAGCGCTTGAAGTCTCCACTTGCAAATTGCAGAAAAAGAGTGTTTCGAATCTGCTCTGTCTAAAGGAAGGTTCAACTCTGTCAGTTGAATACACACAACACAAGGAAGTTACTGAGATTTCTTCTGTCTAGCCTTACATGAAAAAAACCCGTTTCCAACGAAGGCCTCAAAGAGGTCAAAATATCCACGTGCAGACTTTCCAAACAGAGTGTTTCCAAACTGCTGAATGAAAAGAAAAGTTAAACTCTGTGAGTTGAACGCACACATCCCAGAGCAGTTTCTGAGAAAGATTCTGTCTAGTTTTTATAGGAAAATATTTCCTTTTCTGCTTTTGGCCTCAAAGCGCTTGAAATCTCCACTTGCAAATTCCACAAAAAGAGACTTTCAAATCTGCTCTGTCTAAAGGAAGGTTCAACTCTGTCAGTTGAATACACACAACACAAAGAAGTTACTAAGAATTCTTCCCTCTAGCATTATATGAAGAAATCCCGTTTGCAACGAAGGCATCTAAGAGGTCCAAATATCCACTTGCAGACTTTACAAACAGAGGGTTTCCAGAAGGCTGTATGAAAAGAAAGGTGAAACTCTGTGAGTTAAACACACACATCACTACGCAGTGTCTGGGAACGAGTTTGTCTTGTTTTTATACGAAGATATTTCCTTTTCTACCATTGGCATCGAAGCGCTTGAAATCTCCACTTGCAAATTCCACAAAAAGAGTGTTTCAAATCTGCTCTGTCTAAAGGAAGGTTGAACTCTGTGAGTTGCATACACACAACACAAAGAAGTTACTGAGAAATCTTCTGTCTAGCATAATATGAAGAAATCCCGTTTCCAACGAAGGCCTCAAAGAGGTCCGAATATCCACTGGCAGGCTTCACAAACAGAGTGTTTCCTAACTGCTCTGTGAAAAGAAAGGTTAAACCCTGTGAGTTGAACGCACACATCACAAAGGAGTTTCTGAGAATCATTCTGTCTAGTTTTTATACGAAGATATTTCCTTTTCTACCATTGACCTCAAAGCGGCTGAAATCTCCACTTGCAAATTCCAGAAAAACAGTGTTTCAAATCTGCTCTGTGTAAAGGATCGTTCAACTCTGTGAGTTGAATACACACAACACAAGGAAGTTACTGAGAATTCATCTGTCTAGCATAATATGAAGAAATCCCGTTTCCAACGAAGGCCTCAAAGAGGTCTGAATATCCTCTTGCAGACTTTACAAACAGAGTGTTTCCTAACTGCTCTTTGAAAAGAAAGGTTAAACTCTGTGAGTTGAACGCACACATCACAAAACAGTTTCTGAGAATCATTTCTGTCTAGTTTTTATACGAAGATATTTCCTTTTCTACCGTTGACCTCAAAGCGGCTGAATTCTCCACTTACAAATTCCACCAAAAGAGTGTCTCAAATCTGCTCTGTGTAAAGAATCATTCAACTCTGTGAGTTGAATGCACACAACACAAGGAAGTTACTGGGAATTCCTCTGTCTATCCTTACATGAAAAAACCCGTTTCCAACGAAGGCCTCTAAGAGGCCAAGATATCCACTTGCAGACTTTACAAACAGAGTGTTTCCAAACTGCTGAATGAAAAGAAAAGTTAAACTCTGTGAGTTGAACGCACACATCACAGAGCAGTTTCTGAGAATGATTCTGTCGGGTTTTTATACGAAGATATTTCCTTTTCTGCCTTTGGCCTCAAAGCGCTTGAAGTCTCCACTTGCAAATTGCAGAAAAAGAGTGTTTCGAATCTGCTCTGTCTAAAGGAAGGTTCAACTCTGTCAGTTGAATACACACAACACAAGGAAGTTACTGAGATTTCTTCTGTCTAGCCTTACATGAAAAAAACCCGTTTCCAACGAAGGCCTCAAAGAGGTCAAAATATCCACGTGCAGACTTTCCAAACAGAGTGTTTCCAAACTGCTGAATGAAAAGAAAAGTTAAACTCTGTGAGTTGAACGCACACATCCCAGAGCAGTTTCTGAGAAAGATTCTGTCGAGTTTTTATAGGAAAATATTTCCTTTTCTGCTTTTGGCCTCAAAGCGCTTGAAATCTCCACTTGCAAATTCCACAAAAAGAGACTTTCAAATCTGCTCTGTCTAAAGGAAGGTTCAACTCTGTCAGTTGAATACACACAACACAAAGAAGTTACTAAGAATTCTTCCCTCTAGCATTATATGAAGAAATCCCGTTTCCAACGAAGGCATCTAAGAGGTCCAAATATCCACTTGCAGACTTTACAAACAGAGGGTTCCCAGAATGCTGTATGAAAAGAAAGGTTAAACTCTGTGAGTTAAACACACACATCACTACGCAGTGTCTGGGAACGAGTTTGTCTTGTTTTTATACGAAGATATTTCCTTTTCTACCATTGGCATCGAAGCGCTTGAAATCTCCACTTGCAAATTCCACAAAAAGAGTGTTTCAAATCTGCTCTGTCTAAAGGAAGGTTGAACTCTGTGAGTTGCATACACACAACACAAAGAAGTTACTGAGAAATCTTCTGTCTAGCATAATATGAAGAAATCCCGTTTCCAACGAAGGCCTCAAAGAGGTCCGAATATCCACTGGCAGGCTTCACAAACAGAGTGTTTCCTAACTGCTCTGTGAAAAGAAAGGTTAAACTCTGTGAGTTGAACGCACACATCACAAAGGAGTTTCTGAGAATCATTCTGTCTAGTTTTTATACGAAGATATTTCCTTTTCTACCATTGACCTCAAAGCGGCTGAAATCTCCACTTGCAAATTCCAGAAAAACAGTGTTTCAAATCTGCTCTGTGTAAAGGATCGTTCAACTCTGTGAGTTGAATACACACAACACAAGGAAGTTACTGAGAATTCATCTGTCTAGCATAATATGAAGAAATCCCGTTTCCAACGAAGGCCTCAAAGAGGTCTGAATATCCACTTGCAGACTTTACAAACAGAGTGTTTCCTAACTGCTCTTTGAAAAGAAAGGTTAAACTCTGTGAGTTGAACGCACACATCACAAAACAGTTTCTGAGAATCATTCTGTCTAGTTTTTATACGAAGATATTTCCTTTTCTACCGTTGACATCAAAGCGGCTGAATTCTCCACTTACAAATTCCACCAAAAGAGTGTCTCAAATCTGCTCTGTGTAAAGAATCATTCAACTCTGTGAGTTGAATGCACACAACACAAGGAAGTTAGTGGGAATTCCTCTGTCTAACCTTACATGAAAAAACCCGTTTCCAACGAAGGCCTCTAAGAGGCCAAGATATCCACTTGCAGACTTTACAAACAGAGTGTTTCCAAACTGCTGAATGAAAAGAAAAGTTAAACTCTGTGAGTTGAACGCACACATCACAGAGCAGTTTCTGAGAATGATTCTGTCGGGT
This sequence comes from Homo sapiens, assembly GCF_000001405.40. Taxonomy (NCBI): domain Eukaryota; kingdom Metazoa; phylum Chordata; class Mammalia; order Primates; family Hominidae; genus Homo; species Homo sapiens. The sequence goes on along the minus strand of NC_000016.10, from coordinate 37,179,183 downwards.
TTTTATACGAAGATATTTCCTTTTCTGCCTTTGGCCTCAAAGCACTTGAAGTCTCCACTTGCAAATTGCAGAAAAAGAGTGTTTCGAATCTGCTCTGTCTAAAGGAAGGTTCAACTCTGTCAGTTGAATACACACAACACAAGGAAGTTACTGAGATTTCTTCTGTCTAGCCTTACATGAAAAAACCCGTTTCCAACGAAGGCCTCAAAGAGGTCAAAATATCCACGTGCAGACTTTCCAAACAGAGTGTTTCCAAACTGCTGAATGAAAAGAAAGTTAAACTCTGTGAGTTGAACACACACATCACAGAGCAGTTTCTGAGAATGATTCTGTCTAGTTTTTATAGGAAAATATTTCCTTTTCTGCTTTTGGCCTCAAAGCGCTTGAAATCTCCACTTGCAAATTCCACAAAAAGAGACTTTCAAATCTGCTCTGTCTAAAGGAAGGTTCAACTCTGTCAGTTGAATACACACAACACAAAGAAGTTACTAAGAATTCTTCCCTCTAGCATTATATGAAGAAATCCCGTTTCCAACGAAGGCATCTAAGAGGTCCAAATATCCACTTGCAGACTTTACAAACAGAGGGTTTCCAGAATGCTGTATGAAAAGAAAGGTTAAACTCTGTGAGTTAAACACACACATCACTACGCAGTGTCTGGGAACGAGTTTGTCTTGTTTTTATACGAAGATATTTCCTTTTCTACCATTGGCATCGAAGCGCTTGAAATCTCCACTTGCAAATTCCACAAAAAGAGTGTTTCAAATCTGCTCTTTCTAAAGGAAGGTTGAACTCTGTGAGTTGCATACACACAACACAAAGAAGTTACTGAGAAATCTTCTGTCTAGCATAATATGAAGAAATCCCGTTTCCAACGAAGGCCTGAAAGAGGTCCGAATATCCACTGGCAGGCTTCACAAACAGAGTGTTTCCTAACTGCTCTGTGAAAAGAAAGGTTAAACTCTGTGAGTTGAACGCACACATCACAAAGGAGTTTCTGAGAATCATTCTGTCTAGTTTTTATACGAAGATATTTCCTTTTCTACCATTGACCTCAAAGCGGCTGAAATCTCCACTTGCAAATTCCAGAAAAACAGTGTTTCAAATCTGCTCTGTGTAAAGGATCGTTCAACTCTGTGAGTTGAATACACACAACACAAGGAAGTTACTGAGAATTCATCTGTCTAGCATAATATGAAGAAATCCCGTTTCCAACGAAGGCCTCAAAGAGGTCTGAATATCCACTTGCAGACTTTACAGAGTGTTTCCTAACTGCTCTTTGAAAAGAAAGGTTAAACTCTGTGAGTTGAACGCACACATCAAAAAACAGTTTCTGAGAATCATTCTGTCTAGTTTTTATACGAAGATATTTCCTTTTCTACCGTTGACCTCAAAGCGGCTGAATTCTCCACTTACAAATTCCACCCAAAGAGTGTCTCAAATCTGCTCTGTGTAAAGAATCATTCAACTCTGTGAGTTGAATGCACACAACACAAGGAAGTTACTGGGAATTCCTCTGTCTAACCTTACATGAAAAAACCCGTTTCCAACGAAGGCCTCTAAGAGGCCAAGATATCCACTTGCAGACTTTAGAAACAGAGTGTTTCCAAACTGCTGAATGAAAAGAAAAGTTAAACTCTGTGAGTTGAACGCACACATCACAGAGCAGTTTCTGAGAATGATTCTGTCGGGTTTTTATACGAAGATATTTCCTTTTCTGCCTTTGGCCTCAAAGCGCTTGAAGTCTCCACTTGCAAATTGCCGAAAAAGAGTGTTTCGAATCTGCTCTGTCTAAAAGAAGGTTCAACTCTGTCAGTTGAATACACACAACACAAGGAAGTTACTGAGATTTCTTCTGTCTAGCCTTACATGAAAAAAACCCGTTTCCAACGAAGGCCTCAAAGAGGTCAAAATATCCACGTGCAGACTTTCCAAACAGAGTGTTTCCAAACTGCTGAATGAAAAGAAAAGTTAAACTCTGTGAGTTGAACGCACACATCCCAGAGCAGTTTCTGAGAAAGATTCTGTCTAGTTTTTATAGGAAAATATTTCCTTTTCTGCTTTTGGCCTCAAAGCGCTTGAAATCTCCACTTGCAAATTCCACAAAAAGAGACTTTCAAATCTGCTCTGTCTAAAGGAAGGTTCAACTCTGTCAGTTGAATACACACAACACAAAGAAGTTACTAAGAATTCTTCCCTCTAGCATTATATGAAGAAATCCCGTTTCCAACGAAGGCCTCAAAGAGGTCTGAATATCCACTTGCAGATTTTACAGAGTGTTTCCTAACTGCTCTTTGAAAAGAAAGGTTAAACTCTGTGAGTTGAACGCACACATCACAAAACAGTTTCTGAGAATCATTCTGTCTAGTTTTTATACGAAGATATTTCCTTTTCTACCGTTGACCTCAAAGCGGCTGAATTCTCCACTTACAAATTCCACCAAAAGAGTGTCTCAAATCTGCTCTGTGTAAAGAATCATTCAACTCTGTGAGTTGAATGCACACAACACAAGGAAGTTACTGGGAATTCCTCTGTCTAACCTTACATGAAAAAACCCGTTTCCAACGAAGGCCTCTAAGAGGCCAAGATATCCACTTGCAGACTTTACAAACAGAGTGTTTCCAAACTGCTGAATGAAAAGAAAAGTTAAACTCTGTGAGTTGAACGCACACATCACAGAGCAGTTTCTGAGAATGATTCTGTCGGGTTTTTATACGAAGATATTTCCTTTTCTGCCTTTGGACTCAAAGCGCTTGAAGTCTCCACTTGCAAATTGCAGAAAAAGAGTGTTTCGAATCTGCTCTGTCTAAAGGAAGGTTCAACTCTGTCAGTTGAATACACACAACACAAGGAAGTTACTGAGATTTCTTCTGTCTAGCCTTACATGAAAAAAACCCGTTTCCAACGAAGGCCTCAAAGAGGTCAAAATATCCACGTGCAGACTTTCCAAACAGAGTGTTTCCAAACTGCTGAATGAAAAGAAAAGTTAAACTCTGTGAGTTGAACGCACACATCCCAGAGCAGTTTCTGAGAAAGATTCTGTCGAGTTTTTATAGGAAAATATTTCCTTTTCTGCTTTTGGCCTCAAAGCGCTTGAAATCTCCACTTGCAAATTCCACAAAAAGAGACTTTCAAATCTGCTCTGTCTAAAGGAAGGTTCAACTCTGTCAGTTGAATACACACAACACAAAGAAGTTACTAAGAATTCTTCCCTCTAGCATTATATGAAGAAATCCCGTTTCCAACGAAGGCATCTAAGAGGTCCAAATATCCACTTGCAGACTTTACAAACAGAGGGTTTCCAGAATGCTGTATGAAAAGAAAGGTTAAACTCTGTGAGTTAAACACACACATCACTACGCAGTGTCTGGGAACGAGTTTGTCTTGTTTTTATACGAAGAAATTTCCTTTTCTACCATTGGCATCGATGCGCTTGAAATTTCCACTTGCAAATTCCACAAAAAGAGTGTTTCAAATCTGCTCTGTCTAAAGGAAGGTTGAACTCTGTGAGTTGCATACACACAACACAAAGAAGTTACTGAGAAATCTTCTGTCTAGCAAAATATGAAGAAATCCCGTTTCCAACGAAGGCCTCAAAGAGGTCCGAATATCCACTGGCAGGCTTCACAAACAGAGTGTTTCCTAACTGCTCTGTGAAAAGAAAGGTTAAACTCTGTGAGTTGAACGCACACATCACAAAGGAGTTTCTGAGAATCATTCTGTCTAGTTTTTATACGAAGATATTTCCTTTTCTACCATTGACCTCAAAGCGGCTGACATCTCCACTTGCAAATTCCAGAAAAACAGTGTTTCAAATCTGCTCTGTGTAAAGGATCGTTCAACTCTGTGAGTTGAATACACACAACACAAGGAAGTTACTGAGAATTCATCTGTCTAGCATAATATGAAGAAATCCCGTTTCCAACGAAGGCCTCAAAGAGGTCTGAATATCCACTTGCAGACTTTACAAACAGAGTGTTTCCTAACTGCTCTTTGAAAAGAAAGGTTAAACTCTGTGAGTTGAACGCACACATCACAAAACAGTTTCTGAGAATCATTCTGTCTAGTTTTTATACGAAGATATTTCCTTTTCTACCGTTGACCTCAAAGCAGCTGAATTCTCCACTTACAAATTCCACCAAAAGAGTGTCTCAAATCTGCTCTGTGTAAAGAATCATTCAACTCTGTGAGTTGAATGCACACAACACAAGGAAGTTACTGGGAATTCCTCTGTCTAACCTTACATGAAAAAACCCGTTTCCAACGAAGGCCTCTAAGAGGCCAAGATATCCACTTGCAGACTTTACAAACAGAGTGTTTCCAAACTGCTGAATGAAAAGAAAAGTTAAACTCTGTGAGTTGAACGCACACATCACAGAGCAGTTTCTGAGAATGATTCTGTCGGGTTTTTATACGAAGATATTTCCTTTTCTGCCTTTGGCCTCAAAGCGCTTGAAGTCTCCACTTGCAAATTGCAGAAAAAGAGTGTTTCGAATCTGCTCTGTCTAAAGGAAGGTTCAACTCTGTCAGTTGAATACACACAACACAAGGAAGTTACTGAGATTTCTTCTGTCTAGCCTTACATGAAAAAAACCCGTTTCCAACGAAGGCCTCAAAGAGGTCAAAATATCCACGTGCAGACTTTCCAAACAGAGTGTTTCCAAACTGCTGAATGAAAAGAAAAGTTAAACTCTGTGAGTTGAACGCACACATCCCAGAGCAGTTTCTGAGAAAGATTCTGTCTAGTTTTTATAGGAAAATATTTCCTTTTCTGCTTTTGGCCTCAAAGCGCTTGAAATCTCCACTTGCAAATTCCACAAAAAGAGACTTTCAAATCTGCTCTGTCTAAAGGAAGGTTCAACTCTGTCAGTTGAATACACACAACACAAAGAAGTTACTAAGAATTCTTCCCTCTAACATTATATGAAGAAATCCCGTTTCCAAAGAAGGCATCTAAGAGGTCCAAATACCGACTTGCAGACTTTACAAACAGAGGGTTTCCAGAATGCTGTATGAAAAGAAAGGTTAAACTCTGTGAGTTAAACACACACATCACTTCGCAGTGTCTGGGAACGAGTTTGTCTTGTTTTTATACAAAGATATTTCCTTTTCTACCATTGGCATCGAAGCGCTTGAAATCTCCACTTGCAAATTCCACAAAAAGAGTGTTTCAAATCTGCTCTGTCTAAAGGAAGGTTGAACTCTGTGAGTTGCATACACACAACCCAAAGAAGTTACTGATAAATCTTCTGTCTAGCATAATATGAAGAAATCCCGTTTCCAACGAAGGCCTCAAAGAGGTCCGAATATCCACTGGCAGGCTTCACAAACAGAGTGTTTCCTAACTGCTCTGTGAAAAGAAAGGTTAAACTCTGAGTTGAACGCACACATCACAAAGGAGTTTCTGAGAATCATTCTGTCTAGTTTTTATACGAAGATATTTCCTTTTCTACCATTGACCTCAAAGCGGCTGACATCTCCACTTGCAAATTCCAGAAAAACAGTGTTTCAAATCTGCTCTGTGTAAAGGATCGTTCAACTCTGTGAGTTGAATACACACAACACAAGGAAGTTACTGAGAATTCATCTGTCTAGCATAATATGAAGAAATCCCGTTTCCAACGAAGGCCTCAAAGAGGTCTGAATATCCACTTGCAGACTTTACAAACAGAGTGTTTCCTAACTGCTCTTTGAAAAGAAAGGTTAAACTCTGTGAGTTGAACGCACACATCACAAAACAGTTTCTGAGAATCATTCTGTCTAGTTTTTATACGAAGATATTTCCTTTTCTACCGTTGACCTCAAAGCGGCTGAATTCTCCACTTACAAATTCCACCAAAAGAGTGTCTCAAATCTGCTCTGTGTAAAGAATCATTCAACTCTGTGAGTTGAATGCACACAACACAAGGAAGTTACTGGGAATTCCTCTGTCTATCCTTACATGAAAAAACCCGTTTCCAACGAAGGCCTCTAAGAGGCCAAGATATCCACTTGCAGACTTTACAAACAGAGTGTTTCCAAACTGCTGAATGAAAAGAAAAGTTAAACTCTGTGAGTTGAACGCACACATCACAGAGCAGTTTCTGAGAATGATTCTGTCGGGTTTTTATACGAAGATATTTCCTTTTCTGCCTTTGGCCTCAAAGCGCTTGAAGTCTCCACTTGCAAATTGCAGAAAAAGAGTGTTTCGAATCTGCTCTGTCTAAAGGAAGGTTCAACTCTGTCAGTTGAATACACACAACACAAGGAAGTTACTGAGATTTCTTCTGTCTAGCCTTACATGAAAAAAACCCGTTTCCAACGAAGGCCTCAAAGAGGTCAAATTATCCACGTGCAGACTTTCCAAACAGAGTGTTTCCAAACTGCTGAATGAAAAGAAAAGTTAAACTCTGTGAGTTGAACGCACACATCCCAGAGCAGTTTCTGAGAAAGATCTGTCTAGGTTTTATAGGAAAATATTTCCTTTTCTGCTTTTGGCCTCAAAGCGCTTGAAATCTCCACTTGCAAATTCCACAAAAAGAGACTTTCAAATCTGCTCTGTCTAAAGGAAGGTTCAACTCTGTCAGTTGAATACACACAACACAAAGAAGTTACTAAGAATTCTTCCCTCTAGCATTATATGAAGAAATCCCGTTTCCAACGAAGGCATCTAAGAGGTCCAAATATCGACTTGCAGACTTTACAAACAGAGGGTTTCCAGAATGCTGTATGAAAAGAAAGGTTAAACTCTGTGAGTTAAACACACACATCACTACGCAGTGTCTGGGAACGAGTTTGTCTTGTTTTTATACGAAGATATTTCCTTTTCTACCATTGGCATCGAAGCGCTTGAAATCTCCACTTGCAAATTCCACAAAAAGAGTGTTTCAAATCTGCTCTGTCTAAAGGAAGGTTGAACTCTGTGAGTTGCATACACACAACACAAAGAAGTTACTGAGAAATCTTCTGTCTAGCATAATATGAAGAAATCCCGTTTCCAACGAAGGCCTGAAAGAGGTCCGAATATCCACTGGCAGGCTTCACAAACAGAGTGTTTCCTAACTGCTCTGTGAAAAGAAAGGTTAAACTCTGTGAGTTGAACGCACACATCACAAAGGAGTTTCTGAGAATCATTCTGTCTAGTTTTTATACGAAGATATTTCCTTTTCTACCATTGACCTCAAAGCGGCTGAAATCTCCACTTGCAAATTCCAGAAAAACAGTGTTTCAAATCTGCTCTGTGTAAAGGATCGTTCAACTCTGTGAGTTGAATACACACAACACAAGGAAGTTACTGAGAATTCATCTGTCTAGCATAATATGATGAAATCCCGTTTCCAACGAAGGCTTCAAAGAGGTCTGAATATCCACTTGCAGACTTTACAAACAGAGTGTTTCCTAACTGCTCTTTGAAAAGAAAGGTTAAACTCTGTGAGTTGAACGCACACATCACAAAACAGTTTCTGAGAATCATTCTGTCTAGTTTTTATACGAAGATATTTCCTTTTCTACCGTTGACCTCAAAGCGGCTGAATTCTCCACTTACAAATTCCACCAAAAGAGTGTCTCAAATCTGCTCTGTGTAAAGAATCATTCAACTCTGTGAGTTGAATGCACACAACACAAGGAAGTTACTGGGAATTCCTCTGTCTAACCTTACATGAAAAAACCCGTTTCCAACGAAGGCCTCTAAGAGGCCAAGATATCCACTTGCAGACTTTACAAACAGAGTGTTTCCAAACTGCTGAATGAAAAGAAAAGTTAAACTCTGTGAGTTGAACGCACACATCACAGAGCAGTTTCTGAGAATGATTCTGTCGGGTTTTTATACGAAGATATTTCCTTTTCTGCCTTTGGCCTCAAAGCGCTTGAAGTCTCCACTTGCAAATTGCAGAAAAAGAGTGTTTCGAATCTGCTCTGTCTAAAGGAAGGTTCAACTCTGTCAGTTGAATACACACAACACAAGGAAGTTACTGAGATTTCTTCTGTCTAGCCTTACATGAAAAAAACCCGTTTCCAACGAAGGCCTCAAAGAGGTCAAAATATCCACGTGCAGACTTTCCAAACAGAGTGTTTCCAAACTGCTGAATGAAAAGAAAAGTTAAACTCTGTGAGTTGAACGCACACATCCCAGAGCAGTTTCTGAGAAAGATTCTGTCGAGTTTTTATAGGAAAATATTTCCTTTTCTGCTTTTGGCCTCAAAGCGCTTGAAATCTCCACTTGCAAATTCCACAAAAAGAGACTTTCAAATCTGCTCTGTCTAAAGGAAGGTTCAACTCTGTCAGTTGAATACACACAACACAAAGAAGTTACTAAGAATTCTTCCCTCTAGCATTATATGAAGAAATCCCGTTTCCAACGAAGGCATCTAAGAGGTCCAAATATCCACTTGCAGACTTTACAAACACAGGGTTTCCAGAATGCTGTATGAAAAGAAAGGTTAAACTCTGTGAGTTAAACACACACATCACTACGCAGTGTCTGGGAACGAGTTTGTCTTGTTTTTATACGAAGATATTTCCTTTTCTACCATTGGCATCGAAGCGCTTGAAATCTCCACTTGCAAATTCCACAAAAAGAGTGTTTCAAATCTGCTCTGTCTAAAGGAAGGTTGAACTCTGTGAGTTGCATACACACAACACAAAGAAGTTACTGAGAAATCTTCTGTCTAGCATAATATGAAGAAATCCCGTTTCCAACGAAGGCCTGAAAGAGGTCCGAATATCCACTGGCAGGCTTCACAAACAGAGTGTTTCCTAACTGCTCTGTGAAAAGAAAGGTTAAACTCTGTGAGTTGAACGCACACATCACAAAGGAGTTTCTGAGAATCATTCTGTCTAGTTTTTATACGAAGATATTTCCTTTTCTACCATTGACCTCAAAGCGGCTGAAATCTCCACTTGCAAATTCCAGAAAAACAGTGTTTCAAATCTGCTCTGTGTAAAGGATCGTTCAACTCTGTGAGTTGAATACACACAACACAAGGAAGTTACTGAGAATTCATCTGTCTAGCATAATATGAAGAAATCCCGTTTCCAACGAAGGCCTCAAAGAGGTCTGAATATCCGCTTGCAGACTTTACAAACAGAGTGTTTCCTAACTGCTCTTTGAAAAGAAAGGTTAAACTCTGTGAGTTGAACGCACACATCACAAAACAGTTTCTGAGAATCATTCTGTCTAGTTTTTATACGAAGATATTTCCTTTTCTACCGTTGACCTCAAAGCGGCTGAATTCTCCACTTACAAATTCCACCAAAAGAGTGTCTCAAATCTGCTCTGTGTAAAGAATCATTCAACTCTGTGAGTTGAATGCACACAACACAAGGAAGTTACTGGGAATTCCTCTGTCTAACCTTACATGAAAAAACCCGTTTCCAACGAAGGCCTCTAAGAGGCCAAGATATCCACTTGCAGACTTTACAAACAGAGTGTTTCCAAACTGCTGAATGAAAAGAAAAGTTAAACTCTGTGAGTTGAACGCACACATCACAGAGCAGTTTCTGAGAATGATTCTGTCGGGTTTTTATACGAAGATATTTCCTTTTCTGCCTTTGGCCTCAAAGCGCTTGAAGTCTCCACTTGCAAATTGCAGAAAAAGAGTGTTTCGAATCTGCTCTGTCTAAAGGAAGGTTCAACTCTGTCAGTTGAATACACACAACACAAGGAAGTTACTGAGATTTCTTCTGTCTAGCCTTACATGAAAAAAACCCGTTTCCAACGAAGGCCTCAAAGAGGTCAAAATATCCACGTGCAGACTTTCCAAACAGTGTTTCCAAACTGCTGAATGAAAAGAAAGTTAAACTCTGTGAGTTGAACGCACACATCACAGAGCAGTTTCTGAGAATGATTCTCTCTAGTTTTTATAGGAAAATATTTCCTTTTCTGCTTTTGGCCTCAAAGCGCTTGAAATCTCCACTTGCAAATTCCACAAAAAGAGACTTTCAAATCTGCTCTGTCTAAAGGAAGGTTCAACTCTGTCAGTTGAATACACACAACACAAAGAAGTTACTAAGAATTCTTCCCTCTAGCATTATATGAAGAAATCCCGTTTCCAACGAAGGCATCTAAGAGGTCCAAATATCCACTTGCAGACTTTACAAACACAGGGTATCCAGAATGCTGTATGAAAAGAAAGGTTAAACTCTGTGAGTTAAACACACACATCACTACGCAGTGTCTGGGAACGAGTTTGTCTTGTTTTTATACGAAGATATTTCCTTTTCTACCATTGGCATCGAAGCGCTTGAAATCTCCACTTGCAAATTCCACAAAAAGAGTGTTTCAAATCTGCTCTGTCTAAAGGAAGGTTGAACTCTGTGAGTTGCATACACACAACACAAAGAAGTTACTGAGAAATCTTCTGTCTAGCATAATATGAAGAAATCCCGTTTCCAACGAAGGCCTCAAAGAGGTCCGAATATCCACTGGCAGGCTTCACAAACAGAGTGTTTCCTAACTGCTCTGTGAAAAGAAAGGTTAAACTCTGTGAGTTGAACGCACACATCACAAAGGAGTTTCTGAGAATCATTCTGTCTAGTTTTTATACGAAGATATTTCCTTTTCTACCATTGACCTCAAAGCGGCTGAAATCTCCACTTGCAAATTCCAGAAAAACAGTGTTTCAAATCTGCTCTGTGTAAAGGATCGTTCAACTCTGTGAGTTGAATACACACAACACAAGGAAGTTACTGAGAATTCATCTGTCTAGCATAATATGAAGAAATCCCGTTTCCAACGAAGGCCTCAAAGAGGTCTGAATATCCACTTGCAGACTTTACAAACAGAGTGTTTCCTAACTGCTCTTTGAAAAGAAAGGTTAAACTCTGTGAGTTGAACGCACACATCACAAAACAGTTTCTGAGAATCATTCTGTCTAGTTTTTATACGAAGATATTTCCTTTTCTACCGTTGACCTCAAAGCGGCTGAATTCTCCACTTACAAATTCCACCAAAAGAGTGTCTCAAATCTGCTCTGTGTAAAGAATCATTCAACTCTGTGAGTTGAATGCACACAACACAAGGAAGTTACTGGGAATTCCTCTGTCTATCCTTACATGAAAAAACCCGTTTCCAACGAAGGCCTCTAAGAGGCCAAGATATCCACTTGCAGACTTTACAAACAGAGTGTTTCCAAACTGCTGAATGAAAAGAAAAGTTAAACTCTGTGAGTTGAACGCACACATCACAGAGCAGTTTCTGAGAGTGATTCTGTCTAGTTTTTATAGGAAAATATTTCCTTTTCTGCTTTTGGCCTCAAAGCGCTTGAAATCTCCACTTGCAAATTCCACAAAAAGAGTGTTTCAAATCTGCTCTGTCTAAAGGAAGGTTGAACTCTGTGAGTTGCATACACACAACACAAAGAAGTTACTGAGAAATCTTCTGTCTAGCATAATATGAAGAAATCCCGTTTCCAACGAAGGCCTCAAAGAGGTCCGAATATCCACTGGCAGGCTTCACAAACAGAGTGTTTCCTAACTGCTCTGTGAAAAGAAAGGTTAAACTCTGTGAGTTGAACGCACACATCACAAAGGAGTTTCTGAGAATCATTCTGTCTAGTTTTTATACGAAGATATTTCCTTTTCTACCATTGACCTCAAAGCGGCTGAAATCTCAACTTGCAAATTCCAGAAAAACAGTGTTTCAAATCTGTTCTGTGTAAATGATCGTTTAACTCTGTGAGTTGAATACACACAACACAAGGAAGTTACTGAGAATTCATCTGTCTAGCATAATATGAAGAAATCCCGTTTCCAACGAAGGCCTCAAACAGGTCTGAATATCCACTTGCAGACTTTACAAACAGAGTGTTTCCTAACTGCTCTTTGAAAAGAAAGGTTAAACTCTGTGAGTTGAACGCACACATCGCAAAACAGTTTCTGAGAATCATTCTGTCTAGTTTTTATACGAAGATATTTCCTTTTCTACCGTTGACCTCAAAGCGGCTGAATTCTCCACTTACAAATTCCACCAAAAGAGTGTCTCAAATCTGCTCTGTGTAAAGAATCATTCAACTCTGTGAGTTGAATGCACACAACACAAGGAAGTTACTGGGAATTCCTGTGTCTATCCTTACATGAAAAAACCCGTTTCCAACGAAGGCCTCTAAGAGGCCAAGATATCCACTTGCAGACTTTACAAACAGAGTGTTTCCAAACTGCTGAATGAAAAGAAAAGTTAAACTCTGTGAGTTGAACGCACACATCACAGAGCAGTTTCTGAGAATGATTCTGTCGGGTTTTTATACGAAGATATTTCCTTTTCTGCCTTTGGCCTCAAAGCGCTTGAAGTCTCCACTTGCAAATTGCAGAAAAAGAGTGTTTTGAATCTGCTCTGTCTAAAGGAAGGTTCAACTCTGTCAGTTGAATACACACAACACAAGGAAGTTACTGAGATTTCTTCTGTCTAGCCTTACATGAAAAAAACCCGTTTCCAACGAAGGCCTCAAAGAGGTCAAAATATCCACGTGCAGACTTTCCAAACAGAGTGTTTCCAAACTGCTGAATGAAAAGAAAAGTTAAACTCTGTGAGTTGAACGCACACATCCCAGAGCAGTTTCTGAGAAAGATTCTGTCGAGTTTTTATAGGAAAATATTTCCTTTTCTGCTTTTGGCCTCAAAGCGCTTGAAATCTCCACTTGCAAATTCCACAAAAAGAGACTTTCAAATCTGCTCTGTCTAAAGGAAGGTTCAACTCTGTCAGTTGAATACACACAACACAAAGAAGTTACTAAGAATTCTTCCCTCTAGCATTATATGAAGAAATCCCGTTTCCAACGAAGGCATCTAAGAGGTCCAAATATCCACTTGCAGACTTTACAAACACAGGGTTTCCAGAATGCTGTATGAAAAGAAAGGTTAAACTCTGTGAGTTAAACACACACATCACTACGCAGTGTCTGGGAACGAGTTTGTCTTGTTTTTATACGAAGATATTTCCTTTTCTACCATTGGCATCGAAGCGCTTGAAATCTCCACTTGCAAATTCCACAAAAAGAGTGTTTCAAATCTGCTCTGTCTAAAGGAAGGTTGAACTCTGTGAGTTGCATACACACAACACAAAGAAGTTACTGAGAAATCTTCTGTCTAGCATAATATGAAGAAATCCCGTTTCCAACGAAGGCCTCAAAGAGGTCCGAATATCCACTGGCAGGCTTCACAAACAGAGTGTTTCCTAACTGCTCTGTGAAAAGAAAGGTTAAACTCTGTGAGTTGAACGCACACATCACAAAGGAGTTTCTGAGAATCATTCTGTCTAGTTTTTATACGAAGATATTTCCTTTTCTACCATTGACCTCAAAGCGGCTGAAATCTCCACTTGCAAATTCCAGAAAAACAGTGTTTCAAATCTGCTCTGTGTAAAGGATCGTTCAACTCTGTGAGTTGAATACACACAACACAAGGAAGTTACTGAGAATTCATCTGTCTAGCATAATATGAAGAAATCCCGTTTCCAACGAAGGCCTCAAAGAGGTCTGAATATCCGCTTGCAGACTTTACAAACAGAGTGTTTCCTAACTGCTCTTTGAAAAGAAAGGTTAAACTCTGTGAGTTGAACGCACACATCACAAAGGAGTTTCTGAGAATCATTTCTGTATAGATTTTATACGAAGATATTTCCTTTTCTACCGTTGACCTCAAAGCGGCTGAATTCTCCACTTACAAATTCCACCCAAAGAGTGTCTCAAATCTGCTCTGTGTAAAGAATCATTCAACTCTGTGAGTTGAATGCACACAACACAAGGAAGTTACTGGGAATTCCTCTGTCTAACCTTACATGAAAAAACCCTTTTCCAATGAAGGCCTCTAAGAGGCCATGATATCCACTTGCAGACTTTACAAACAGAGTGTTTCCAAACTGCTGAATGAAAAGAAAAGTTAAACTCTGTGAGTTGAACGCACACATCACAGAGCAGTTTCTGAGAATGATTCTGTCGGGTTTTTATACGAAGATATTTCCTTTTCTGCCTTTGGCCTCAAAGCGCTTGAAGTCTCCACTTGCAAATTGCAGAAAAAGAGTGTTTCGAATCTGCTCTGTCTAAAGGAAGGTTCAACTCTGTCAGTTGAATACACACAACACAAGGAAGTTACTGAGATTTCTTCTGTCTAGCCTTACATGAAAAAAACCCGTTTCCAACGAAGGCCTCAAAGAGGTCAAAATATCCACGTGCAGACTTTCCAAACAGAGTGTTTCCAAACTGCTGAATGAAAAGAAAGTTAAACTCTGTGAGTTGAACACACACATCCCAGAGCAGTTTCTGAGAAAGATTCTCTCTAGTTTTTATAGGAAAATATTTCCTTTTCTGCTTTTGGCCTCAAAGCGCTTGAAATCTCCACTTGCAAATTCCACAAAAAGAGACTTTCAAATCTGCTCTGTCTAAAGGAAGGTTCAACTCTGTCAGTTGAATACACACAACACAAAGAAGTTACTAAGAATTCTTCCCTCTAGCATTATATGAAGAAATCCCGTTTCCAACGAAGGCATCTAAGAGGTCCAAATATCCACTTGCAGACTTTACAAACACAGGGTTTCCAGAATGCTGTATGAAAAGAAAGGTGAAACTCTGTGAGTTAAACACACACATCACTACGCAGTGTCTGGGAACGAGTTTGTCTTGTTTTTATACGAAGATATTTCCTTTTCTACCATTGGCATCGAAGCGCTTGAAATCTCCACTTGCAAATTCCACAAAAAGAGTGTTTCAAATCTGCTCTGTCTAAAGGAAGGTTGAACTCTGTGAGTTGCATACACACAACCCAAAGAAGTTACTGAGAAATCTTCTGTCTAGCATAATATGAAGAAATCCCGTTTCCAACGAAGGCCTCAAAGAGGTCCGAATATCCACTGGCAGGCTTCACAAACAGAGTGTTTCCTAACTGCTCTGTGAAAAGAAAGGTTAAACTCTGTGAGTTGAACGCACACATCACAAAGGAGTTTCTGAGAATCATTCTGTCTAGTTTTTATACGAAGATATTTCCTTTTCTACCATTGACCTCAAAGCGGCTGACATCTCCACTTGCAAATTCCAGAAAAACAGTGTTTCAAATCTGCTCTGTGTAAAGGATCGTTCAACTCTGTGAGTTGAATACACACAACACAAGGAAGTTACTGAGAATTCATCTGTCTAGCATAATATGAAGAAATCCCGTTTCCAACGAAGGCCTCAAAGAGGTCTGAATATCCACTTGCAGACTTTACAAACAGAGTGTTTCCTAACTGCTCTTTGAAAAGAAAGGTTAAACTCTGTGAGTTGAACGCACACATCACAAAACAGTTTCTGAGAATCATTCTGTCTAGTTTTTATACGAAGATATTTCCTTTTCTACCGTTGACCTCAAAGCGGCTGAATTCTCCACTTACAAATTCCACCAAAAGAGTGTCTCAAATCTGCTCTGTGTAAAGAATCATTCAACTCTGTGAGTTGAATGCACACAACACAAGGAAGTTACTGGGAATTCCTCTGTCTAACCTTACATGAAAAAACCCGTTTCCAACGAAGGCCTCTAAGAGGCCAAGATATCCACTTGCAGACTTTACAAACAGAGTGTTTCCAAACTGCTGAATGAAAAGAAAAGTTAAACTCTGTGAGTTGAACGCACACATCACAGAGCAGTTTCTGAGAATGATTCTGTCGGGTTTTTATACGAAGATATTTCCTTTTCTGCCTTTGGCCTCAAAGCGCTTGAAGTCTCCACTTGGAAATTGCAGAAAAAGAGTGTTTCGAATCTGCTCTGTCTAAAGGAAGGTTCAACTCTGTCAGTTGAATACACACAACACAAGGAAGTTACTGAGATTTCCTTCTGTCTAGCCTTACATGAAAAAAACCCGTTTCCAACGAAGGCCTCAAAGAGGTCAAAATATCCACGTGCAGACTTTCCAAACAGAGTGTTTCCAAACTGCTGAATGAAAAGAAAAGTTAAACTCTGTGAGTTGAACGCACACATCCCAGAGCAGTTTCTGAGAAAGATTCTGTCTAGTTTTTATAGGAAAATATTTCCTTTTCTGCTTTTGGCCTCAAAGCGCTTGAAATCTCCACTTGCAAATTCCACAAAAAGAGACTTTCAAATCTGCTCTGTCTAAAGGAAGGTTCAACTCTGTCAGTTGAATACACACAACACAAAGAAGTTACTAAGAATTCTTCCCTCTAGCATTATATGAAGAAATCCCGTTTCCAACGAAGGCATCTAAGAGGTCCAAATATCCACTTGCAGACTTTACAAACAGAGGGTTTCCAGAATGCTGTATGAAAAGAAAGGTGAAACTCTGTGAGTTAAACACACACATCACTACGCAGTGTCTGGGAACGAGTTTGTCTTGTTTTTATACGAAGATATTTCCTTTTCTACCATTGGCATCGAAGCGCTTGAAATCTCCACTTGCAAATTCCACAAAAAGAGTGTTTCAAATCTGCTCTGTCTAAAGGAAGGTTGAACTCTGTGAGTTGCATACACACAACACAAAGAAGTTACTGAGAAATCTTCTGTCTAGCATAATATGAAGAAATCCCGTTTCCAACGAAGGCCTCAAAGAGGTCCGAATATCCCCTGGCAGGCTTCACAAACAGAGTGTTTCCTAACTGCTCTGTGAAAAGAAAGGTTAAACTCTGTGAGTTGAACGCACACATCACAAAGGAGTTTCTGAGAATCATTCTGTCTAGGTTTTATACGAAGATATTTCCTTTTCTACCATTGACCTCAAAGCGGCTGAAATCTCCACTTGCAAATTCCAGAAAAACAGTGTTTCAAATCTGCTCTGTGTAAAGGATCGTTCAACTCTGTGAGTTGAATACACACAACACAAGGAAGTTACTGAGAATTCATCTGTCTAGCATAATATGAAGAAATCCCGTTTCCAACGAAGGCCTCAAAGAGGTCTGAATATCCGCTTGCAGACTTTACAAACAGAGTGTTTCCTAACTGCTCTTTGAAAAGAAAGGTTAAACTCTGTGAGTTGAACGCACACATCACAAAACAGTTTCTGAGAATCATTCTGTCTAGTTTTTATACGAAGATATTTCCTTTTCTACCGTTGACCTCAAAGCGGCTGAATTCTCCACTTACAAATTCCACCAAAAGAGTGTCTCAAATCTGCTCTGTGTAAAGAATCATTCAACTCTGTGAGTTGAATGCACACAACACAAGGAAGTTACTGGGAATTCCTCTGTCTAACCTTACATGAAAAAAACCGTTTCCAACGAAGGCCTCTAAGAGGCCAAGATATCCACTTGCAGACTTTACAAACAGAGTGTTTCCAAACTGCTGAATGAAAAGAAAAGTTAAACTCTGTGAGTTGAACGCACACATCACAGAGCAGTTTCTGAGAGTGATTATGTCGGGTTTTTATACGAAGATATTTCCTTTTCTGCCTTTGGCCTCAAAGCGCTTGAAGTCTCCACTTGCAAATTGCAGAAAAAGAGTGTTTGGAATCTGCTCTGTCTAAAGGAAGGTTCAACCCTGTCAGTTGAATACACACAACACAAGGAAGTTACTGAGATTTCCTCTGTCTAGCCTTACATGAAAAAAACCCGTTTCCAACCAAGGCCTCAAAGAGGTCAAAATATCCACGGCAGACTTTACAAACAGAGTGTTTCCAAACTGCTGAATGAAAAGAAAAGTTAAACTCTGTGAGTTGAACGCACACATCACAGAGCAGTTTCTGAGAATGATTCTGTCTAGTTTTTATAGGAAAATATTTCCTTTTCTGCTTTTGGCCTCAAAGCGCTTGAAATCTCCACTTGCAAATTCGACAAAAAGAGACTTTCAAATCTGCTCTGTCTAAAGGAAGGTTCAACTCTGTCAGTTGAATACACACAACACAAAGAAGTTACTAAGAATTCTTCCCTCTAGCATTATATGAAGAAATCCCGTTTCCAACGAAGGCATCTAAGAGGTCCAAATATCCACTTGCAGACTTTACAAACACAGGGTTTCCAGAATGCTGTATGAAAAGAAAGGTTAAACTCTGTGAGTTAAACACACACATCACTACCCAGTGTCTGGGAACGAGTTTGTCTTGTTTTTATACGAAGATATTTCCTTTTCTACCATTGGCATCGAAGCGCTTGAAATCTCCACTTGCAAATTCCACAAAAAGAGTGTTTCAAATCTGCTCTGTCTAAAGGAAGGTTGAACTCTGTGAGTTGCATACACACAACACAAAGAAGTTACTGAGAAATCTTCTGTCTGGCATAATATGAAGAAATCCCGTTTCCAACGAAGGCCTCAAAGAGGTCCGAATATCCACTGGCAGGCTTCACAAACAGAGTGTTTCCTAACTGCTCTGTGAAAAGAAAGGTTAAACTCTGTGAGTTGAACGCACACATCACAAAGGAGTTTCTGAGAATCATTCTGTCTAGTTTTTATACGAAGATATTTCCTTTTCTACCATTGACCTCAAAGCGGCTGAAATCTCCACTTGCAAATTCCAGAAAAACAGTGTTTCAAATCTGCTCTGTGTAAAGGATCGTTCAACTCTGTGAGTTGAATACACACAACACAAGGAAGTTACTGAGAATTCATCTGTCTAGCATAATATGAAGAAATCCCGTTTCCAACGAAGGCCTCAAAGAGGTCTGAATATCCACTTGCAGACTTTACAAACAGAGTGTTTCCTAACTGCTCTTTGAAAAGAAAGGTTAAACTCTGTGAGTTGAACGCACACATCACAAAACAGTTTCTGAGAATCATTCTGTCTAGTTTTTATACGAAGATATTTCCTTTTCTACCGTTGACCTCAAAGCGGCTGAATTCTCCACTTACAAATTCCACCAAAAGAGTGTCTCAAATCTGCTCTGTGTAAAGAATCATTCAACTCTGTGAGTTGAATGCACACAACACAAGGAAGTTACTGGGAATTCCTCTGTCTAACCTTACATGAAAAAACCCGTTTCCAACGAAGGCCTCTAAGAGGCCAAGATATCCACTTGCAGACTTTACAAACAGAGTGTTTCCAAACTGCTGAATGAAAAGAAAAGTTAAACTCTGTGAGTTGAACGCACACATCACAGAGCAGTTTCTGAGAATGATTCTGTCGGGTTTTTATACGAAGATATTTCCTTTTCTGCCTTTGGCCTCAAAGCGCTTGAAGTCTCCACTTGCAAATTGCAGAAAAAGAGTGTTTCGAATCTGCTCTGTCTAAAGGAAGGTTCAACTCTGTCAGTTGAATACACACAACACAAGGAAGTTACTGAGATTTCTTCTGTCTAGCCTTACATGAAAAAAACCCGTTTCCAACGAAGGCCTCAAAGAGGTCAAAATATCCACGTGCAGACTTTCCAAACAGAGTGTTTCCAAACTGCTGAATGAAAAGAAAAGTTAAACTCTGTGAGTTGAACGCACACATCCCAGAGCAGTTTCTGAGAAAGATTCTGTCGAGTTTTTATAGGAAAATATATCCTTTTCTGCTTTTGGCCTCAAAGCGCTTGAAATCTCCACTTGCAAATTCCACAAAAAGAGACTTTCAAATCTGCTCTGTCTAAAGGAAGGTTCAACTCTGTCAGTTGAATACACACAACACAAAGAAGTTACTAAGAATTCTTCCCTCTAGCATTATATGAAGAAATCCCGTTTGCAACGAAGGCATCTAAGAGGTCCAAATATCCACTTGCAGACTTTACAAACACAGGGTTTCCAGAATGCTGTATGAAAAGAAAGGTGAAACTCTGTGAGTTAAACACACACATCACTACGCAGTGTCTGGGAACGAGTTTGTCTTGTTTTTATACGAAGATATTTCCTTTTCTACCATTGGCATCGAAGCGCTTGAAATCTCCACTTGCAAATTCCACAAAAAGAGTGTTTCAAATCTGCTCTGTCTAAAGGAAGGTTGAACTCTGTGAGTTGCATACACACAACACAAAGAAGTTACTGAGAAATCTTCTGTCTAGCATAATATGAAGAAATCCCGTTTCCAACGAAGGCCTCAAAGAGGTCCGAATATCCACTGGCAGGCTTCACAAACAGAGTGTTTCCTAACTGCTCTGTGAAAAGAAAGGTTAAACCCTGTGAGTTGAACGCACACATCACAAAGGAGTTTCTGAGAATCATTCTGTCTAGTTTTTATACGAAGATATTTCCTTTTCTACCATTGACCTCAAAGCGGCTGAAATCTCCACTTGCAAATTCCAGAAAAACAATGTTTCAAATCTGCTCTGTGTAAAGGATCGTTCAACTCTGTGAGTTGAATACACACAACACAAGGAAGTTACTGAGAATTCATCTGTCTAGCATAATATGAAGAAATCCCGTTTCCAACGAAGGCCTCAAAGAGGTCTGAATATCCACTTGCAGACTTTACAAACAGAGTGTTTCCTAACTGCTCTTTGAAAAGAAAGGTTAAACTCTGTGAGTTGAACGCACACATCACAAAACAGTTTCTGAGAATCATTCTGTCTAGTTTTTATACGAAGATATTTCCTTTTCTACCGTTGACATCAAAGCGGCTGAATTCTCCACTTACAAATTCCACCAAAAGAGTGTCTCAAAACTGCTCTGTGTAAAGAATCATTCAACTCTGTGAGTTGAATGCACACAACACAAGGAAGTTACTGGGAATTCCTCTGTCTAACCTTACATGAAAAAACCCGTTTCCAACGAAGGCCTCTAAGAGGCCAAGATATCCACTTGCAGACTTTACAAACAGAGTGTTTCCAAACTGCTGAATGAAAAGAAAAGTTAAACTCTGTGAGTTGAACGCACACATCACAGAGCAGTTTCTGAGAATGATTCTGTCGGGTTTTTATACGAAGATATTTCCTTTTCTGCCTTTGGCCTCAAAGCGCTTGAAGTCTCCACTTGCAAATTGCAGAAAAAGAGTGTTTCGAATCTGCTCTGTCTAAAGGAAGGTTCAACTCTGTCAGTTGAATACACACAACACAAGGAAGTTACTGAGATTTCTTCTGTCTAGCCTTACATGAAAAAAACCCGTTTCCAACGAAGGCCTCAAAGAGGTCAAAATATCCACGTGCAGACTTTCCAAACAGAGTGTTTCCAAACTGCTGAATGAAAAGAAAAGTTAAACTCTGTGAGTTGAACGCACACATCCCAGAGCAGTTTCTGAGAAAGATTCTGTCGAGTTTTTATAGGAAAATATTTCCTTTTCTGCTTTCGGCCTCAAAGCGCTTGAAATCTCCACTTGCAAATTCCACAAAAAGAGACTTTCAAATCTGCTCTGTCTAAAGGAAGGTTCAACTCTGTCAGTTGAATACACACAACACAAAGAAGTTACTAAGAATTCTTCCCTCTAGCATTATATGAAGAAATCCCGTTTCCAACGAAGGCATCTAAGAGGTCCAAATATCCACTTGCAGACTTTACAAACACAGGGTTTCCAGAATGCTGTATGAAAAGAAAGGTGAAACTCTGTGAGTTAAACACACACATCACTACGCAGTGTCTGGGAACGAGTTTGTCTTGTTTTTATACGAAGATATTTCCTTTTCTACCATTGGCATCGAAGCGCTTGAAATCTCCACTTGCAAATTCCACAAAAAGAGTGTTTCAAATCTGCTCTGTCTAAAGGAAGGTTGAACTCTGTGAGTTGCATACACACAACACAAAGAAGTTACTGAGAAATCTTCTGTCTAGCATAATATGAAGAAATCCCGTTTCCAACGAAGGCCTCAAAGAGGTCCGAATATCCACTGGCAGGCTTCACAAACAGAGTGTTTCCTAACTGCTCTGTGAAAAGAAAGGTTAAACTCTGTGAGTTGAACGCACACATCACAAAGGAGTTTCTGAGAATCATTCTGTCTAGTTTTTATACGAAGATATTTCCTTTTCTACCATTGACCTCAAAGCGGCTGAAATCTCCACTTGCAAATTCCAGAAAAACAGTGTTTCAAATCTGCTCTGTGTAAAGGATCGTTTAACTCTGTGAGTTGAATACACACAACACAAGGAAGTTACTGAGAATTCATCTGTCTAGCATAATATGAAGAAATCCCGTTTCCAACGAAGGCCTCAAAGAGGTCTGAATATCCACTTGCAGACTTTACAAACAGAGTGTTTCCTAACTGCTCTTTGAAAAGAAAGGTTAAACTCTGTGAGTTGAACGCACACATCACAAAACAGTTTCTGAGAATCATTCTGTCTAGTTTTTATACGAAGATATTTCCTTTTCTACCGTTGACCTCAAAGCGGCTGAATTCTCCACTTACAAATTCCACCAAAAGAGTGTCTCAAATCTGCTCTGTGTAAAGAATCATTCAACTCTGTGAGTTGAATGCACACAACACAAGGAAGTTACTGGGAATTCCTCTGTCTAACCTTACATGAAAAAACCCGCTTCCAACGAAGGCCTCTAAGAGGCCAAGATATCCACTTGCAGACTTTACAAACAGAGTGTTTCCAAACTGCTGAATGAAAAGAAAAGTTAAACTCTGTGAGTTGAACGCACACATCACAGAGCAGTTTCTGAGAATGATTCTGTCGGGTTTTTATACGAAGATATTTCCTTTTCTGCCTTTGGCCTCAAAGCGCTTGAAGTCTCCACTTGCAAATTGCAGAAAAAGAGTGTTTCGAATCTGCTCTGTCTAAAGGAAGGTTCAACTCTGTCAGTTGAATACACACAACACAAGGAAGTTACTGAGATTTCTTCTGTCTAGCCTTACATGAAAAAAACCCGTTTCCAACGAAGGCCTCAAAGAGGTCAAAATATCCACGTGCAGACTTTCCAAACAGAGTGTTTCCAAACTGCTGAATGAAAAGAAAAGTTAAACTCTTGTGAGTTGAACGCACACGTCCCAGAGCAGTTTCTGAGAAAGATTCTGTCGAGTTTTTATAGGAAAATATTTCCTTTTCTGCTTTTGGCCTCAAAGCGCTTGAAATCTCCACTTGCAAATTCCACAAAAAGAGACTTTCAAATCTGCTCTGTCTAAAGGAAGGTTCAACTCTGTCAGTTGAATACACACAACACAAAGAAGTTACTAAGAATTCTTCCCTCTAGCATTATATGAAGAAATCCCGTTTCCAACGAAGGCATCTAAGAGGTCCAAATATCCACTTGCAGACTTTACAAACACAGGGTTTCCAGAATGCTGTATGAAAAGAAAGGTTAAACTCTGTGAGTTAAACACACACATCACTACGCAGTGTCTGGGAACGAGTTTGTCTTGTTTTTATACGAAGATATTTCCTTTTCTACCATTGGCATCGAAGCGCTTGAAATCTCCACTTGCAAATTCCACAAAAAGAGTGTTTCAAATATGCTCTCTCTAAAGGAAGGTTGAACTCTGTGAGTTGCATACACACAACACAAAGAAGTTACTGAGAAATCTTCTGTCTAGCATAATATGAAGAAATCCCGTTTCCAACGAAGGCCTCAAAGAGGTCCGAATATCCACTGGCAGGCTTCACAAACAGAGTGTTTCCTAACTGCTCTGTGAAAAGAAAGGTTAAACTCTGTGAGTTGAACGCACACATCACAAAGGAGTTTCTGAGAATCATTCTGTCTAGTTTTTATACGAAGATATTTCCTTTTCTACCATTGACCTCAAAGCGGCTGAAATCTCCACTTGCAAATTCCAGAAAAACAGTGTTTCAAATCTGCTCTGTGTAAAGGATCGTTCAACTCTGTGAGTTGAATACACACAACACAAGGAAGTTACTGAGAATTCATCTGTCTAGCATAATATGAAGAAATCCCGTTTCCAACGAAGGCCTCAAAGAGGTCTGAATATCCACTTGCAGACTTTACAAACAGAGTGTTTCCTAACTGCTCTTTGAAAAGAAAGGTTAAACTCTGTGAGTTGAAAGCACACATCACAAAACAGTTTCTGAGAATCATTCTGTCTAGTTTTTATACGAAGATATTTCCTTTTCTACCGTTGACCTCAAAGCGGCTGAATTCTCCACTTACAAATTCCACCAAAAGAGTGTCTCAAATCTGCTCTGTGTAAAGAATCATTCAACTCTGTGAGTTGAATGCACACAACACAAGGAAGTTAGTGGGAATTCCTCTGTCTAACCTTACATGAAAAAACCCGCTTCCAACGAAGGCCTCTAAGAGGCCAAGATATCCACTTGCAGACTTTACAAACAGAGTGTTTCCAAACTGCTGAATGAAAAGAAAAGTTAAACTCTGTGAGTTGAACGCACACATCACAGAGCAGTTTCTGAGAATGATTCTGTCGGGTTTTTATACGAAGATATTTCCTTTTCTGCCTTTGGCCTCAAAGCGCTTGAAGTCTCCACTTGCAAATTGCAGAAAAAGAGTGTTTCGAATCTGCTCTGTCTAAAGGAAGGTTCAACTCTGTCAGTTGAATACACACAACACAAGGAAGTTACTGAGATTTCTTCTGTCTAGCCTTACATGAAAAAAACCCGTTTCCAACGAAGGCCTCAAAGAGGTCAAAATATCCACGTGCAGACTTTCCAAACAGAGTGTTTCCAAACTGCTGAATGAAAAGAAAAGTTAAACTCTGTGAGTTGAACGCACACATCCCAGAGCAGTTTCTGAGAAAGATTCTGTCGAGTTTTTATAGGAAAATATTTCCTTTTCTGCTTTTGGCCTCAAAGCGCTTGAAATCTCCACGTGCAAATTCCACAAAAAGAGACTTTCAAATCTGCTCTGTCTAAAGGAAGGTTCAACTCTGTCAGTTGAATACACACAACACAAAGAAGTTACTAAGAATTCTTCCCTCTAGCATTATATGAAGAAATCCCGTTTCCAACGAAGGCATCTAAGAGGTCCAAATATCCACTTGCAGACTTTACAAACACAGGGTTTCCAGAATGCTGTATGAAAAGAAAGGTTAAACTCTGTGAGTTAAACACACACATCACTACGCAGTGTCTGGGAACGAGTTTGTCTTGTTTTTATACGAAGATATTTCCTTTTCTACCATTGGCATCGAAGCGCTTGAAATCTCCACTTGCAAATTCCACAAAAAGAGTGTTTCAAATATGCTCTCTCTAAAGGAAGGTTGAACTCTGTGAGTTGCATACACACAACCCAAAGAAGTTACTGAGAAATCTTCTGTCTAGCATAATATGAAGAAATCCCGTTTCCAACGAAGGCCTCAAAGAGGTCCGAATATCCACTGGCAGGCTTCACAAACAGAGTGTTTCCTAACTGCTCTGTGAAAAGAAAGGTTAAACTCTGTGAGTTGAACGCACACATCACAAAGGAGTTTCTGAGAATCATTCTGTCTAGTTTTTATACGAAGATATTTCCTTTTCTACCATTGACCTCAAAGCGGCTGACATCTCCACTTGCAAATTCCAGAAAAACAGTGTTTCAAATCTGCTCTGTGTAAAGGATCGTTCAACTCTGTGAGTTGAATACACACAACACAAGGAAGTTACTGAGAATTCATCTGTCTAGCATAATATGAAGAAATCCCGTTTCCAACGAAGGCCTCAAAGAGGTCTGAATATCCACTTGCAGACTTTACAAACAGAGTGTTTCCTAACTGCTCTTTGAAAAGAAAGGTTAAACTCTGTGAGTTGAACGCACACATCACAAAACAGTTTCTGAGAATCATTCTTTCTAGTTTTTATACGAAGATATTTCCTTTTCTACCGTTGACCTCAAAGCGGCTGAATTCTCCACTTACAAATTCCACCAAAAGTGTGTCTCAAATCTGCTCTGTGTAAAGAATCATTCAACTCTGTGAGTTGAATGCACACAACACAAGGAAGTTACTGGGAATTCCTCTGTCTAACCTTACATGAAAAAACGCATTTCCAACGAAGGCCTCTAAGAGGCCAAGATATCCACTTGCAGACTTTACAAACAGAGTGTTTCCAAACTGCTGAATGAAAAGAAAAGTTAAACTCTGTGAGTTGAACGCACACATCACAGAGCAGTTTCTGAGAATGATTCTGTCGGGTTTTTATACGAAGATATTTCCTTTTCTGCCTTTGGCCTCAAAGCGCTTGAAGTCTCCACTTGCAAATTGCAGAAAAAGAGCGTTTCGAATCTGCTCTGTCTAAAGGAAGGTTCAACTCTGTCAGTTGAATACACACAACACAAGGAAGTTACTGAGATTTCTTCTGTCTAGCCTTACATGAAAAAAACCCGTTTCCAACGAAGGCCTCAAAGAGGTCAAAATATCCACGTGCAGACTTTCCAAACAGAGTGTTTCCAAACTGCTGAATGAAAAGAAAGTTAAACTCTGTGAGTTGAACACACACATCACAGAGCAGTTTCTGAGAATGATTCTCTCTAGTTTTTATAGGAAAATATTTCCTTTTCTGCTTTTGGCCTCAAAGTGCTTGAAATCTCCACTTGCAAATTCCACAAAAAGAGACTTTCAAATCTGCTCTGTCTAAAGGAAGGTTCAACTCTGTCAGTTGAATACACACAACACAAAGAAGTTACTAAGAATTCTTCCCTCTAGCATTATATGAAGAAATCCCGTTTCCAACGAAGGCCTCAAAGAGGTCTGAATATCCACTTGCAGACTTTACAGAGTGTTTCCTAACTGCTCTTTGAAAAGAAAGGTTAAACTCTGTGAGTTGAACGCACACATCACAAAACAGTTTCTGAGAATCATTCTGTCTAGTTTTTATACGAAGATATTTCCTTTTCTACCGTTGACCTCAAAGCGGCTGAATTCTCCACTTACAAATTCCACCAAAAGAGTGTCTCAAATGTGCTCTGTGTAAAGAATCATTCAACTCTGTGAGTTGAATGCACACAACACAAGGAAAGTTACTGGGAATTCCTCTGTCTAACCTTACATGAAAAAACCCGTTTCCAACGAAGGCCTCTAAGAGGCCAAGATATCCACTTGCAGACTTTACAAACAGAGTGTTTCCAAACTGCTGAATGAAAAGAAAAGTTAAACTCTGTGAGTTGAACGCACACATCACAGAGCAGTTTCTGAGAATGATTCTGTCGGGTTTTTATACGAAGATATTTCCTTTTCTGCCTTTGGCCTCAAAGCGCTTGAAGTCTCCACTTGCAAATTGCAGAAAAAGAGTGTTTCGAATCTGCTCTGTCTAAAGGAAGGTTCAACTCTGTCAGTTGAATACACACAACACAAGGAAGTTACTGAGATTTCTTCTGTCTAGCCTTACATGAAAAAAACCCGTTTCCAACGAAGGCCTCAAAGTAGGTCAAAATATCCACGTGCAGACTTTCC
This sequence comes from Homo sapiens, assembly GCF_000001405.40. NCBI lineage: Eukaryota > Metazoa > Chordata > Mammalia > Primates > Hominidae > Homo > Homo sapiens. The sequence goes on along the minus strand of NC_000016.10, from coordinate 37,152,118 downwards.
AAACAGAGTGTTTCCAAACTGCTGAATGAAAAGAAAAGTTAAACTCTGTGAGTTGAACGCACACATCCCAGAGCAGTTTCTGAGAAAGATTCTGTCGAGTTTTTATAGGAAAATATTTCCTTTTCTGCTTTTGGCCTCAAAGCGCTTGAAATCTCCACTTGCAAATTCCACAAAAAGAGACTTTCAAATCTGCTCTGTCTAAAGGAAGGTTCAACTCTGTCAGTTGAATACACACAACACAAAGAAGTTACTAAGAATTCTTCCCTCTAGCATTATATGAAGAAATCCCGTTTGCAACGAAGGCATCTAAGAGGTCCAAATATCCACTTGCAGACTTTACAAACAGAGGGTTTCCAGAATGCTGTATGAAAAGAAAGGTGAAACTCTGTGAGTTAAACACACACATCACTACGCAGTGTCTGGGAACGAGTTTGTCTTGTTTTTATACGAAGATATTTCCTTTTCTACCATTGGCATCGAAGCGCTTGAAATCTCCACTTGCAAATTCCACAAAAAGAGTGTTTCAAATCTGCTCTGTCTAAAGGAAGGTTGAACTCTGTGAGTTGCATACACACAACACAAAGAAGTTACTGAGAAATCTTCTGTCTAGCATAATATGAAGAAATCCCGTTTCCAACGAAGGCCTCAAAGAGGTCCGAATATCCACTGGCAGGCTTCACAAACAGAGTGTTTCCTAACTGCTCTGTGAAAAGAAAGGTTAAACCCTGTGAGTTGAACGCACACATCACAAAGGAGTTTCTGAGAATCATTCTGTCTAGTTTTTATACGAAGATATTTCCTTTTCTACCATTGACCTCAAAGCGGCTGAAATCTCCACTTGCAAATTCCAGAAAAACAGTGTTTCAAATCTGCTCTGTGTAAAGGATCGTTCAACTCTGTGAGTTGAATACACACAACACAAGGAAGTTACTGAGAATTCATCTGTCTAGCATAATATGAAGAAATCCCGTTTCCAACGAAGGCCTCAAAGAGGTCTGAATATCCACTTGCAGACTTTACAGAGTGTTTCCTAACTGCTCTTTGAAAAGAAAGGTTAAACTCTGTGAGTTGAACGCACACATCACAAAACAGTTTCTGAGAATCATTCTGTCTAGTTTTTATACGAAGATATTTCCTTTTCTACCGTTGACCTCAAAGCGGCTGAATTCTCCACTTACAAATTCCACCAAAAGAGTGTCTCAAATCTGCTCTGTGTAAAGAATCGTTCAACTCTGTGAGTTGAATGCACACAACACAAGGAAGTTACTGGGAATTCCTCTGTCTAACCTTACATGAAAAAAACCGTTTCCAACGAAGGCATCTAAGAGGCCAAGATATCCACTTGCAGACTTTACAAACAGAGTGTTTCCAAACTGCTGAATGAAAAGAAAAGTTAAACTCTGTGAGTTGAACGCACACATCACAGAGCAGTTTCTGAGAATGATTCTGTCGGGTTTTTATACGAAGATATTTCCTTTTCTGCCTTTGGCCTCAAAGCGCTTGAAGTCTCCACTTGGAAATTGCAGAAAAAGAGTGTTTCGAATCTGCTCTGTCTAAAGGAAGGTTCAACTCTGTCAGTTGAATACACACAACACAAGGAAGTTACTGAGATTTCTTCTGTCTAGCCTTACATGAAAAAACCCGTTTCCAACGAAGGCCTCAAAGAGGTCAAAATATCCACGTGCAGACTTTCCAAACAGAGTGTTTCCAAACTGCTGAATGAAAAGAAAGTTAAACTCTGTGAGTTGAACACACACATCACAGAGCAGTTTCTGAGAATGATTCTGTCTAGTTTTTATAGGAAAATATTTCCTTTTCTGCTTTTGGCCTCAAAGCGCTTGAAATCTCCACTTGCAAATTCCACAAAAAGAGACTTTCAAATCTGCTCTGTCTAAAGGAAGGTTCAACTCTGTCAGTTGAATACACACAACACAAAGAAGTTACTAAGAATTCTTCCCTCTAGCATTATATGAAGAAATCCCGTTTCCAACGAAGGCATCTAAGAGGTCCAAATATCCACTTGCAGACTTTACAAACAGAGGGTTTCCAGAATGCTGTATGAAAAGAAAGGTGAAACTCTGTGAGTTAAACACACACATCACTACGCAGTGTCTGGGAACGAGTTTGTCTTGTTTTTATACGAAGATATTTCCTTTTCTACCATTGGCATCGAAGCGCTTGAAATCTCCACTTGCAAATTCCACAAAAAGAGTGTTTCAAATCTGCTCTGTCTAAAGGAAGGTTGAACTCTGTGAGTTGCATACACACAACACAAAGAAGTTACTGAGAAATCTTCTGTCTAGCATAATATGAAGAAATCCCGTTTCCAACGAAGGCCTCAAAGAGGTCCGAATATCCACTGGCAGGCTTCACAAACAGAGTGTTTCCTAACTGCTCTGTGAAAAGAAAGGTTAAACTCTGTGAGTTGAACGCACACATCACAAAGGAGTTTCTGAGAATCATTCTGTCTAGTTTTTATACGAAGATATTTCCTTTTCTACCATTGACCTCAAAGCGGCTGAAATCTCCACTTGCAAATTCCAGAAAAACAGTGTTTCAAATCTGCTCTGTGTAAAGGATCGTTCAACTCTGTGAGTTGAATACACACAACACAAGGAAGTTACTGAGAATTCATCTGTCTAGCATAATATGAAGAAATCCCGTTTCCAACGAAGGCCTCAAAGAGGTCTGAATATCCACTTGCAGACTTTACAAACAGAGTGTTTCCTAACTGCTCTTTGAAAAGAAAGGTTAAACTCTGTGAGTTGAACGCACACATCACAAAACAGTTTCTGAGAATCATTCTGTCTAGTTTTTATACGAAGATATTTCCTTTTCTACCGTTGACCTCAAAGCGGCTGAATTCTCCACTTACAAATTCCACCAAAAGAGTGTCTCAAATCTGCTCTGTGTAAAGAATCATTCAACTCTGTGAGTTGAATGCACACAACACAAGGAAGTTACTGGGAATTCCTCTGTCTAACCTTACATGAAAAAACCCGCTTCCAACGAAGGCCTCTAAGAGGCCAAGATATCCACTTGCAGACTTTACAGAGTGTTTCCAAACTGCTGAATGAAAAGAAAAGTTAAACTCTGTGAGTTGAACGCACACATCACAGAGCAGTTTCTGAGAATGATTCTGTCGGGTTTTTATACGAAAATATTTCCTTTTCTGCCTTTGGCCTCAAAGCGCTTGAAGTCTCCACTTGCAAATTGCAGAAAAAGAGTGTTTCGAATCTGCTCTGTCTAAAGGAAGGTTCAACTCTGTCAGTTGAATACACACAACACAAGGAAGTTACTGAGATTTCTTCTGTCTAGCCTTACATGAAAAAAACCCGTTTCCAACGAAGGCCTCAAAGAGGTCAAAATATCCACGTGCAGACTTTCCAAACAGAGTGTTTCCAAACTGCTGAATGGAAAGAAAAGTTAAACTCTGTGAGTTGAACGCACACATCCCAGAGCAGTTTCTGAGAAAGATTCTGTCGAGTTTTTATAGGAAAATATTTCCTTTTCTGCTTTTGGCCTCAAAGCGCTTGAAATCTCCACTTGCAAATTCCACAAAAAGAGACTTTCAAATCTGCTCTGTCTAAAGGAAGGTTCAACTCTGTCAGTTGAATACACACAACACAAAGAAGTTACTAAGAATTCTTCCCTCTAGCATTATATGAAGAAATCCCGTTTCCAACGAAGGCATCTAAGAGGTCCAAATATCCACTTGCAGACTTTACAAACACAGGGTTTCCAGAATGCTGTATGAAAAGAAAGGTGAAACTCTGTGAGTTAAACACACACATCACTACGCAGTGTCTGGGAACGAGTTTGTCTTGTTTTTATACGAAGATATTTCCTTTTCTACCATTGGCATCGAAGCGCTTGAAATCTCCACTTGCAAATTCCACAAAAAGAGTGTTTCAAATCTGCTCTGTCTAAAGGAAGGTTGAACTCTGTGAGTTGCATACACACAACACAAAGAAGTTACTGAGAAATCTTCTGTCTAGCATAATATGAAGAAATCCCGTTTCCAACGAAGGCCTCAAAGAGGTCCGAATATCCACTGGCAGGCTTCACAAACAGAGTGTTTCCTAACTGCTCTGTGAAAAGAAAGGTTAAACTCTGAGTTGAACGCACACATCACAAAGGAGTTTCTGAGAATCATTCTGTCTAGTTTTTATACGAAGATATTTCCTTTTCTACCATTGACCTCAAAGCGGCTGACATCTCCACTTGCAAATTCCAGAAAAACAGTGTTTCAAATCTGCTCTGTGTAAAGGATCGTTCAACTCTGTGAGTTGAATACACACAACACAAGGAAGTTACTGAGAATTCATCTGTCTAGCATAATATGAAGAAATCCCGTTTCCAACGAAGGCCTCAAAGAGGTCTGAATATCCACTTGCAGACTTTACAAACAGAGTGTTTCCTAACTGCTCTTTGAAAAGAAAGGTTAAACTCTGTGAGTTGAACGCACACATCACAAAACAGTTTCTGAGAATCATTCTGTCTAGTTTTTATACGAAGATATTTCCTTTTCTACCGTTGACCTCAAAGCGGCTGAATTCTCCACTTACAAATTCCACCAAAAGAGTGTCTCAAAACTGCTCTGTGTAAAGAATCATTCAACTCTGTGAGTTGAATGCACACAACACAAGGAAGTTACTGGGAATTCCTCTGTCTAACCTTACATGAAAAAACCCGTTTCCAACGAAGGCCTCTAAGAGGCCAAGATATCCACTTGCAGACTTTACAAACAGAGTGTTTCCAAACTGCTGAATGAAAAGAAAAGTTAAACTCTGTGAGTTGAACGCACACATCACAGAGCAGTTTCTGAGAATGATTCTGTCGGGTTTTTATACGAAGATATTTCCTTTTCTGCCTTTGGCCTCAAAGCGCTTGAAGTCTCCACTTGCAAATTGCAGAAAAAGAGTGTTTCGAATCTGCTCTGTCTAAAGGAAGGTTCAACTCTGTCAGTTGAATACACACAACACAAGGAAGTTACTGAGATTTCTTCTGTCTAGCCTTACATGAAAAAAACCCGTTTCCAACGAAGGCCTCAAAGAGGTCAAAATATCCACGTGCAGACTTTCCAAACAGAGTGTTTCCAAACTGCTGAATGAAAAGAAAAGTTAAACTCTGTGAGTTGAACGCACACATCCCAGAGCAGTTTCTGAGAAAGATTCTGTCGAGTTTTTATAGGAAAATATTTCCTTTTCTGCTTTTGGCCTCAAAGCGCTTGAAATCTCCACTTGCAAATTCCACAAAAAGAGACTTTCAAATCTGCTCTGTCTAAAGGAAGGTTCAACTCTGTCAGTTGAATACACACAACACAAAGAAGTTACTAAGAATTCTTCCCTCTAGCATTATATGAAGAAATCCCGTTTCCAACGAAGGCATCTAAGAGGTCCAAATATCCACTTGCAGACTTTACAAACACAGGGTTTCCAGAATGCTGTATGAAAAGAAAGGTGAAACTCTGTGAGTTAAACACACACATCACTACGCAGTGTCTGGGAACGAGTTTGTCTTGTTTTTATACGAAGATATTTCCTTTTCTACCATTGGCATCGAAGCGCTTGAAATCTCCACTTGCAAATTCCACAAAAAGAGTGTTTCAAATCTGCTCTGTCTAAAGGAAGGTTGAACTCTGTGAGTTGCATACACACAACACAAAGAAGTTACTGAGAAATCTTCTGTCTAGCATAATATGAAGAAATCCCGTTTCCAACGAAGGCCTCAAAGAGGTCCGAATATCCACTGGCAGGCTTCACAAACAGAGTGTTTCCTAACTGCTCTGTGAAAAGAAAGGTTAAACTCTGTGAGTTGAACGCACACATCACAAAGGAGTTTCTGAGAATCATTCTGTCTAGTTTTTATACGAAGATATTTCCTTTTCTACCATTGACCTCAAATCGGCTGAAATCTCCACTTGCAAATTCCAGAAAAACAGTGTTTCAAATCTGCTGTGTGTAAAGGATCGTTTAACTCTGTGAGTTGAATACACACAACACAAGGAAGTTACTGAGAATTCATCTGTCTAGCATAATATGAAGAAATCCCGTTTCCAACGAAGGCCTCAAAGAGGTCTGAATATCCACTTGCAGACTTTACAAACAGAGTGTTTCCTAACTGCTCTTTGAAAAGAAAGGTTAAACTCTGTGAGTTGAAAGCACACATCACAAAACAGTTTCTGAGAATCATTCTGTCTAGTTTTTATACGAAGATATTTCCTTTTCTACCGTTGACATCAAAGCGGCTGAATTCTCCACTTACAAATTCCACCAAAAGAGTGTCTCAAATCTGCTCTGTGTAAAGAATCATTCAACTCTGTGAGTTGAATGCACACAACACAAGGAAGTTAGTGGGAATTCCTCTGTCTAACCTTACATGAAAAAACCCGCTTCCAACGAAGGCCTCTAAGAGGCCAAGATATCCACTTGCAGACTTTACAAACAGAGTGTTTCCAAACTGCTGAATGAAAAGAAAAGTTAAACTCTGTGAGTTGAACGCACACATCACAGAGCAGTTTCTGAGAATGATTCTGTCGGGTTTTTATACGAAGATATTTCCTTTTCTGCCTTTGGCCTCAAAGCGCTTGAAGTCTCCACTTGCAAATTGCAGAAAAAGAGTGTTTCGAATCTGCTCTGTCTAAAGGAAGGTTCAACTCTGTCAGTTGAATACACACAACACAAGGAAGTTACTGAGATTTCTTCTGTCTAGCCTTACATGAAAAAAACCCGTTTCCAACGAAGGCCTCAAAGAGGTCAAAATATCCACGTGCAGACTTTCCAAACAGAGTGTTTCCAAACTGCTGAATGAAAAGAAAAGTTAAACTCTGTGAGTTGAACGCACACATCCCAGAGCAGTTTCTGAGAAAGATTCTGTCGAGTTTTTATAGGAAAATATTTCCTTTTCTGCTTTTGGCCTCAAAGCGCTTGAAATCTCCACTTGCAAATTCCACAAAAAGAGACTTTCAAATCTGCTCTGTCTAAAGGAAGGTTCAACTCTGTCAGTTGAATACACACAACACAAAGAAGTTACTAAGAATTCTTCCCTCTAGCATTATATGAAGAAATCCCGTTTGCAACGAAGGCATCTAAGAGGTCCAAATATCCACTTGCAGACTTTACAAACAGAGGGTTTCCAGAATGCTGTATGAAAAGAAAGGTGAAACTCTGTGAGTTAAACACACACATCACTACGCAGTGTCTGGGAACGAGTTTGTCTTGTTTTTATACGAAGATATTTCCTTTTCTACCATTGGCATCGAAGCGCTTGAAATCTCCACTTGCAAATTCCACAAAAAGAGTGTTTCAAATCTGCTCTGTCTAAAGGAAGGTTGAACTCTGTGAGTTGCATACACACAACACAAAGAAGTTACTGAGAAATCTTCTGTCTAGCATAATATGAAGAAATCCCGTTTCCAACGAAGGCCTCAAAGAGGTCCGAATATCCACTGGCAGGCTTCACAAACAGAGTGTTTCCTAACTGCTCTGTGAAAAGAAAGGTTAAACCCTGTGAGTTGAACGCACACATCACAAAGGAGTTTCTGAGAATCATTCTGTCTAGTTTTTATACGAAGATATTTCCTTTTCTACCATTGACCTCAAAGCGGCTGAAATCTCCACTTGCAAATTCCAGAAAAACAGTGTTTCAAATCTGCTCTGTGTAAAGGATCGTTCAACTCTGTGAGTTGAATACACACAACACAAGGAAGTTACTGAGAATTCATCTGTCTAGCATAATATGAAGAAATCCCGTTTCCAACGAAGGCCTCAAAGAGGTCTGAATATCCACTTGCAGACTTTACAAACAGAGTGTTTCCTAACTGCTCTTTGAAAAGAAAGGTTAAACTCTGTGAGTTGAACGCACACATCACAAAACAGTTTCTGAGAATCATTCTGTCTAGTTTTTATACGAAGATATTTCCTTTTCTACCGTTGACCTCAAAGCGGCTGAATTCTCCACTTACAAATTCCACCAAAAGAGTGTCTCAAATCTGCTCTGTGTAAAGAATCATTCAACTCTGTGAGTTGAATGCACACAACACAAGGAAGTTACTGGGAATTCCTCTGTCTATCCTTACATGAAAAAACCCGCTTCCAACGAAGGCCTCTAAGAGGCCAAGATATCCACTTGCAGACTTTACAAACAGAGTGTTTCCAAACTGCTGAATGAAAAGAAAAGTTAAACTCTGTGAGTTGAACGCACACATCACAGAGCAGTTTCTGAGAATGATTCTGTCGGGTTTTTATACGAAGATATTTCCTTTTCTGCCTTTGGCCTCAAAGCGCTTGAAGTCTCCACTTGCAAATTGCAGAAAAAGAGTGTTTCGAATCTGCTCTGTCTAAAGGAAGGTTCAACTCTGTCAGTTGAATACACACAACACAAGGAAGTTACTGAGATTTCTTCTGTCTAGCCTTACATGAAAAAAACCCGTTTCCAACGAAGGCCTCAAAGAGGTCAAAATATCCACGTGCAGACTTTCCAAACAGAGTGTTTCCAAACTGCTGAATGAAAAGAAAAGTTAAACTCTGTGAGTTGAACGCACACATCCCAGAGCAGTTTCTGAGAAAGATTCTGTCGAGTTTTTATAGGAAAATATTTCCTTTTCTGCTTTTGGCCTCAAAGCGCTTGAAATCTCCACTTGCAAATTCCACAAAAAGAGACTTTCAAATCTGCTCTGTCTAAAGGAAGGTTCAACTCTGTCAGTTGAATACACACAACACAAAGAAGTTATTAAGAATTCTTCCCTCTAGCATTATATGAAGAAATCCCGTTTCCAACGAAGGCATCTAAGAGGTCCAAATATCCACTTGCAGACTTTACAAACACAGGGTTTCCAGAATGCTGTATGAAAAGAAAGGTGAAACTCTGTGAGTTAAACACACACATCACTACGCAGTGTCTGGGAACGAGTTTGTCTTGTTTTTATACGAAGATATTTCCTTTTCTACCATTGGCATCGAAGCGCTTGAAATCTCCACTTGCAAATTCCACAAAAAGAGTGTTTCAAATCTGCTCTGTCTAAAGGAAGGTTGAACTCTGTGAGTTGCATACACACAACACAAAGAAGTTACTGAGAAATCTTCTGTCTAGCAAAATATGAAGAAATCCCGTTTCCAACGAAGGCCTCAAAGAGGTCCGAATATCCACTGGCAGGCTTCACAAACAGAGTGTTTCCTAACTGCTCTGTGAAAAGAAAGGTTAAACTTCTGTGAGTTGAACGCACACATCACAAAGGAGTTTCTGAGAATCATTCTGTCTAGTTTTTATACGAAGATATTTCCTTTTCTACCATTGACCTCAAAGCAGCTGAAATCTCCACTTGCAAATTCCAGAAAAACAGTGTTTCAAATCTGCTCTGTGTAAAGGATGGTTCAACTCTGTGAGTTGAATACACACAACACAAGGAAGTTACTGAGAATTCATCTGTCTAGCATAATATGAAGAAATCCCGTTTCCAACGAAGGCCTCAAAGAGGTCTGAATATCCACTTGCAGACTTTACAAACAGAGTGTTTCCTAACTGCTCTTTGAAAAGAAAGGTTAAACTCTGTGAGTTGAAAGCACACATCACAAAACAGTTTCTGAGAATCATTCTTTCTAGTTTTTATACGAAGATATTTCCTTTTCTACCGTTGACCTCAAAGCGGCTGAATTCTCCACTTACAAATTCCACCAAAAGAGTGTCTCAAATCTGCTCTGTGTAAAGAATCATTCAACTCTGTGAGTTGAATGCATACAACACAAGGAAGTTACTGGGAATTCCTCTGTCTATCCTTACATGAAAAAACCCGCTTCCAACGAAGGCCTCTAAGAGGCCAAGATATCCACTTGCAGACTTTACAAACAGAGTGTTTCCAAACTGCTGAATGAAAAGAAAAGTTAAACTCTGTGAGTTGAACGCACACATCACAGAGCAGTTTCTGAGAATGATTCTGTCGGGTTTTTATACGAAGATATTTCCTTTTCTGCCTTTGGCCTCAAAGCGCTTGAAGTCTCCACTTGCAAATTGCAGAAAAAGAGTGTTTCGAATCTGCTCTGTCTAAAGGAAGGTTCAACTCTGTCAGTTGAATACACACAACACAAGGAAGTTACTGAGATTTCTTCTGTCTAGCCTTACATGAAAAAAACCCGTTTCCAACGAAGGCCTCAAAGAGGTCAAAATATCCACGTGCAGACTTTCCAAACAGAGTGTTTCCAAACTGCTGAATGAAAAGAAAAGTTAAACTCTGTGAGTTGAACGCACACATCCCAGAGCAGTTTCTGAGAAAGATTCTGTCTAGTTTTTATAGGAAAATATTTCCTTTTCTGCTTTTGGCCTCAAAGCGCTTGAAATCTCCACTTGCAAATTCCACAAAAAGAGACTTTCAAATCTGCTCTGTCTAAAGGAAGGTTCAACTCTGTCAGTTGAATACACACAACACAAAGAAGTTACTAAGAATTCTTCCCTCTAGCATTATATGAAGAAATCCCGTTTCCAACGAAGGCATCTAAGAGGTCCAAATATCCACTTGCAGACTTTACAAACACAGGGTTTCCAGAATGCTGTATGAAAAGAAAGGTTAAACTCTGTGAGTTAAACACACACATCACTACGCAGTGTCTGGGAACGAGTTTGCCTTGTTTTTATACGAAGATATTTCCTTTTCTACCATTGGCATCGAAGCGCTTGAAATCTCCACTTGCAAATTCCACAAAAAGAGTGTTTCAAATCTGCTCTGTCTAAAGGAAGGTTGAACTCTGTGAGTTGCATACACACAACACAAAGAAGTTACTGAGAAATCTTCTGTCTAGCAAAATATGAAGAAATCCCGTTTCCAACGAAGGCCTCAAAGAGGTCCGAATATCCACTGGCAGGCTTCACAAACAGAGTGTTTCCTAACTGCTCTGTGAAAAGAAAGGTTAAACTCTGTGAGTTGAACGAACACATCACAAAGGAGTTTCTGAGAATCATTCTGTCCAGTTTTTATACGAAGATATTTCCTTTTCTACCATTGACCTCAAAGCGGCTGAAATCTCCACTTGCAAATTCCAGAAAAACAGTGTTTCAAATCTGCTCTGTGTAAAGGATCGTTCAACTCTGTGAGTTGAATACACACAACACAAGGAAGTTACTGAGAATTCATCTGTCTAGCATAATATGATGAAATCCCGTTTCCAACGAAGGCTTCAAAGAGGTCTGAATATCCACTTGCAGACTTTACAAACAGAGTGTTTCCTAACTGCTCTTTGAAAAGAAAGGTTAAACTCTGTGAGTTGAACGCACACATCACAAAACAGTTTCTGAGAATCATTCTTTCTAGTTTTTATACGAAGATATTTCCTTTTCTACCGTTGACCTCAAAGCGGCTGAATTCTCCACTTACAAATTCCACCAAAAGTGTGTCTCAAATCTGCTCTGTGTAAAGAATCATTCAACTCTGTGAGTTGAATGCACACAACACAAGGAAGTTACTGGGAATTCCTCTGTCTAACCTTACATGAAAAAACGCGTTTCCAACGAAGGCCTCTAAGAGGCCAAGATATCCACTTGCAGACTTTACAAACAGAGTGTTTCCAAACTGCTGAATGAAAAGAAAAGTTAAACTCTGTGAGTTGAACGCACACATCACAGAGCAGTTTCTGAGAATGATTCTGTCGGGTTTTTATACGAAGATATTTCCTTTTCTGCCTTGGCCTCAAAGCGCTTGAAGTCTCCACTTGCAAATTGCAGAAAAAGAGCGTTTCGAATCTGCTCTGTCTAAAGGAAGGTTCAACTCTGTCAGTTAAATACACACAACACAAGGAAGTTACTGAGATTTCTTCTGTCTAGCCTTACATGAAAAAAACCCGTTTCCAACGAAGGCCTCAAAGAGGTCAAAATATCCACGTGCAGACTTTCCAAACAGAGTGTTTCCAAACTGCTGAATGAAAAGAAAGTTAAACTCTGTGAGTTGAACACACACATCACAGAGCAGTTTCTGAGAATGATTCTCTCTAGTTTTTATAGGAAAATATTTCCTTTTCTGCTTTTGGCCTCAAAGCGCTTGAAATCTCCACTTGCAAATTCCACAAAAAGAGACTTTCAAATCTGCTCTGTCTAAAGGAAGGTTCAACTCTGTCAGTTGAATACACACAACACAAAGAAGTTACTAAGAATTCTTCCCTCTAGCATTATATGAAGAAATCCCGTTTCCAACGAAGGCATCTAAGAGGTCCAAATATCCACTTGCAGACTTTACAAACAGAGGGTTTCCAGAATGCTGTATGAAAAGAAAGGTTAAACTCTGTGAGTTAAACACACACATCACTACGCAGTGTCTGGGAACGAGTTTGTCTTGTTTTTATACGAAGGATATTTCCTTTTCTACCATTGGCATCGAAGCGCTTGAAATCTCCACTTGCAAATTCCACAAAAAGAGTGTTTCAAATCTGCTCTGTCTAAAGGAAGGTTGAACTCTGTGAGTTGCATACACACAACCCGAAGAAGTTACTGAGAAATCTTCTGTCTAGCATAATATGAAGAAATCCCGTTTCCAACGAAGGCCTCAAAGAGGTCCGAATATCCACTGGCAGGCTTCACAAACAGAGTGTTTCCTAACTGCTCTGTGAAAAGAAAGGTTAAACTCTGTGAGTTGAACGCACACATCACAAAGGAGTTTCTGAGAATCATTCTGTCTAGTTTTTATACGAAGCATATTTCCTTTTCTACCATTGACCTCAAAGCGGCTGAAATCTCCACTTGCAAATTCCAGAAAAACAGTGTTTCAAATCTGCTCTGTGTAAAGGATCGTTCAACTCTGTGAGTTGAATACACACAACACAAGGAAAGTTACTGAGAATTCATCTGTCTAGCATAATATGAAGAAATCCCGTTTCCAACGAAGGCCTCAAAGAGGTCTGAATATCCACTTGCAGACTTTACAAACAGAGTGTTTCCTAACTGCTCTTTGAAAAGAAAGGTTAAACTCTGTGAGTTGAAAGCACACATCACAAAACAGTTTCTGAGAATCATTCTGTCTAGTTTTTATACGAAGATATTTCCTTTTCTACCGTTGACCTCAAAGCGGCTGAATTCTCCACTTACAAATTCCACCAAAAGAGTGTCTCAAATCTGCTCTGTGTAAAGAATCATTCAACTCTGTGAGTTGAATGCACACAACACAAGGAAGTTACTGGGAATTCCTCTGTCTAACCTTACATGAAAAAACCCGTTTCCAACGAAGGCCTCTAAGAGGCCAAGATATCCACTTGCAGACTTTACAAACAGAGTGTTTCCAAACTGCTGAATGAAAAGAAAAGTTAAACTCTGTGAGTTGAACGCACACATCACAGAGCAGTTTCTGAGAATGATTCTGTCGGGTTTTTATACGAAGATATTTCCTTTTCTGCCTTTGGCCTCAAAGCGCTTGAAGTCTCCACTTGCAAATTGCAGAAAAAGAGTGTTTCGAATCTGCTCTGTCTAAAGGAAGGTTCAACTCTGTCAGTTGAATACACACAACACAAGGAAGTTACTGAGATTTCTTCTGTCTAGCCTTACATGAAAAAAACCCGTTTCCAATGAAGGCCTCAAAGAGGTCAAAATATCCACGTGCAGACTTTCCAAACAGAGTGTTTCCAAACTGCTGAATGAAAAGAAAAGTTAAACTCTGTGAGTTGAACGCACACATCACAGAGCAGTTTCTGAGAAAGATTCTGTCGAGTTTTTATAGGAAAATATTTCCTTTTCTGCTTTTGGCCTCAAAGCGCTTGAAATCTCCACTTGCAAATTCCACAAAAAGAGACTTTCAAATCTGCTCTGTCTAAAGGAAGGTTCAACTCTGTCAGTTGAATACACACAACACAAAGAAGTTACTAAGAATTCTTCCCTCTAGCATTATATGAAGAAATCCCGTTTCCAACGAAGGCATCTAAGAGGTCCAAATATCCACTTGCAGACTTTACAAACAGAGGGTTTCCAGAATGCTGTATGAAAAGAAAGGTTAAACTCTGTGAGTTAAACACACACATCACTACGCAGTGTCTGGGAACGAGTTTGTCTTGTTTTTATACGAAGATATTTCCTTTTCTACCATTGGCATCGAAGCGCTTGAAATCTCCACTTGCAAATTCCACAAAAAGAGTGTTTCAAATCTGCTCTGTCTAAAGGAAGGTTGAACTCTGTGAGTTGCATACACACAACACAAAGAAGTTACTGAGAAATCTTCTGTCTAGCATAATATGAAGAAATCCCGTTTCCAACGAAGGCCTCAAAGAGGTCCGAATATCCACTGGCAGGCTTCACAAACAGAGTGTTTCCTAACTGCTCTGTGAAAAGAAAGGTTAAACTCTGTGAGTTGAACGCACACATCACAAAGGAGTTTCTGAGAATCATTCTGTCTAGTTTTTATACGAAGATATTTCCTTTTCTACCATTGACCTCAAAGCGGCTGAAATCTCCACTTGCAAATTCCAGAAAAACAGTGTTTCAAATCTGCTCTGTGTAAAGGATCGTTCAACTCTGTGAGTTGAATACACACAACACAAGGAAGTTACTGAGAATTCATCTGTCTAGCATAATATGAAGAAATCCCGTTTCCAACGAAGGCCTCAAAGAGGTCTGAATATCCACTTGCAGACTTTACAAACAGAGTGCTTCCTAACTGCTCTTTGAAAAGAAAGGTTAAACTCTGTGAGTTGAACGCACACATCACAAAACAGTTTCTGAGAATCATTCTGTCTAGTTTTTATACGAAGATATTTCCTTTTCTACCGTTGACCTCAAAGCGGCTGAATTCTCCACTTACAAATTCCACCAAAAGAGTGTCTCAAATCTGCTCTGTGTAAAGAATCATTCAACTCTGTGAGTTGAATGCACACAACACAAGGAAGTTACTGGGAATTCCTCTGTCTAACCTTACATGAAAAAACCCGCTTCCAACGAAGGCCTCTAAGAGGCCAAGATATCCACTTGCAGACTTTACAGAGTGTTTCCAAACTGCTGAATGAAAAGAAAAGTTAAACTCTGTGAGTTGAACGCACACATCACAGAGCAGTTTCTGAGAATGATTCTGTCGGGTTTTTATACGAAGATATTTCCTTTTCTGCCTTTGGCCTCAAAGCGCTTGAAGTCTCCACTTGCAAATTGCAGAAAAAGAGTGTTTCGAATCTGCTCTGTCTAAAGGAAGGTTCAACTCTGTCAGTTGAATACACACAACACAAGGAAGTTACTGAGATTTCTTCTGTCTAGCCTTACATGAAAAAAACCCGTTTCCAACGAAGGCCTCAAAGAGGTCAAAATATCCACGTGCAGACTTTCCAAACAGAGTGTTTCCAAACTGCTGAATGAAAAGAAAAGTTAAACTCTGTGAGTTGAACGCACACATCCCAGAGCAGTTTCTGAGAAAGATTCTGTCTAGTTTTTATAGGAAAATATTTCCTTTTCTGCTTTTGGCCTCAAAGCGCTTGAAATCTCCACTTGCAAATTCCACAAAAAGAGACTTTCAAATCTGCTCTGTCTAAAGGAAGGTTCAACTCTGTCAGTTGAATACACACAACACAAAGAAGTTACTAAGAATTCTCCCTCTAGCATTATATGAAGAAATCCCGTTTCCAACGAAGGCATCTAAGAGGTCCAAATATCCACTTGCAGACTTTACAAACAGAGGGTTTCCAGAATGCTGTATGAAAAGAAAGGTTAAACTCTGTGAGTTAAACACACACATCACTACGCAGTGTCTGGGAACGAGTTTGTCTTGTTTTTATACGAAGATATTTCCTTTTCTACCATTGGCATCGAAGCGCTTGAAATCTCCACTTGCAAATTCCACAAAAAGAGTGTTTCAAATCTGCTCTGTCTAAAGGAAGGTTGAACTCTGTGAGTTGCATACACACAACACAAAGAAGTTACTGAGAAATCTTCTGTCTAGCATAATATGAAGAAATCCCGTTTCCAACGAAGGCCTCAAAGAGGTCCGAATATCCACTGGCAGGCTTCACAAACAGAGTGTTTCCTAACTGCTCTGTGAAAAGAAAGGTTAAACTCTGTGAGTTGAACGCACACATCACAAAGGAGTTTCTGAGAATCATTCTGTCTAGTTTTTATACGAAGATATTTCCTTTTCTACCATTGACCTCAAAGCGGCTGAAATCTCCACTTGCAAATTCCAGAAAAACAGTGTTTCAAATCTGCTCTGTGTAAAGGATCGTTCAACTCTGTGAGTTGAATACACACAACACAAGGAAGTTACTGAGAATTCATCTGTCTAGCATAATATGAAGAAATCCCGTTTCCAACGAAGGCCTCAAAGAGGTCTGAATATCCACTTGCAGACTTTACAAACAGAGTGTTTCCTAACTGCTCTTTGAAAAGAAAGGTTAAACTCTGTGAGTTGAACGCACACATCACAAAACAGTTTCTGAGAATCATTCTGTCTAGTTTTTATACGAAGATATTTCCTTTTCTACCGTTGACCTCAAAGCGGCTGAATTCTCCACTTACAAATTCCACCAAAAGAGTGTCTCAAATCTGCTCTGTGTAAAGAATCATTCAACTCTGTGAGTTGAATGCACACAACACAAGGAAGTTACTGGGAATTCCTCTGTCTAACCTTACATGAAAAAACCCGTTTCCAACGAAGGCCTCTAAGAGGCCAAGATATCCACTTGCAGACTTTACAAACAGAGTGTTTCCAAACTGCTGAATGAAAAGAAAAGTTAAACTCTGTGAGTTGAACGCACACATCACAGAGCAGTTTCTGAGAATGATTCTGTCGGGTTTTTATACGAAGATATTTCCTTTTCTGCCTTTGGCCTCAAAGCGCTTGAAGTCTCCACTTGCAAATTGCAGAAAAAGAGTGTTTCGAATCTGCTCTGTCTAAAGGAAGGTTCAACTCTGTCAGTTGAATACACACAACACAAGGAAGTTACTGAGATTTCTTCTGTCTAGCCTTACATGAAAAAAACCCGTTTCCAACGAAGGCCTCAAAGAGGTCAAAATATCCACGTGCAGACTTTCCAAACAGAGTGTTTCCAAACTGCTGAATGAAAAGAAAAGTTAAACTCTGTGAGTTGAACGCACACATCCCAGAGCAGTTTCTGAGAAAGATTCTGTCGAGTTTTTATAGGAAAATATTTCCTTTTCTGCTTTTGGCCTCAAAGCGCTTGAAATCTCCACTTGCAAATTCCACAAAAAGAGACTTTCAAATCTGCTCTGTCTAAAGGAAGGTTCAACTCTGTCAGTTGAATACACACAACACAAAGAAGTTACTAAGAATTCTTCCCTCTAGCATTATATGAAGAAATCCCGTTTCCAACGAAGGCATCTAAGAGGTCCAAATATCCACTTGCAGACTTTACAAACAGAGGGTTTCCAGAATGCTGTATGAAAAGAAAGGTTAAACTCTGTGAGTTAAACACACACATCACTACGCAGTGTCTGGGATCGAGTTTGTCTTGTTTTTATACGAAGATATTTCCTTTTCTACCATTGGCATCGAAGCGCTTGAAATCTCCACTTGCAAATTCCACAAAAAGAGTGTTTCAAATCTGCTCTGTCTAAAGGAAGGTTGAACTCTGTGAGTTGCATACACACAACACAAAGAAGTTACTGAGAAATCTTCTGTCTAGCATAATATGAAGAAATCCCGTTTCCAACGAAGGCCTCAAAGAGGTCCGAATATCCACTGGCAGGCTTCACAAACAGAGTGTTTCCTAACTGCTCTGTGAAAAGAAAGGTTAAACCCTGTGAGTTGAACGCACACATCACAAAGGAGTTTCTGAGAATCATTCTGTCTAGTTTTTATACGAAGATATTTCCTTTTCTACCATTGACCTCAAAGCGGCTGAAATCTCCACTTGCAATTTCCAGAAAAACAGTGTTTCAAATCTGCTCTGTGTAAAGGATCGTTCAACTCTGTGAGTTGAATACACACAACACAAGGAAGTTACTGAGAATTCATCTGTCTAGCATAATATGAAGAAATCCCGTTTCCAACGAAGGCCTCAAAGAGGTCTGAATATCCACTTGCAGACTTTACAAACAGAGTGTTTCCTAACTGCTCTTTGAAAAGAAAGGTTAAACTCTGTGAGTTGAACGCACACATCACAAAACAGTTTCTGAGAATCATTCTGTCTAGTTTTTCTACGAAGATATTTCCTTTTCTACCGTTGACCTCAAAGCGGCTGAATTCTCCACTTACAAATTCCACCAAAAGAGTGTCTCAAATCTGCTCTGTGTAAAGAATCATTCAACTCTGTGAGTTGAATGCACACAACACAAGGAAGTTACTGGGAATTCCTCTGTCTAACCTTACATGAAAAAACCCGTTTCCAACGAAGGCCTCTAAGAGGCCAAGATATCCACTTGCAGACTTTACAAACAGAGTGTTTCCAAACTGCTGAATGAAAAGAAAAGTTAAACTCTGTGAGTTGAACGCACACATCACAGAGCAGTTTCTGAGAATGATTCTGTCGGGTTTTTATACGAAGATATTTCCTTTTCTGCCTTTGGCCTCAAAGCGCTTGAAGTCTCCACTTGCAAATTGCAGAAAAAGAGTGTTTCGAATCTGCTCTGTCTAAAGGAAGGTTCAACTCTGTCAGTTGAATACACACAACACAAGGAAGTTACTGAGATTTCTTCTGTCTAGCCTTACATGAAAAAAACCCGTTTCCAACGAAGGCCTCAAAGAGGTCAAAATATCCACGTGCAGACTTTCCAAACAGAGTGTTTCCAAACTGCTGAATGAAAAGAAAAGTTAAACTCTGTGAGTTGAACGCACACATCCCAGAGCAGTTTCTGAGAAAGATTCTGTCGAGTTTTTATAGGAAAATATTTCCTTTTCTGCTTTTGGCCTCAAAGCGCTTGAAATCTCCACTTGCAAATTCCACAAAAAGAGACTTTCAAATCTGCTCTGTCTAAAGGAAGGTTCAACTCTGTCAGTTGAATACACACAACACAAAGAAGTTACTAAGAATTCTTCCCTCTAGCATTATATGAAGAAATCCCGTTTCCAACGAAGGCATCTAAGAGGTCCAAATATCCACTTGCAGACTTTACAAACAGAGGGTTTCCAGAATGCTGTATGAAAAGAAAGGTTAAACTCTGTGAGTTAAACACACACATCACTACGCAGTGTCTGGGAACGAGTTTGTCTTGTTTTTATACGAAGATATTTCCTTTTCTACCATTGGCATCGAAGCGCTTGAAATCTCCACTTGCAAATTCCACAAAAAGAGTGTTTCAAATCTGCTCTGTCTAAAGGAAGGTTGAACTCTGTGAGTTGCATACACACAACACAAAGAAGTTACTGAGAAATCTTCTGTCTAGCATAATATGAAGAAATCCCGTTTCCAACGAAGGCCTCAAAGAGGTCCGAATATCCACTGGCAGGCTTCACAAACAGAGTGTTTCCTAACTGCTCTGTGAAAAGAAAGGTTAAACTCTGTGAGTTGAACGCACACATCACAAAGGAGTTTCTGAGAATCATTCTGTCTAGTTTTTATACGAAGATATTTCCTTTTCTACCATTGACCTCAAAGCGGCTGAAATCTCCACTTACAAATTCCAGAAAAACAGTGTTTCAAATCTGCTCTGTGTAAAGGATCGTTCAACTCTGTGAGTTGAATACACACAACACAAGGAAGTTACTGAGAATTCATCTGTCTAGCATAATATGAAGAAATCCCGTTTCCAACGAAGGCCTCAAAGAGGTCTGAATATCCACTTGCAGACTTTACAAACAGAGTGTTTCCTAACTGCTCTTTGAAAAGAAAGGTTAAACTCTGTGAGTTGAACGCACACATCACAAAACAGTTTCTGAGAATCATTCTGTCTAGTTTTTATACGAAGATATTTCCTTTTCTACCGTTGACCTCAAAGCGGCTGAATTCTCCACTTACAAATTCCACCAAAAGAGTGTCTCAAATCTGCTCTGTGTAAAGAATCATTCAACTCTGTGAGTTGAATGCACACAACACAAGGAAGTTACCGGGAATTCCTCTGTCTAACCTTACATGAAAAAACCCGTTTCCAACGAAGGCCTCTAAGAGGCCAAGATATCCACTTGCAGACTTTACAAACACAGTGTTTCCAAACTGCTGAATGAAAAGAAAAGTTAAACTCTGTGAGTTGAACGCACACATCACAGAGCAGTTTCTGAGAATGATTCTGTCGGGTTTTTATACGAAGATATTTCCTTTTCTGCCTTTGGCCTCAAAGCGCTTGAAGTCTCCACTTGCAAATTGCAGAAAAAGAGTGTTTCGAATCTGCTCTGTCTAAAGGAAGGTTCAACTCTGTCAGTTGAATACACACAACACAAGGAAGTTACTGAGATTTCTTCTGTCTAGCCTTACATGAAAAAAACCCGTTTCCAACGAAGGCCTCAAAGAGGTCAAAATATCCACGTGCAGACTTTCCAAACAGAGTGTTTCCAAACTGCTGAATGAAAAGAAAAGTTAAACTCTGTGAGTTGAACGCACACATCCCAGAGCAGTTTCTGAGAAAGATTCTGTCTAGTTTTTATAGGAAAATATTTCCTTTTCTGCTTTTGGCCTCAAAGCGCTTGAAATCTCCACTTGCAAATTCCACAAAAAGAGACTTTCAAATCTGCTCTGTCTAAAGGAAGGTTCAACTCTGTCAGTTGAATACACACAACACAAAGAAGTTACTAAGAATTCTTCCCTCTAGCATTATATGAAGAAATCCCGTTTCCAACGAAGGCATCTAAGAGGTCCAAATATCCACTTGCAGACTTTACAAACACAGGGTTTCCAGAATGCTGTATGAAAAGAAAGGTGAAACTCTGTGAGTTAAACACACACATCACTACGCAGTGTCTGGGAACGAGTTTGTCTTGTTTTTATACGAAGATATTTCCTTTTCTACCATTGGCATCGAAGCGCTTGAAATCTCCACTTGCAAATTCCACAAAAAGAGTGTTTCAAATCTGCTCTGTCTAAAGGAAGGTTGAACTCTGTGAGTTGCATACACACAACACAAAGTAGTTACTGAGAAATCTTCTGTCTAGCATAATATGAAGAAATCCCGTTTCCAACGAAGGCCTCAAAGAGGTCCGAATATCCACTGGCAGGCTTCACAAACAGAGTGTTTCCTAACTGCTCTGTGAAAAGAAAGGTTAAACTCTGTGAGTTGAACGCACACATCACAAAGGAGTTTCTGAGAATCATTCTGTCTAGTTTTTATACGAAGATATTTCCTTTTCTACCATTGACCTCAAAGCGGCTGACATCTCCACTTGCAAATTCCAGAAAAACAGTGTTTCAAATCTGCTCTGTGTAAAGGATCGTTCAACTCTGTGAGTTGAATACACACAACACAAGGAAGTTACTGAGAATTCATCTGTCTAGCATAATATGAAGAAATCCCGTTTCCAACGAAGGCCTCAAAGAGGTCTGAATATCCACTTGCAGACTTTACAAACAGAGTGCTTCCTAACTGCTCTTTGAAAAGAAAGGTTAAACTCTGTGAGTTGAACGCACACATCACAAAACAGTTTCTGAGAATCATTCTGTCTAGTTTTTATACGAAGATATTTCCTTTTCTACCGTTGACCTCAAAGCGGCTGAATTCTCCACTTACAAATTCCACCAAAAGAGTGTCTCAAATCTGCTCTGTGTAAAGAATCATTCAACTCTGTGAGTTGAATGCACACAACACAAGGAAGTTACTGGGAATTCCTCTGTCTAACCTTACATGAAAAAACCCGTTTCCAACGAAGGCCTCTAAGAGGCCAAGATATCCACTTGCAGACTTTACAAACAGAGTGTTTCCAAACTGCTGAATGAAAAGAAAAGTTAAACTCTGTGAGTTGAACGCACACATCACAGAGCAGTTTGCTGAGAGAGATTCTGTCGGGTTTTTATACGAAGATATTTCCTTTTCTGCCTTTGGCCTCAAAGCGCTTGAAGTCTCCACTTGCAAATTGCAGAACAAGAGTGTTTCCAATCTGCTCTGTCTAAAGGAAGGTTCAACTCTGTCAGTTGAATACACACAACACAAGGAAGTTACTGAGATTTCTTCTGTCTAGCCTTACATGAAAAAAACCCGTTTCCAACGAAGGCCTCAAAGAGGTCAAAATATCCACGTGCAGACTTTCCAAACAGAGTGTTTCCAAACTGCTGAATGAAAAGAAAAGTTAAACTCTGTGAGTTGAACGCACACATCCCAGAGCAGTTTCTGAGAAAGATTCTGTCTAGTTTTTATAGGAAAATATTTCCTTTTCTGCTTTTGGCCTCAAAGCGCTTGAAATCTCCACTTGCAAATTCCACAAAAAGAGACTTTCAAATCTGCTCTGTCTAAAGGAAGGTTCAACTCTGTCAGTTGAATACACACAACACAAAGAAGTTACTAAGAATTCTTCCCTCTAGCATTATATGAAGAAATCCCGTTTCCAACGAAGGCATCTAAGAGGTCCAAATATCCACTTGCAGACTTTACAAACACAGGGTTTCCAGAATGCTGTATGAAAAGAAAGGTTAAACTCTGTGAGTTGAACGCACACATCACAAAGGAGTTTCTGAGAATCATTCTGTCTAGTTTTTATACGAAGATATTTCCTTTTCTACCATTGACCTCAAAGCGGCTGAAATCTCCACTTGCAAATTCCAGAAAAACAGTGTTTCAAATCTGCTCTGTGTAAAGGATCGTTTAACTCTGTGAGTTGAATACACACAACACAAGGAAGTTACTGAGAATTCATCGGTCTAGCATAATATGAAGAAATCCCGTTTCCAACGAAGGCCTCAAAGAGGTCTGAATATCCACTTGCAGACTTTACAAACAGAGTGTTTCCTAACTGCTCTTTGAAAAGAAAGGTTAAACTCTGTGAGTTGAAAGCACACATCACAAAACAGTTTCTGAGAATCATTCTGTCTAGTTTTTATACGAAGATATTTGCTTTTCTACCGTTGACCTCAAAGCGGCTGAATTCTCCACTTACAAATTCCACCAAAAGAGTGTCTCAAATCTGCTCTGTGTAAAGAATCATTCAACTCTGTGAGTTGAATGCACACAACACAAGGAAGTTACTGGGAATTCCTCTGTCTATCCTTACATGAAAAAACCCGCTTCCAACGAAGGCCTCTAAGAGGCCAAGATATCCACTTGCAGACTTTACAAACAGAGTGTTTCCAAACTGCTGAATGAAAAGAAAAGTTAAACTCTGTGAGTTGAACGCACACATCACAGAGCAGTTTCTGAGAATGATTCTGTCGGGTTTTTATACGAAGATATTTCCTTTTCTGCCTTTGGCCTCAAAGCGCTTGAAGTCTCCACTTGCAAATTGCAGAAAAAGAGTGTTTCGAATCTGCTCTGTCTAAAGGAAGGTTCAACTCTGTCAGTTGAATACACACAACACAAGGAAGTTACTGAGATTTCTTCTGTCTATCCTTACATGAAAAAAACCCGTTTCCAACGAAGGCCTCAAAGAGGTCAAAATATCCACGTGCAGACTTTCCAAACAGAGTGTTTCCAAACTGCTGAATGAAAAGAAAAGTTAAACTCTGTGAGTTGAACGCACACATCCCAGAGCAGTTTCTGAGAAAGATTCTGTCGAGTTTTTATAGGAAAATATTTCCTTTTCTGCTTTTGGCCTCAAAGCGCTTGAAATCTCCACTTGCAAATTCCACAAAAAGAGACTTTCAAATCTGCTCTGTCTAAAGGAAGGTTCAACTCTGTCAGTTGAATACACACAACACAAAGAAGTTACTAAGAATTCTTCCCTCTAGCATTATATGAAGAAATCCCGTTTCCAACGAAGGCATCTAAGAGGTCCAAATATCCACTTGCAGACTTTACAAACAGAGGGTTTCCAGAATGCTGTATGAAAAGAAAGGTTAAACTCTGTGAGTTAAACACACACATCACTACGCAGTGTCTGGGAACGAGTTTGTCTTGTTTTTCTACGAAGATATTTCCTTTTCTACCATTGGCATCGAAGCGCTTGAAATCTCCACTTGCAAATTCCACAAAAAGAGTGTTTCAAATCTGCTCTGTCTAAAGGAAGGTTGAACTCTGTGAGTTGCATACACACAACACAAAGAAGTTACTGAGAAATCTTCTGTCTAGCATAATATGAAGAAATCCCGTTTCCAACGAAGGCCTCAAAGAGGTCCGAATATCCACTGGCAGGCTTCACAAACAGAGTGTTTCCTAACTGCTCTGTGAAAAGAAAGGTTAAACTCTGTGAGTTGAACGCACACATCACAAAGGAGTTTCTGAGAATCATTCTGTCCAGTTTTTATACGAAGATATTTCCTTTTCTACCATTGACCTCAAAGCGGCTGAAATCTCCACTTGCAAATTCCAGAAAAACAGTGTTTCAAATCTGCTCTGTATAAAGGATCGTTCAACTCTGTGAGTTGAATACACACAACACAAGGAAGTTACTGAGAATTCATCTGTCTAGCATAATATGAAGAAATCCCGTTTCCAACGAAGGCCTCAAAGAGGTCTGAATATCCACTTGCAGACTTTACAAACAGAGTGTTTCCTAACTGCTCTTTGAAAAGAAAGGTTAAACTCTGTGAGTTGAACGCACACATCACAAAACAGTTTCTGAGAATCATTCTGTCTAGTTTTTATACGAAGATATTTCCTTTTCTACCGTTGACCTCAAAGCGGCTGAATTCTCCACTTACAAATTCCACCAAAAGAGTGTCTCAAATCTGCTCTGTGTAAAGAATCATTCAACTCTGTGAGTTGAATGCACACAACACAAGGAAGTTACTGGGAATTCCTCTGTCTAACCTTACATGAAAAAACCCGTTTCCAACGAAGGCCTCTAAGAGGCCAAGATATCCACTTGCAGACTTTACAAACAGAGTGTTTCCAAACTGCTGAATGAAAAGAAAAGTTAAACTCTGTGAGTTGAACGCACACATCACAGAGCAGTTTCTGAGAATGATTCTGTCGGGTTTTTATACGAAGATATTTCCTTTTCTGCCTTTGGCCTCAAAGCGCTTGAAGTCTCCACTTGCAAATTGCAGAAAAAGAGTGTTTCGAATCTGCTCTGTCTAAAGGAAGGTTCAACTCTGTCAGTTGAATACACACAACACAAGGAAGTTACTGAGATTTCTTCTGTCTAGCCTTACATGAAAAAAACCCGTTTCCAACGAAGGCCTCAAAGAGGTCAAAATATCCACGTGCAGACTTTCCAAACAGTGTTTCCAAACTGCTGAATGAAAAGAAAAGTTAAACTCTGTGAGTTGAACGCACACATCACAGAGCAGTTTCTGAGAATGATTCTGTCGAGTTTTTATAGGAAAATATTTCCTTTTCTGCTTTTGGCCTCAAAGCGCTTGAAATTTCCACTTGCAAATTCCACAAAAAGAGACTTTCAAATCTGCTCTGTCTAAAGGAAGGTTCAACTCTGTCAGTTGAATACACACAACACAAAGAAGTTACTAAGAATTCTTCCCTCTAGCATTATATGAAGAAATCCCGTTTCCAACGAAGGCATCTAAGAGGTCCAAATATCCACTTGCAGACTTTACAAACACAGGGTTTCCAGAATGCTGTATGAAAAGAAAGGTTAAACTCTGTGAGTTAAACACACACATCACTACGCAGTGTCTGGGAACGAGTTTGTCTTGTTTTTATACGAAGATATTTCCTTTTCTACCATGGGCATCGATGCGCTTGAAATTTCCACTTGCAAATTCCACAAAAAGAGTGTTTCAAATCTGCTCTGTCTAAAGGAAGTTTGAACTCTGTGAGTTGCATACACACAACACAAAGAAGTTACTGAGAAATCTTCTGTCTTGCAAAATATGAAGAAATCCCGTTTCCAACGAAGGCCTCAAAGAGGTCCGAATATCCACTGGCAGGCTTCACAAACAGAGTGTTTCCTAACTGCTCTGTGAAAAGAAAGGTTAAACTCTGTGAGTTGAACGCACACATCACAAAGGAGTTTCTGAGAATCATTCTGTCCAGTTTTTATACGAAGATATTTCCTTTTCTACCATTGACCTCAAAGCGGCTGAAATCTCCACTTGCAAATTCCAGAAAAACAGTGTTTCAAATCTGCTCTGTGTAAAGGATCGTTCAACTCTGTGAGTTGAATACACACAACACAAGGAAGTTACTGAGAATTCATCTGTCTAGCATAATATGAAGAAATCCCGTTTCCAACGAAGGCTTCAAAGAGGTCTGAATATCCACTTGCAGACTTTACAAACAGAGTGTTTCCTAACTGCTCTTTGAAAAGAAAGGTTAAACTCTGTGAGTTGAACGCACACATCACAAAACAGTTTCTGAGAATCATTCTTTCTAGTTTTTATACGAAGATATTTCCTTTTCTACCGTTGACCTCAAAGCGGCTGAATTCTCCACTTACAAATTCCACCAAAAGTGTGTCTCAAATCTGCTCTGTGTAAAGAATCATTCAACTCTGTGAGTTGAATGCACACAACACAAGGAAGTTACTGGGAATTCCTCTGTCTAACCTTACATGAAAAAACCCGTTTCCAACGAAGGCCTCTAAGAGGCCAAGATATCCACTTGCAGACTTTACAAACAGAGTGTTTCCAAACTGCTGAATGAAAAGAAAAGTTAAACTCTGTGAGTTGAACGCACACATCACAGAGCAGTTTCTGAGAATGATTCTGTCGGGTTTTTATACGAAGATATTTCCTTTTCTGCCTTTGGCCTCAAAGCGCTTCAAGTCTCCACTTGCAAATTGCAGAAAAAGAGTGTTTCGAATCTGCTCTGTCTAAAGGAAGGTTCAACTCTGTCAGTTGAATACACACAACACAAGGAAGTTACTGAGATTTCTTCTGTCTAGCCTTACATGAAAAAAACCCGTTTCCAACGAAGGCCTCAAAGAGGTCAAAATATCCACGTGCAGACTTTCCAAACAGAGTGTTTCCAAACTGCTGAATGAAAAGAAAAGTTAAACTCTGTGAGTTGAACGCACACATCCCAGAGCAGTTTCTGAGAAAGATTCTGTCGAGTTTTTATAGGAAAATATTTGCTTTTCTGCTTTTGGCCTCAAAGCGCTTGAAATCTCCACTTGCAAATTCCACAAAAAGAGACTTTCAAATCTGCTCTGTCTAAAGGAAGGTTCAACTCTGTCAGTTGAATACACACAACACAAAGAAGTTACTAAGAATTCTTCCCTCTAGCATTATATGAAGAAATCCCGTTTCCAACGAAGGCATCTAAGAGGTCCAAATATCCACTTGCAGACTTTACAAACACAGGGTTTCCAGAATGCTGTATGAAAAGAAAGGTTAAACTCTGTGAGTTAAACACACACATCACTACGCAGTGTCTGGGAACGAGTTTGTCTTGTTTTTATACGAAGATATTTCCTTTTCTACCATTGGCATCGAAGCGCTTGAAATCTCCACTTGCAAATTCCACAAAAAGAGTGTTTCAAATCTGCTCTGTCTAAAGGAAGGTTGAACTCTGTGAGTTGCATACACACAACACAAAGAAGTTACTGAGAAATCTTCTGTCTAGCATAATATGAAGAAATCCCGTTTCCAACGAAGGCCTCAAAGAGGTCCGAATATCCACTGGCAGGCTTCACAAACAGAGTGTTTCCTAACTGCTCTGTGAAAAGAAAGGTTAAACTCTGTGAGTTGAACGCACACATCACAAAGGAGTTTCTGAGAATCATTCTGTCTAGTTTTTATACGAAGATATTTCCTTTTCTACCATTGACCTCAAAGCGGCTGAAATCTCCACTTGCAAATTCCAGAAAAACAGTGTTTCAAATCTGCTCTGTGTAAAGGATCGTTCAACTCTGTGAGTTGAATACACACAACACAAGGAAGTTACTGAGAATTCATCTGTCTAGCATAATATGAAGAAATCCCGTTTCCAACGAAGGCCTCAAAGAGGTCTGAATATCCACTTGCAGACTTTACAAACAGAGTGTTTCCTAACTGCTCTTTGAAAAGAAAGGTTAAACTCTGTGAGTTGAACGCACACATCACAAAACAGTTTCTGAGAATCATTCTGTCTAGTTTTTATACGAAGATATTTCCTTTTCTACCGTTGACCTCAAAGCGGCTGAATTCTCCACTTACAAATTCCACCAAAAGAGTGTCTCAAAACTGCTCTGTGTAAAGAATCATTCAACTCTGTGAGTTGAATGCACACAACACAAGGAAGTTACTGGGAATTCCTCTGTCTAACCTTACATGAAAAAACCCGTTTCCAACGAAGGCCTCTAAGAGGCCAAGATATCCACTTGCAGACTTTACAAACAGAGTGTTTCCAAACTGCTGAATGAAAAGAAAAGTTAAACTCTGTGAGTTGAACGCACACATCACAGAGCAGTTTCTGAGAATGATTCTGTCGGGTTTTTATACGAAGATATTTCCTTTTCTGTCTTTGGCCTCAAAGCGCTTGAAGTCTCCACTTGCAAATTGCAGAAAAAGAGTGTTTCGAATCTGCTCTGTCTAAAGGAAGGTTCAACTCTGTCAGTTGAATACACACAACACAAGGAAGTTACTGAGATTTCTTCTGTCTAGCCTTACATGAAAAAAACCCGTTTCCAACGAAGGCCTCAAAGAGGTCAAAATATCCACGTGCAGACTTTCCAAACAGAGTGTTTCCAAACTGCTGAATGAAAAGAAAAGTTAAACTCTGTGAGTTGAACGCACACATCCCAGAGCAGTTTCTGAGAAAGATTCTGTCGAGTTTTTAAAGGAAAATATTTCCTTTTCTGCTTTTGCCCTCAAAGCGCTTGAAATCTCCACTTGCAAATTCCACAAAAAGAGACTTTCAAATCTGCTCTGTCTAAAGGAAGGTTCAACTCTGTCAGTTGAATACACACAACACAAAGAAGTTACTAAGAATTCTTCCCTCTAGCATTATATGAAGAAATCCCGTTTCCAACGAAGGCATCTAAGAGGTCCAAATATCCACTTGCAGACTTTACAAACAGAGGGTTTCCAGAATGCTGTATGAAAAGAAAGGTTAAACTCTGTGAGTTAAACACACACATCACTACGCAGTGTCTGGGAACGAGTTTGTCTTGTTTTTATACGAAGATATTTCCTTTTCTACCATTGGCATCGAAGCGCTTGAAATCTCCACTTGCAAATTCCACAAAAAGAGTGTTTCAAATCTGCTCTGTCTAAAGGAAGGTTGAACTCTGTGAGTTGCATACACACAACACAAAGAAGTTACTGAGAAATCTTCTGTCTAGCATAATATGAAGAAATCCCGTTTCCAACGAAGGCCTCAAAGAGGTCCGAATATCCACTGGCAGGCTTCACAAACAGAGTGTTTCCTAACTGCTCTGTGAAAAGAAAGGTTAAACCCTGTGAGTTGAACGCACACATCACAAAGGAGTTTCTGAGAATCATTCTGTCTAGTTTTTATACGAAGATATTTCCTTTTCTACCATTGACCTCAAAGCGGCTGAAATCTCCACTTGCAAATTCCAGAAAAACAGTGTTTCAAATCTGCTCTGTGTAAAGGATCGTTCAACTCTGTGAGTTGAATACACACAACACAAGGAAGTTACTGAGAATTCATCTGTCTAGCATAATATGAAGAAATCCCGTTTCCAACGAAGGCCTCAAAGAGGTCTGAATATCCACTTGCAGACTTTACAAACAGAGTGTTTCCTAACTGCTCTTTGAAAAGAAAGGTTAAACTCTGTGAGTTGAACGCACACATCACAAAACAGTTTCTGAGAATCATTCTTTCTAGTTTTTATACGAAGATATTTCCTTTTCTACCGTTGACCTCAAAGCGGCTGAATTCTCCACTTACAAATTCCACCAAAAGAGTGTCTCAAATCTGCTCTGTGTAAAGAATCATTCAACTCTGTGAGTTGAATGCATACAACACAAGGAAGTTACTGGGAATTCCTCTGTCTATCCTTACATGAAAAAACCCGCTTCCAACGAAGGCCTCTAAGAGGCCAAGATATCCACTTGCAGACTTTACAAACAGAGTGTTTCCAAACTGCTGAATGAAAAGAAAAGTTAAACTCTGTGAGTTGAACGCACACATCACAGAGCAGTTTCTGAGAATGATTCTGTCGGGTTTTTATACGAAGATATTTCCTTTTCTGCCTTTGGCCTCAAAGCGCTTGAAGTCTCCACTTGCAAATTGCAGAAAAAGAGTGTTTCGAATCTGCTCTGTCTAAAGGAAGGTTCAACTCTGTCAGTTGAATACACACAACACAAGGAAGTTACTGAGATTTCTTCTGTCTAGCCTTACATGAAAAAAACCCGTTTCCAACGAAGGCCTCAAAGAGGTCAAAATATCCACGTGCAGACTTTCCAAACAGAGTGTTTCCAAACTGCTGAATGAAAAGAAAAGTTAAACTCTGTGAGTTGAACGCACACATCCCAGAGCAGTTTCTGAGAAAGATTCTGTCGAGTTTTTATAGGAAAATATTTCCTTTTCTGCTTTTGGCCTCAAAGCGCTTGAAATCTCCACTTGCAAATTCCACAAAAAGAGACTTTCAAATCTGCTCTGTCTAAAGGAAGGTTCAACTCTGTCAGTTGAATACACACAACACAAAGAAGTTACTAAGAATTCTTCCCTCTAGCATTATATGAAGAAATCCCGTTTCCAACGAAGGCATCTAAGAGGTCCAAATATCCACTTGCAGACTTTACAAACAGAGGGTTTCCAGAATGCTGTATGAAAAGAAAGGTGAAACTCTGTGAGTTAAACACACACATCACTACGCAGTGTCTGGGAACGAGTTTGTCTTGTTTTTATACGAAGATATTTCCTTTTCTACCATTGGCATCGAAGCGCTTGAAATCTCCACTTGCAAATTCCACAAAAAGAGTGTTTCAAATCTGCTCTGTCTAAAGGAAGGTTGAACTCTGTGAGTTGCATACACACAACACAAAGAAGTTACTGAGAAATCTTCTGTCTAGCATAATATGAAGAAATCCCGTTTCCAACGAAGGCCTCAAAGAGGTCCGAATATCCACTGGCAGGCTTCACAAACAGAGTGTTTCCTAACTGCTCTGTGAAAAGAAAGGTTAAACTCTGTGAGTTGAACGCACACATCACAAAGGAGTTTCTGAGAATCATTCTGTCTAGTTTTTATACGAAGATATTTCCTTTTCTACCATTGACCTCAAAGCGGCTGAAATCTCCACTTGCAAATTCCAGAAAAACAGTGTTTCAAATCTGCTCTGTGTAAAGGATCGTTCAACTCTGTGAGTTGAATACACACAACACAAGGAAGTTACTGAGAATTCATCTGTCTAGCATAATATGAAGAAATCCCGTTTCCAACGAAGGCCTCAAAGAGGTCTGAATATCCACTTGCAGACTTTACAAACAGAGTGTTTCCTAACTGCTCTTTGAAAAGAAAGGTTAAACTCTGTGAGTTGAAAGCACACATCACAAAACAGTTTCTGAGAATCATTCTGTCTAGTTTTTATACGAAGATATTTCCTTTTCTACCGTTGACCTCAAAGCGGCTGAATTCTCCACTTACAAATTCCACCAAAAGAGTGTCTCAAATCTGCTCTGTGTAAAGAATCATTCAACTCTGTGAGTTGAATGCACACAACACAAGGAAGTTACTGGGAATTCCTCTGTCTAACCTTACATGAAAAAACCCGTTTCCAATGAAGGCCTCTAAGAGGCCAAGATATCCACTTGCAGACTTTACAAACAGAGTGTTTCCAAACTGCTGAATGAAAAGAAAAGTTAAACTCTGTGAGTTGAACGCACACATCACAGAGCAGTTTCTGAGAATGATTCTGTCGGGTTTTTATACGAAGATATTTCCTTTTCTGCCTTTGGCCTCAAAGCGCTTGAAGTCTCCACTTGCAAATTGCAGAAAAAGAGTGTTTCGAATCTGCTCTGTCTAAAGGAAGGTTCAACTCTGTCAGTTGAATACACACAACACAAGGAAGTTACTGAGATTTCTTCTGTCTAGCCTTACATGAAAAAAACCCGTTTCCAACGAAGGCCTCAAAGAGGTCAAAATATCCACGTGCAGACTTTCCAAACAGAGTGTTTCCAAACTGCTGAATGGAAAGAAAAGTTAAACTCTGTGAGTTGAACGCACACATCCCAGAGCAGTTTCTGAGAAAGATTCTGTCTAGTTTTTATAGGAAAATATTTCCTTTTCTGCTTTTGGCCTCAAAGCGCTTGAAATCTCCACTTGCAAATTCCACAAAAAGAGACTTTCAAATCTGCTCTGTCTAAAGGAAGGTTCAACTCTGTCAGTTGAATACACACAACACAAAGAAGTTACTAAGAATTCTTCCCTCTAGCATTATATGAAGAAATCCCGTTTCCAACGAAGGCATCTAAGAGGTCCAAATATCCACTTGCAGACTTTACAAACACAGGGTTTCCAGAATGCTGTATGAAAAGAAAGGTGAAACTCTGTGAGTTAAACACACACATCACTACGCAGTGTCTGGGAACGAGTTTGTCTTGTTTTTATACGAAGATATTTCCTTTTCTACCATTGGCATCGAAGCGCTTGAAATCTCCACTTGCAAATTCCACAAAAAGAGTGTTTCAAATCTGCTCTGTCTAAAGGAAGGTTGAACTCTGTGAGTTGCATACACACAACACAAAGAAGTTACTGAGAAATCTTCTGTCTAGCATAATATGAAGAAATCCCGTTTCCAACGAAGGCCTCAAAGAGGTCCGAATATCCACTGGCAGGCTTCACAAACAGAGTGTTTCCTAACTGCTCTGTGAAAAGAAAGGTTAAACTCTGTGAGTTGAACGCACACATCACAAAGGAGTTTCTGAGAATCATTCTGTCTAGTTTTTATACGAAGATATTTCCTTTTCTACCATTGACCTCAAAGCGGCTGAAATCTCCACTTGCAAATTCCAGAAAAACAGTGTTTCAAATCTGCTCTGTGTAAAGGATCGTTCAACTCTGTGAGTTGAATACACACAACACAAGGAAGTTACTGAGAATTCATCTGTCTAGCATAATATGAAGAAATCCCGTTTCCAACGAAGGCCTCAAAGAGGTCTGAATATCCACTTGCAGACTTTACAAACAGAGTGTTTCCTAACTGCTCTTTGAAAAGAAAGGTTAAACTCTGTGAGTTGAACGCACACATCACAAAACAGTTTCTGAGAATCATTCTGTCTAGTTTTTATACGAAGATATTTCCTTTTCTACCGTTGACCTCAAAGCGGCTGAATTCTCCACTTACAAATTCCACCAAAAGAGTGTCTCAAATCTGCTCTGTGTAAAGAATCATTCAACTCTGTGAGTTGAGTGCACACAACACAAGGAAGTTACTGGGAATTCCTCTGTCTAACCTTACATGAAAAAACCCGTTTCCAACGAAGGCCTCTAAGAGGCCAAGATATCCACTTGCAGACTTTACAAACAGAGTGTTTCCAAACTGCTGAATGAAAAGAAAAGTTAAACTCTGTGAGTTGAACGCACACATCACAGAGCAGTTTCTGAGAATGATTCTGTCGGGTTTTTATACGAAGATATTTCCTTTTCTGCCTTTGGCCTCAAAGCGCTTGAAGTCTCCACTTGCAAATTGCAGAAAAAGAGTGTTTCGAATCTGCTCTGTCTAAAGGAAGGTTCAACTCTGTCAGTTGAATACACACAACACAAGGAAGTTACTGAGATTTCTTCTGTCTAGCCTTACATGAAAAAAACCCGTTTCCAACGAAGGCCTCAAAGAGGTCAAAATATCCACGTGCAGACTTTCCAAACAGAGTGTTTCCAAACTGCTGAATGAAAAGAAAAGTTAAACTCTGTGAGTTGAACGCACACATCCCAGAGCAGTTTCTGAGAAAGATTCTGTCGAGTTTTTATAGGAAAATATTTCCTTTTCTGCTTTTGGCCTCAAAGCGCTTGAAATCTCCACTTGCAAATTCCACAAAAAGAGACTTTCAAATCTGCTCTGTCTAAAGGAAGGTTCAACTCTGTCAGTTGAATACACACAACACAAAGAAGTTACTAAGAATTCTTCCCTCTAGCATTATATGAAGAAATCCCGTTCCCAACGAAGGCATCTAAGAGGTCCAAATATCCACTTGCAGACTTTACAAACAGAGGGTTTCCAGAATGCTGTATGAAAAGAAAGGTTAAACTCTGTGAGTTAAACACACACATCACTACGCAGTGTCTGGGAACGAGTTTGTCTTGTTTTTATACGAAGATATTTCCTTTTCTACCATTGGCATCGAAGCGCTTCAAATCTCCACTTGCAAATTCCACAAAAAGAGTGTTTCAAATATGCTCTCTCTAAAGGAAGGTTGAACTCTGTGAGTTGCATACACACAACCCAAAGAAGTTACTGAGAAATCTTCTGTCTAGCATAATATGAAGAAATCCCGTTTCCAACGAAGGCCTCAAAGAGGTCCGATTATCCACTGGCAGGCTTCACAAACAGAGTGTTTCCTAACTGCTCTGTGAAAAGAAAGGTTAAACTCTGTGAGTTGAACGCACACATCACAAAGGAGTTTCTGAGAATCATTCTGTCTAGTTTTTATACGAAGATATTTCCTTTTCTACCATTGACCTCAAAGCGGCTGAAATCTCCACTTGCAAATTCCAGAAAAACAGTGTTTCAAATCTGCTCTGTGTAAAGGATCGTTCAACTCTGTGAGTTGAATACACACAACACAAGGAAGTTACTGAGAATTCATCTGTCTAGCATAATATGAAGAAATCCCGTTTCCAACGAAGGCCTCAAAGAGGTCTGAATATCCACTTGCAGACTTTACAAACAGAGTGTTTCCTAACTGCTCTTTGAAAAGAAAGGTTAAACTCTGTGAGTTGAACGCACACATCACAAAACAGTTTCTGAGAATCATTCTGTCTAGTTTTTATACGAAGATATTTCCTTTTCTACCGTTGACCTCAAAGCGGCTGAATTCTCCACTTACAAATTCCACCAAAAGAGTGTCTCAAATCTGCTCTGTGTAAAGAATCATTCAACTCTGTGAGTTGAATGCACACAACACAAGGAAGTTACTGGGAATTCCTCTGTCTAACCTTACATGAAAAAACCCGTTTCCAACGAAGGCCTCTAAGAGGCCAAGATATCCACTTGCAGACTTTACAAACAGAGTGTTTCCAAACTGCTGAATGAAAAGAAAAGTTAAACTCTGTGAGTTGAACGCACACATCACAGAGCAGTTTCTGAGAATGATTCTGTCGGGTTTTTATACGAAGATATTTCCTTTTCTGCCTTTGGCCTCAAAGCGCTTGAAGTCTCCACTTGCAAATTGCAGAAAAAGAGTGTTTCGAATCTGCTCTGTCTAAAGGAAGGTTCAACTCTGTCAGTTGAATACACACAACACAAGGAAGTTACTGAGATTTCTTCTGTCTAGCCTTACATGAAAAAAACCCGTTTCCAACGAAGGCCTCAAAGAGGTCAAAATATCCACGTGCAGACTTTCCAAACAGAGTGTTTCCAAACTGCTGAATGAAAAGAAAAGTTAAACTCTGTGAGTTGAACGCACACATCCCAGAGCAGTTTCTGAGAAAGATTCTGTCTAGTTTTTATAGGAAAATATTTCCTTTTCTGCTTTTGGCCTCAAAGCGCTTGAAATCTCCACTTGCAAATTCCACAAAAAGAGACTTTCAAATCTGCTCTGTCTAAAGGAAGGTTCAACTCTGTCAGTTGAATACACACAACACAAAGAAGTTACTAAGAATTCTTCCCTCTAGCATTATATGAAGAAATCCCGTTTCCAACGAAGGCATCTAAGAGGTCCAAATATCCACTTGCAGAATTTACAAACAGAGGGTTTCCAGAATGCTGTATGAAAAGAAAGGTGAAACTCTGTGAGTTAAACACACACATCACTACGCAGTGTCTGGGAACGAGTTTGTCTTGTTTTTCTACGAAGATATTTCCTTTTCTACCATTGGCATCGAAGCGCTTGAAATCTCCACTTGCAAATTCCACAAAAAGAGTGTTTCAAATCTGCTCTGTCTAAAGGAAGGTTGAACTCTGTGAGTTGCATACACACAACACAAAGAAGTTACTGAGAAATCTTCTGTCTAGCATAATATGAAGAAATCCCGTTTCCAACGAAGGCCTCAAAGAGGTCCGAATATCCACTGGCAGGCTTCACAAACAGAGTGTTTCCTAACTGCTCTGTGAAAAGAAAGGTTAAACTCTGTGAGTTGAACGCACACATCACAAAGGAGTTTCTGAGAATCATTCTGTCTAGTTTTTATACGAAGATATTTCTTTTTCTACCATTGACCTCAAAGCGGCTGAAATCTCCACTTGCAAATTCCAGAAAAACAGTGTTTCAAATCTGCTCTGTGTAAAGGATCGTTCAACTCTGTGAGTTGAATACACACAACACAAGGAAGTTACTGAGAATTCATCTGTCTAGCATAATATGAAGAAATCCCGTTTCCAACGAAGGCCTCAAAGAGGTCTGAATATCCACTTGCAGACTTTACAAACAGAGTGTTTCCTAACTGCTCTTTGAAAAGAAAGGTTAAACTCTGTGAGTTGAACGCACACATCACAAAACAGTTTCTGAGAATCATTCTGTCTAGTTTTTATACGAAGATATTTCCTTTTCTACCGTTGACCTCAAAGCGGCTGAATTCTCCACTAACAAATTCCACCAAAAGAGTGTCTCAAATCTGCTCTGTGTAAAGAATCATTCAACTCTGTGAGTTGAATGCACACAACACAAGGAAGTTACTGGGAATTCCTCTGTCTAACCTTACATGAAAAAACCCGTTTCCAACGAAGGCCTCTAAGAGGCCAAGATATCCACTTGCAGACTTTACAAACAGAGTGTTTCCAAACTGCTGAATGAAAAGAAAAGTTAAACTCTGTGAGTTGAACGCACACATCACAGAGCAGTTTCTGAGAATGATTCTGTCGGGTTCTTATACGAAGATATTTCCTTTTCTGCCTTTGGCCTCAAAGCGCTTGAAGTCTCCACTTGCAAATTGCAGAAAAAGAGTGTTTCGAATCTGCTCTGTCTAAAGGAAGGTTCAACTCTGTCAGTTGAATACACACAACACAAGGAAGTTACTGAGATTTCTTCTGTCTAGCCTTACATGAAAAAAACCCGTTTCCAACGAAGGCCTCAAAGAGGTCAAAATATCCAAGGCAGACTTTCCAAACAGAGTGTTTCCAAACTGCTGAATGAAAAGAAAGTTAAACTCTGTGAGTTGAACACACACATCACAGAGCAGTTTCTGAGAATGATTCTGTCTAGTTTTTATAGGAAAATATTTCCTTTTCTGCTTTTGGCCTCAAAGCGCTTGAAATCTCCACTTGCAAATTCCACAAAAAGAGACTTTCAAATCTGCTCTGTCTAAAGGAAGGTTCAACTCTGTCAGTTGAATACACACAACACAAAGAAGTTACTAAGAATTCTTCCCTCTAGCATTATATGAAGAAATCCCGTTTCCAACGAAGGCATCTAAGAGGTCCAAATATCCACTTGCAGCCTTTACAAACACAGGGTTTCCAGAATGCTGTATGAAAAGAAAGGTTAAACTCTGTGAGTTAAACACACACATCACTACGCAGTGTCTGGGAACGAGTTTGTCTTGTTTTTATACGAAGATATTTCCTTTTCTACCATTGGCATCGAAGCGCTTGAAATCTCCACTTGCAAATTCCACAAAAAGAGTGTTTCAAATCTGCTCTGTCTAAAGGAAGGTTGAACTCTGTGAGTTGCATACACACAACACAAAGAAGTTACTGAGAAATCTTCTGTCTAGCATAATATGAAGAAATCCCGTTTCCAACGAAGGCCTCAAAGAGGTCCGAATATCCACTGGCAGGCTTCACAAACAGAGTGTTTCCTAACTGCTCTGTGAAAAGAAAGGTTAAACTCTGTGAGTTGAACGCACACATCACAAAGGAGTTTCTGAGAATCATTCTGTCTAGTTTTTATACGAAGATATTTCCTTTTCTACCATTGACCTCAAAGCGGCTGAAATCTCCACTTGCAAATTCCAGAAAAACAGTGTTTCAAATCTGCTCTGTGTAAAGGATCGTTCAACTCTGTGAGTTGAATACACACAACACAAGGAAGTTACTGAGAATTCATCTGTCTAGCATAATATGAAGAAATCCCGTTTCCAACGAAGGCCTCAAAGAGGTCTGAATATCCACTTGCAGACTTTACAAACAGAGTGTTTCCTAACTGCTCTTTGAAAAGAAAGGTTAAACTCTGTGAGTTGAACGCACACATCACAAAACAGTTTCTGAGAATCATTCTGTCTAGTTTTTATACGAAGATATTTCCTTTTCTACCGTTGACCTCAAAGCGGCTGAATTCTCCACTTACAAATTCCACCAAAAGAGTGTCTCAAATCTGCTCTGTGTAAAGAATCATTCAACTCTGTGAGTTGAATGCACACAACACAAGGAAGTTACTGGGAATTCCTCTGTCTAACCTTACATGAAAAAACCCGTTTCCAACGAAGGCCTCTAAGAGGCCAAGATATCCACTTGCAGACTTTACAAACAGAGTGTTTCCAAACTGCTGAATGAAAAGAAAAGTTAAACTCTGTGAGTTGAACGCACACATCACAGAGCAGTTTCTGAGAATGATTCTGTCGGGTTTTTATACGAAGATATTTCCTTTTCTGCCTTTGGCCTCAAAGCGCTTGAAGTCTCCACTTGCAAATTGCAGAAAAAGAGTGTTTCGAATCTGCTCTGTCTAAAGGAAGGTTCAACTCTGTCAGTTGAATACACACAACACAAGGAAGTTACTGAGATTTCTTCTGTCTAGCCTTACATGAAAAAAACCCGTTTCCAACGAAGGCCTCAAAGAGGTCAAAATATCCACGTGCAGACTTTCCAAACAGAGTGTTTCCAAACTGCTGAATGAAAAGAAAAGTTAAACTCTGTGAGTTGAACGCACACATCCCAGAGCAGTTTCTGAGAAAGATTCTGTCTAATTTTTATAGGAAAATATTTCCTTTTCTGCTTTTGGCCTCAAAGCGCTTGAAATCTCCACTTGCAAATTCCACAAAAAGAGACTTTCAAATCTGCTCTGTCTAAAGGAAGGTTCAACTCTGTCAGTTGAATACACACAACACAAAGAAGTTACTAAGAATTCTTCCCTCTAGCATTATATGAAGAAATCCCGTTTCCAACGAAGGCATCTAAGAGGTCCAAATATCCACTTGCAGACTTTACAAACACAGGGTTTCCAGAATGCTGTATGAAAAGAAAGGTTAAACTCTGTGAGTTAAACACACACATCACTACGCAGTGTCTGGGAACGAGTTTGTCTTGTTTTTATACGAAGATATTTCCTTTTCTACCATTGGCATCGAAGCGCTTGAAATCTCCACTTGCAAATTCCACAAAAAGAGTGTTTCAAATCTGCTCTGTCTAAAGGAAGGTTGAACTCTGTGAGTTGCATACACACAACACAAAGAAGTTACTGAGAAATCTTCTGTCTAGCATAATATGAAGAAATCCCGTTTCCAACGAAGGCCTCAAAGAGGTCCGAATATCCACTGGCAGGCTTCACAAACAGAGTGTTTCCTAACTGCTCTGTGAAAAGAAAGGTTAAACTCTGTGAGTTGAACGCACACATCACAAAGGAGTTTCTGAGAATCATTCTGTCTAGTTTTTATACGAAGATATTTCCTTTTCTACCATTGACCTCAAAGCGGCTGAAATCTCCACTTGCAAATTCCAGAAAAACAGTGTTTCAAATCTGCTCTGTGTAAAGGATCGTTCAACTCTGTGAGTTGAATACACACAACACAAGGAAGTTACTGAGAATTCATCTGTCTAGCATAATATGAAGAAATCCCGTTTCCAACGAAGGCCTCAAAGAGGTCTGAATATCCACTTGCAGACTTTACAAACAGAGTGTTTCCTAACTGCTCTTTGAAAAGAAAGGTTAAACTCTGTGAGTTGAACGCACACATCACAAAACAGTTTCTGAGAATCATTCTGTCTAGTTTTTATACGAAGATATTTCCTTTTCTACCGTTGACCTCAAAGCGGCTGAATTCTCCACTTACAAATTCCACCAAAAGAGTGTCTCAAATCTGCTCTGTGTAAAGAATCATTCAACTCTGTGAGTTGAATGCACACAACACAAGGAAGTTACTGGGAATTCCTCTGTCTAACCTTACATGAAAAAACCCTTTTCCAACGAAGGCCTCTAAGAGGCCAAGATATCCACTTGCAGACTTTACAAACAGAGTGTTTCCAAACTGCTGAATGAAAAGAAAAGTTAAACTCTGTGAGTTGAACGCACACATCACAGAGCAGTTTCTGAGAATGATTCTGTCGGGTTTTTATACGAAGATATTTCCTTTTCTGCCTTTGGCCTCAAAGCGCTTGAAGTCTCCACTTGCAAATTGCAGAAAAAGAGTGTTTCGAATCTGCTCTGTCTAAAAGAAGGTTCAACTCTGTCAGTTGAATACACACAACACAAGGAAGTTACTGAGATTTCTTCTGTCTAGCCTTACATGAAAAAAACCCGTTTCCAACGAAGGCCTCAAAGAGGTCAAAATATCCACGTGCAGACTTTCCAAACAGAGTGTTTCCAAACTGCTGAATGAAAAGAAAAGTTAAACTCTGTGAGTTGAACGCACACATCCCAGAGCAGTTTCTGAGAAAGATTCTGTCTAGTTTTTATAGGAAAATATTTCCTTTTCTGCTTTTGGCCTCAAAGCGCTTGAAATCTCCACTTGCAAATTCCACAAAAAGAGACTTTCAAATCTGCTCTGTCTAAAGGAAGGTTCAACTCTGTCAGTTGAATACACACAACACAAAGAAGTTACTAAGAATTCTTCCCTCTAGCATTATATGAAGAAATCCCGTTTCCAACGAAGGCATCTAAGAGGTCCAAATATCCACTTGCAGACTTTACAAACACAGGGTTTCCAGAATGCTGTATGAAAAGAAAGGTTAAACTCTGTGAGTTAAACACACACATCACTACGCAGTGTCTGGGAACGAGTTTGTCTTGTTTTTATACGAAGATATTTCGTTTTCTACCATTGGCATCGAAGCGCTTGAAATCTCCACTTGCAAATTCCACAAAAAGAGTGTTTCAAATCTGCTCTGTCTAAAGGAAGGTTGAACTCTGTGAGTTGCATACACACAACACAAAGAAGTTACTGAGAAATCTTCTGTCTAGCAAAATATGAAGAAATCCCGTTTCCAACGAAGGCCTCAAAGAGGTCCGATTATCCACTGGCAGGCTTCACAAACAGAGTGTTTCCTAACTGCTCTGTGAAAAGAAAGGTTAAACTCTGTGAGTTGAACGCACACATCACAAAGGAGTTTCTGAGAATCATTCTGTCTAGTTTTTATACGAAGATATTTGCTTTTCTACCATTGACCTCAAAGCGGCTGAAATCTCCACTTGCAAATTCCAGAAAAACAGTGTTTCAAATCTGCTCTGTGTAAAGGATCGTTCAACTCTGTGAGTTGAATACACACAACACAAGGAAGTTACTGAGAATTCATCTGTCTAGCATAATATGAAGAAATCCCGTTTCCAACGAAGGCCTCAAAGAGGTCTGAATATCCACTTGCAGACTTTACAAACAGAGTGTTTCCTAACTGCTCTTTGAAAAGAAAGGTTAAACTCTGTGAGTTGAACGCACACATCAAAAAACAGTTTCTGAGAATCATTCTGTCTAGTTTTTATACGAAGATATTTCCTTTTCTACCGTTGACCTCAAAGCGGCTGAATTCTCCACTTACAAATTCCACCCAAAGAGTGTCTCAAATCTGCTCTGTGTAAAGAATCATTCAACTCTGTGAGTTGAATGCACACAACACAAGGAAGTTACTGGGAATTCCTCTGTCTAACCTTACATGAAAAAACCCGTTTCCAACGAAGGCCTCTAAGAGGCCAAGATATCCACTTGCAGACTTTACAAACAGAGTGTTTCCAAACTGCTGAATGAAAAGAAAAGTTAAACTCTGTGAGTTGAACGCACACATCACAGAGCAGTTTCTGAGAATGATTCTGTCGGGTTTTTATACGAAGATATATCCTTTTCTGCCTTTGGCCTCAAAGCGCTTGAAGTCTCCACTTGCAAATTGCAGAAAAAGAGTGTTTCGAATCTGCTCTGTCTAAAGGAAGGTTCAACTCTGTCAGTTGAATACACACAACACAAGGAAGTTACTGAGATTTCTTCTGTCTAGCCTTACATGAAAAAAACCCGTTTCCAACGAAGGCCTCAAAGAGGTCAAAATATCCACGTGCAGACTTTCCAAACAGAGTGTTTCCAAACTGCTGAATGAAAAGAAAAGTTAAACTCTGTGAGTTGAACGCACACATCCCAGAGCAGTTTCTGAGAAAGATTGTGTCGAGTTTTTATAGGAAAATATTTCCTTTTCTGCTTTTGGCCTCAAAGCGCTTGAAATCTCCACTTGCAAATTCCACAAAAAGAGACTTTCAAATCTGCTCTGTCTAAAGGAAGGTTCAACTCTGTCAGTTGAATACACACAACACAAAGAAGTTACTAAGAATTCTTCCCTCTAGCATTATATGAAGAAATCCCGTTCCCAACGAAGGCATCTAAGAGGTCCAAATATCCACTTGCAGACTTTACAAACAGAGGGTTTCCAGAATGCTGTATGAAAAGAAAGGTTAAACTCTGTGAGTTAAACACACACATCACTACGCAGTGTCTGGGAACGAGATTGTCTTGTTTTTATACGAAGATATTTCCTTTTCTACCATTGGCATCAAAGCGCTTGAAATCTCCACTTGCAAATTCCAGAAAAAGAGTGTTTCAAATCTGCTCTGTCTAAAGGAAGGTTGAACTCTGTGAGTTGTATACACACAACACAAAGAAGTTACTGAGAAATCTTCTGTCTAGCATAATATGAAGAAATCCCGTTTCCAACGAAGGCCTCAAAGAGGTCCGAATATCCACTGGCAGGCTTCACAAACAGAGTGTTTCCTAACTGCTCTGTGAAAAGAAAGGTTAAACTCTGTGAGTTGAACGCACACATCACAAAGGAGTTTCTGAGAATCATTCTGTCTAGTTTTTATACGAAGGATATTTCCTTTTCTACCGTTGACCCCAAAGCGGCTGAATTCTCCACTTACAAATTCCACCAAAAGAGTGTCTCAAATCTGCTCTGTGTAAAGAATCATTCAACTCTGTGAGTTCAATGCACACAACACAAGGAAGTTACTGGGAATTCCTCTGTCTATCCTTACATGAAAAAACCCGTTTCCAACGAAGGCCTCTAAGAGGCCAAGATATCCACTTGCAGACTTTACAAACAGAGTGTTTCCAAACTGCTGAATGAAAAGAA
Organism: Homo sapiens; assembly: GCF_000001405.40. Taxonomy (NCBI): domain Eukaryota; kingdom Metazoa; phylum Chordata; class Mammalia; order Primates; family Hominidae; genus Homo; species Homo sapiens. The sequence goes on along the minus strand of NC_000016.10, from coordinate 37,108,946 downwards.
AAGTTAAACTCTGTGAGTTGAACGCACACATCACAGAGCAGTTTCTGAGAAAGATTCTGTCTAGTTTTTATAGGAAAATATTTCCTTTTCTGCTTTTGGCCTCAAAGCGCTTGAAATCTCCACTTGCAAATTCCACAAAAAGAGTGTTTCAAATCTGCTCTGTCTAAAGGAAGGTTGAACTCTGTGAGTTGCATACACACAACACAAAGAAGTTACTGAGAAATCTTCTGTCTAGCATAATATGAAGAAATCCCGTTTCCAACGAAGGCCTCAAAGAGGTCCGAATATCCACTGGCAGGCTTCACAAACAGAGTGTTTCCTAACTGCTCTGTGAAAAGAAAGGTTAAACTCTGTGAGTTGAACGCACACATCACAAAGGAGTTTCTGAGAATCATTCTGTCTAGTTTTTATACGAAGATATTTCCTTTTCTACCATTGACCTCAAAGCGGCTGAAATCTCCACTTGCAAATTCCAGAAAAACAGTGTTTCAAATCTGCTCTGTGTAAAGGATCGTTCAACTCTGTGAGTTGAATACACACAACACAAGGAAGTTACTGAGAATTCATCTGTCTAGCATAATATGAAGAAATCCCGTTTCCAACGAAGGCCTCAAAGAGGTCTGAATATCCACTTGCAGACTTTACAAACAGAGTGTTTCCTAACTGCTCTTTGAAAAGAAAGGTTAAACTCTGTGAGTTGAACGCACACATCACAAAACAGTTTCTGAGAATCATTCTGTCTAGTTTTTATACGAAGATATTTCCTTTTCTACCGTTGACCTCAAAGCGGCTGAATTCTCCACTTACAAATTCCACCAAAAGAGTGTCTCAAATCTGCTCTGTGTAAAGAATCATTCAACTCTGTGAGTTGAATGCACACAACACAAGGAAGTTACTGGGAATTCCTCTGTCTATCCTTACATGAAAAAACCCGTTTCCAACTAAGGCCTCTAAGAGGCCAAGATATCCACTTGCAGACTTTACAAACAGAGTGTTTCCAAACTGCTGAATGAAAAGAAAAGTTAAACTCTGTGAGTTGAACGCACACATCACAGAGCAGTTTCTGAGAATGATTCTGTCGGGTTTTTATACGAAGATATTTCCTTTTCTGCCTTTGGCCTCAAAGCGCTTGAAGTCTCCACTTGCAAATTGCAGAAAAAGAGTGTTTCGAATCTGCTCTGTCTAAAGGAAGGTTCAACTCTGTCAGTTGAATACACACAACACAAGGAAGTTACTGAGATTTCTTCTGTCTAGCCTTACATGAAAAAAACCCGTTTCCAACGAAGGCCTCAAAGAGGTCAAAATATCCACGTGCAGACTTTCCAAACAGAGTGTTTCCAAACTGCTGAATGAAAAGAAAAGTTAAACTCTGTGAGTTGAACGCACACATCCCAGAGCAGTTTCTGAGAAAGATTCTGTCGAGTTTTTATAGGAAAATATTTCCTTTTCTGCTTTTGGCCTCAAAGCGCTTGAAATCTCCACTTGCAAATTCCACAAAAAGAGACTTTCAAATCTGCTCTGTCTAAAGGAAGGTTCAACTCTGTCAGTTGAATACACACAACACAAAGAAGTTACTAAGAATTCTTCCCTCTAGCATTATATGAAGAAATCCCGTTTCCAACGAAGGCATCTAAGAGGTCCAAATATCCACTTGCAGACTTTACAAACACAGGGTTTCCAGAATGCTGTATGAAAAGAAAGGTGAAACTCTGTGAGTTAAACACACACATCACTACGCAGTGTCTGGGAACGAGTTTGTCTTGTTTTTATACGAAGATATTTCCTTTTCTACCATTGGCATCGAAGCGCTTGAAATCTCCACTTGCAAATTCCACAAAAAGAGTGTTTCAAATCTGCTCTGTCTAAAGGAAGGTTGAACTCTGTGAGTTGCATACACACAACACAAAGAAGTTACTGAGAAATCTTCTGTCTAGCATAATATGAAGAAATCCCGTTTCCAACGAAGGCCTCAAAGAGGTCCGAATATCCACTGGCAGGCTTCACAAACAGAGTGTTTCCTAACTGCTCTGTGAAAAGAAAGGTTAAACTCTGTGAGTTGAACGCACACATCACAAAGGAGTTTCTGAGAATCATTCTGTCTAGTTTTTATACGAAGATATTTCCTTTTCTACCATTGACCTCAAAGCAGCTGAAATCTCCACTTGCAAATTCCAGAAAAACAGTGTTTCAAATCTGCTCTGTGTAAAGGATCGTTCAACTCTGTGAGTTGAATACACACAACACAAGGAAGTTACTGAGAATTCATCTGTCTAGCATAATATGAAGAAATCCCGTTTCCAACGAAGGCCTCAAAGAGGTCTGAATATCCACTTGCAGACTTTACAAACAGAGTGTTTCCTAACTGCTCTTTGAAAAGAAAGGTTAAACTCTGTGAGTTGAACGCACACATCACAAAACAGTTTCTGAGAATCATTCTGTCTAGTTTTTATACGAAGATATTTCCTTTTCTACCGTTGACCTCAAAGCGGCTGAATTCTCCACTTACAAATTCCACCAAAAGAGTGTCTCAAATCTGCTCTGTGTAAAGAATCATTCAACTCTGTGAGTTGAATGCACACAACACAAGGAAGTTACTGGGAATTCCTCTGTCTATCCTTACATGAAAAAACCCGTTTCCAACGAAGGCCTCTAAGAGGCCAAGATATCCACTTGCAGACTTTACAAACAGAGTGTTTCCAAACTGCTGAATGAAAAGAAAAGTTAAACTCTGTGAGTTGAACGCACACATCACAGAGCAGTTTCCTGAGAATGATTTCTGTCGGGTTCTTATACGAAGATATTTCCTTTTCTGCCTTTGGCCTCAATGCGCTTGAAGTCTCCACTTGCAAATTGCAGAAAAAGAGTGTTTCGAATCTGCTCTGTCTAAAAGAAGGTTCAACTCTGTCAGTTGAATACACACAACACAAGGAAGTTACTGAGATTTCTTCTGTCTAGCCTTACATGAAAAAAACCCGTTTCCAACGAAGGCCTCAAAGAGGTCAAAATATCCACGTGCAGACTTTCCAAACAGAGTGTTTCCAAACTGCTGAATGAAAAGAAAAGTTAAACTCTGTGAGTTGAACGCACACATCCCAGAGCAGTTTCTGAGAAAGATTCTGTCTAGTTTTTATAGGAAAATATTTCCTTTTCTGCTTTTGGCCTCAAAGCGCTTGAAATCTCCACTTGCAAATTCCACAAAAAGAGACTTTCAAATCTGCTCTGTCTAAAGGAAGGTTCAACTCTGTCAGTTGAATACACACAACACAAAGAAGTTACTAAGAATTCTTCCCTCTAGCATTATATGAAGAAATCCCGTTTCCAAAGAAGGCATCTAAGAGGTCCAAATATCCACTTGCAGACTTTACAAACAGAGGGTTTCCAGAATGCTCTATGAAAAGAAAGGTGAAACTCTGTGAGTTAAACACACACATCACTACGCAGTGTCTGGGAACGAGTTTTGTCTTGTTTTTATACGAAGATATTTCCTTTTCTACCATTGGCATCGAAGCGCTTGAAATCTCCACTTGCAAATTCCACAAAAAGAGTGTTTCAAATCTGCTCTGTCTAAAGGAAGGTTGAACTCTGTGAGTTGCATACACACAACACAAAGAAGTTACTGAGAAATCTTCTGTCTAGCATAATATGAAGAAATCCCGTTTCCAACGAAGGCCTCAAAGAGGTCCGAATATCCACTGGCAGGCTTCACAAACAGAGTGTTTCCTAACTGCTCTGTGAAAAGAAAGGTTAAACTCTGTGAGTTGAACGCACACATCACAAAGGAGTTTCTGAGAATCATTCTGTCTAGTTTTTATACGAAGATATTTCTTTTTCTACCATTGACCTCAAAGCGGCTGAAATCTCCACTTGCAAATTCCAGAAAAACAGTGTTTCAAATCTGCTCTGTGTAAAGGATCGTTCAACTCTGTGAGTTGAATACACACAACACAAGGAAGTTACTGAGAATTCATCTGTCTAGCATAATATGAAGAAATCCCGTTTCCAACGAAGGCCTCAAAGAGGTCTGAATATCCACTTGCAGACTTTACAAACAGAGTGTTTCCTAACTCCTCTTTGAAAAGAAAGGTTAAACTCTGTGAGTTGAACGCACACATCACAAAAAAGTTTCTGAGAATCATTCTGTCTAGTTTTTATACGAAGATATTTCCTTTTCTACCGTTGACCTCAAAGCAGCTGAATTCTCCACTTACAAATTCCACCAAAAGAGTGTCTCAAATCTGCTCTGTGTAAAGAATCATTCAACTCTGTGAGTTGAATGCACACAACACAAGGAAGTTACTGGGAATTCTCTGTCTAGCCTTACATGAAAAAAACCCGTTTCCAACGAAGACCTCAAACAGGTCAATATATCAACTTGCAGACATTACAAACAGACTGTTTCCAAACTGCTGAATGAAAAGAAAAGTTAAACTCTGTGAGTTCAACGCACACATCACGGTGCAGTTTCTGAGAATGATTCTGTCTAGTTTTTAGACGAAAATATTTCCTTTTCTGCCTTAGGCCTCAAATCGCTTGAAATCTCCAATTGCAAATTCCACAAAAAGAGTGTTTCAAATCTGCTCTGTCTAAAGGAAGGTTCAACTCTGTCAGTTGAATACACACAACACAAAGAAGTTACTAAGAATTCTTCCCTCTAGCATTATATGAAGAAATCCCGTTTCCAAAGAAGGCATCTAAGAGGTCCAGATATCCATTTGCTGAATTTTCAAAAAGAGTGTTTCCAGAATGCTGTATGAAAAGAAAGGTTAAACTCAGTGAGTTAAACACACACATCACTACGCAGTTTCTGGGAATGATTTTGTCTTGTTTTTATACGAAGATATTTCCTTTTCTACCATTGGCATCGAAGCGCTTGAAATCTCCACTTGCAAATTCCACAAAAAGAGTGTTTCAAATCTGCTCTGTCTAAAGGAAGGTTGAACTCTGTGAGTTGCATACACGCAACACAAAGAAGTTACTGAGAAATCTTCTGTCTAGCATAATATGAAGAAATCCCGTTTCCAACGAAGGCCTCAAAGAGGTCTGAATATCCACTGGCAGGCTTCACAAACAGAGTGTTTCCTAACTGCTCTGTGAAAAGAAAGGTTAAACTCTGTGAGTTGAACGCACACATCACAAAGGAGTTTCTGAGAATCATTCTGTCTAGTTTTTATACGAAGATATTTCCTTTTCTACCATTGACCTCAAAGCGGCTGAAATCTCCACTTGCAAATTCCAGAAAAACAGTGTTTCAAATCTGCTCTGTGTAAAGGATCGTTCAACTCTGTGAGTTGAATACACACAACACAAGGAAGTTACTGAGAATTCATCTGTCTAGCATAATATGAAGAAATCCCGTTTCCAACGAAGGCCTCAAAGAGGTCTGAATATCCACTTGCAGACTTTACAAACAGAGTGTTTCCTAACTGCTCTTTGAAAAGAAAGGTTAAACTCTGTGAGTTGAAAGCACACATCACAAAACAGTTTCTGAGAATCATTCTGTCTAGTTTTTATACGAAGATATTTCCTTTTCTACCGTTGACATCAAAGCGGCTGAATTCTCCACTTACAAATTCCACCAAAAGAGTGTCTCAAATCTGCTCTGTGTAAAGAATCATTCAACTCTGTGAGTTGAATGCACACAACACAAGGAAGTTAGTGGGAATTCCTCTGTCTAACCTTACATGAAAAAACCCGCTTCCAACGAAGGCCTCTAAGAGGCCAAGATATCCACTTGCAGACTTTACAAACAGAGTGTTTCCAAACTGCTGAATGAAAAGAAAAGTTAAACTCTGTGAGTTGAACGCACACATCACAGAGCAGTTTCTGAGAATGATTCTGTCGGGTTTTTATACGAAGATATTTCCTTTTCTGCCTTTGGCCTCAAAGCGCTTGAAGTCTCCACTTGCAAATTGCAGAAAAAGAGTGTTTCGAATCTGCTCTGTCTAAAGGAAGGTTCAACTCTGTCAGTTGAATACACACAACACAAGGAAGTTACTGAGATTTCTTCTGTCTAGCCTTACATGAAAAAAACCCGTTTCCAACGAAGGCCTCAAAGAGGTCAAAATATCCACGTGCAGACTTTCCAAACAGAGTGTTTCCAAACTGCTGAATGAAAAGAAAAGTTAAACTCTGTGAGTTGAACGCACACATCCCAGAGCAGTTTCTGAGAAAGATTCTGTCGAGTTTTTATAGGAAAATATTTCCTTTTCTGCTTTTGGCCTCAAAGCGCTTGAAATCTCCACTTGCAAATTCCACAAAAAGAGACTTTCAAATCTGCTCTGTCTAAAGGAAGGTTCAACTCTGTCAGTTGAATACACACAACACAAAGAAGTTACTAAGAATTCTTCCCTCTAGCATTATATGAAGAAATCCCGTTTCCAACGAAGGCATCTAAGAGGTCCAAATATCCACTTGCAGACTTTACAAACACAGGGTTTCCAGAATGCTGTATGAAAAGAAAGGTTAAACTCTGTGAGTTAAACACACACATCACTACGCAGTGTCTGGGAACGAGTTTGTCTTGTTTTTATACAGAAGATATTTCCTTTTCTACCATTGGCATCGAAGCGCTTGAAATCTCCACTTGCAAATTCCACAAAAAGAGTGTTTCAAATCTGCTCTGTCTAAAGGAAGGTTGAACTCTGTGAGTTGCATACACACAACACAAAGAAGTTACTGAGAAATCTTCTGTCTAGCATAATATGAAGAAATCCCGTTTCCAACGAAGGCCTCAAAGAGGTCCGAATATCCACTGGCAGGCTTCACAAACAGAGTGTTTCCTAACTGCTCTGTGAAAAGAAAGGTTAAACTCTGTGAGTTGAACGCACACATCACAAAGGAGTTTCTGAGAATCATTCTGTCTAGTTTTTATACGAAGATATTTCCTTTTCTACCATTGACCTCAAAGCGGCTGAAATCTCCACTTGCAAATTCCAGAAAAACAGTGTTTCAAATCTGCTCTGTGTAAAGGATCGTTCAACTCTGTGAGTTGAATACACACAACACAAGGAAGTTACTGAGAATTCATCTGTCTAGCATAATATGAAGAAATCCCGTTTCCAACGAAGGCCTCAAAGAGGTCTGAATATCCACTTGCAGACTTTACAAACAGAGTGTTTCCTAACTGCTCTTTGAAAAGAAAGGTTAAACTCTGTGAGTTGAACGCACACATCACAAAACAGTTTCTGAGAATCATTCTGTCTAGTTTTTATACGAAGATATTTCCTTTTCTACCGTTGACCTCAAAGCGGCTGAATTCTCCACTTACAAATTCCACCCAAAGAGTGTCTCAAATCTGCTCTGTGTAAAGAATCATTCAACTCTGTGAGTTGAATGCACACAACACAAGGAAGTTACTGGGAATTCCTCTGTCTATCCTTACATGAAAAAACCCGTTTCCAACGAAGGCCTCTAAGAGGCCAAGATATCCACTTGCAGACTTTACAAACAGAGTGTTTCCAAACTGCTGAATGAAAAGAAAAGTTAAACTCTGTGAGTTGAACGCACACATCACAGAGCAGTTTCTGAGAATGATTCTGTCGGGTTTTTATACGAAGATATTTCCTTTTCTGCCTTTGGCCTCAAAGCGCTTGAAGTCTCCACTTGCAAATTGCAGAAAAAGAGTGTTTCGAATCTGCTCTGTCTAAAGGAAGGTTCAACTCTGTCAGTTGAATACACACAACACAAGGAAGTTACTGAGATTTCTTCTGTCTAGCCTTACATGAAAAAAACCCGTTTCCAACGAAGGCCTCAAAGAGGTCAAAATATCCACGTGCAGACTTTCCAAACAGAGTGTTTCCAAACTGCTGAATGAAAAGAAAAGTTAAACTCTGTGAGTTGAACGCACACATCCCAGAGCAGTTTCTGAGAAAGATTCTGTCGAGTTTTTATAGGAAAATATTTCCTTTTCTGCTTTTGGCCTCAAAGCGCTTGAAATCTCCACTTGCAAATTCCACAAAAAGAGACTTTCAAATCTGCTCTGTCTAAAGGAAGGTTCAACTCTGTCAGTTGAATACACACAACACAAAGAAGTTACTAAGAATTCTTCCCTCTAGCATTATATGAAGAAATCCCGTTTCCAACGAAGGCTTCTAAGAGGTCCAAATATCCACTTGCAGACTTTACAAACACAGGGTTTCCAGAATGCTGTATGAAAAGAAAGGTGAAACTCTGTGAGTTAAACACACACATCACTACGCAGTGTCTGGGAACGAGTTTGTCTTGTTTTTATACGAAGATATTTCCTTTTCTACCATTGGCATCGAAGCGCTTGAAATCTCCACTTGCAAATTCCACAAAAAGAGTGTTTCAAATCTGCTCTGTCTAAAGGAAGGTTGAACTCTGTGAGTTGCATACACACAACACAAAGAAGTTACTGAGAAATCTTCTGTCTAGCATAATATGAAGAAATCCCGTTTCCAACGAAGGCCTCAAAGAGGTCCGAATATCCACTGGCAGGCTTCACAAACAGAGTGTTTCCTAACTGCTCTGTGAAAAGAAAGGTTAAACTCTGTGAGTTGAACGCACACATCACAAAGGAGTTTCTGAGAATCATTCTGTCTAGTTTTTATACGAAGATATTTCCTTTTCTACCATTGACCTCAAAGCGGCTGAAATCTCCACTTGCAAATTCCAGAAAAACAGTGTTTCAAATCTGCTCTGTGTAAAGGATCGTTCAACTCTGTGAGTTGAATACACACAACACAAGGAAGTTACTGAGAATTCATCTGTCTAGCATAATATGAAGAAATCCCGTTTCCAACGAAGGCCTCAAAGAGGTCTGAATATCCACTTGCAGACTTTACAAACAGAGTGTTTCCTAACTGCTCTTTGAAAAGAAAGGTTAAACTCTGTGAGTTGAAAGCACACATCACAAAACAGTTTCTGAGAATCATTCTGTCTAGTTTTTATACGAAGATATTTCCTTTTCTACCGTTGACATCAAAGCGGCTGAATTCTCCACTTACAAATTCCACCAAAAGAGTGTCTCAAATCTGCTCTGTGTAAAGAATCATTCAACTCTGTGAGTTGAATGCACACAACACAAGGAAGTTAGTGGGAATTCCTCTGTCTAACCTTACATGAAAAAACCCGCTTCCAACGAAGGCCTCTAAGAGGCCAAGATATCCACTTGCAGACTTTACAAACAGAGTGTTTCCAAACTGCTGAATGAAAAGAAAAGTTAAACTCTGTGAGTTGAACGCACACATCACAGAGCAGTTTCTGAGAATGATTCTGTCGGGTTTTTATACGAAGATATTTCCTTTTCTGCCTTTGGCCTCAAAGCGCTTGAAGTCTCCACTTGCAAATTGCAGAAAAAGAGCGTTTCGAATCTGCTCTCTCTAAAGGAAGGTTCAACTCTGTCAGTTGAATACACACAACACAAGGAAGTTACTGAGATTTCTTCTGTCTAGCCTTACATGAAAAAAACCCGTTTCCAACGAAGGCCTCAAAGAGGTCAAAATATCCACGTGCAGACTTTCCAAACAGTGTTTCCAAACTGCTGAATGAAAAGAAAGTTAAACTCTGTGAGTTGAACGCACACATCACAGAGCAGTTTCTGAGAATGATTCTCTCTAGTTTTTATAGGAAAATATTTCCTTTTCTACCATTGGCATCGAAGCGCTTGAAATCTCCACTTGCAAATTCCACAAAAAGAGACTTTCAAATCTGCTCTGTCTAAAGGAAGGTTCAACTCTGTCAGTTGAATACACACAACACAAAGAAGTTACTAAGAATTCTTCTGTCTAGCATAATATGAAGAAATCCCGTTTCCAACGAAGGCCTCAAAGAGGTCCGAATATCCACTGGCAGGCTTCACAAACAGAGTGTTTCCTAACTGCTCTGTGAAAAGAAAGGTTAAACTCTGTGAGTTGAACGCACACATCACAAAGGAGTTTCTGAGAATCATTCTGTCTAGTTTTTATACGAAGATATTTCCTTTTCTACCATTGACCTCAAAGCGGCTGAAATCTCCACTTGCAAATTCCAGAAAAACAGTGTTTCAAATCTGCTCTGTGTAAAGGATCGTTCAACTCTGTGAGTTGAATACACACAACACAAGGAAGTTACTGAGAATTCATCTGTCTAGCATAATATGAAGAAATCCCGTTTCCAACGAAGGCCTCAAAGAGGTCTGAATATCCACTTGCAGACTTTACAAACAGAGTGTTTCCTAACTGCTCTTTGAAAAGAAAGGTTAAACTCTGTGAGTTGAACGCACACATCACAAAACAGTTTCTGAGAATCATTCTGTCTAGTTTTTATACGAAGATATTTCCTTTTCTACCGTTGACCTCAAAGCGGCTGAATTCTCCACTTACAAATTCCACCAAAAGAGTGTCTCAAATCTGCTCTGTGTAAAGAATCATTCAACTCTGTGAGTTGAATGCACACAACACAAGGAAGTTACTGGGAATTCCTCTGTCTATCCTTACATGAAAAAACCCGTTTCCAACGAAGGCCTCTAAGAGGCCAAGATATCCACTTGCAGACTTTACAAACAGAGTGTTTCCAAACTGCTGAATGAAAAGAAAAGTTAAACTCTGTGAGTTGAACGCACACATCACAGAGCAGTTTCTGAGAAAGATTCTGTCGGGTTTTTATACGAAGATATTTCCTTTTCTGCCTTTGGCCTCAAAGCGCTTGAAGTTTCCACTTGCAAATTGCAGAAAAAGAGTGTTTCGAATCTGCTCTGTCTAAAGGAAGGTTCAACTCTGTCAGTTGAATACACACAACACAAGGAAGTTACTGAGATTTCTTTCTGTCTAGCCTTACATGAAAAAAACCCGTTTCCAACGAAGGCCTCAAAGTAGGTCAAAATATCCACGTGCAGACTTTCCAAACAGAGTGTTTCCAAACTGCTGAATGAAAAGAAAAGTTAAACTCTGTGAGTTGAACGCACACATCCCAGAGCAGTTTCTGAGAAAGATTCTGTCGAGTTTTTATAGGAAAATATTTCCTTTTCTGCTTTTGGCCTCAAAGCGCTTGAAATCTCCACTTGCAAATTCCACAGAAAGAGACTTTCAAATCTGCTCTGTCTAAAGGAAGGTTCAACTCTGTCAGTTGAATACACACAACACAAAGAAGTTACTAAGAATTCTTCCCTCTAGCATTATATGAAGAAATCCCGTTTCCAACGAAGGCATCTAAGAGGTCCAAATATCCACTTGCAGACTTTACAAACACAGGGTTTCCAGAATGCTGTATGAAAAGAAAGGTTAAACTCTGTGAGTTAAACACACACATCACTACGCAGTGTCTGGGAACGAGTTTGTCTTGTTTTTATACGAAGATATTTCCTTTTCTACCATTGGCATCGAAGCGCTTGAAATCTCCACTTGCAAATTCCACAAAAAGAGTGTTTCAAATCTGCTCTGTCTAAAGGAAGGTTGAACTCTGTGAGTTGCATACACACAACACAAAGAAGTTACTGAGAAATCTTCTGTCTAGCATAATATGAAGAAATCCCGTTTCCAACGAAGGCCTCAAAGAGGTCCGAATATCCACTGGCAGGCTTCACAAACAGAGTGTTTCCTAACTGCTCTGTGAAAAGAAAGGTTAAACTCTGTGAGTTGAACGCACACATCACAAAGAAGTTTCTGAGAATCATTCTGTCTAGTTTTTATACGAAGATATTTCCTTTTCTACCATTGACCTCAAATCGGCTGAAATCTCCACTTGCAAATTCCAGAAAAACAGTGTTTCAAATCTGCTCTGTGTAAAGGATCGTTCAACTCTGTGAGTTGAATACACACAACACAAGGAAGTTACTGAGAATTCATCTGTCTAGCATAATATGAAGAAATCCCGTTTCCAACGAAGGCCTCAAAGAGGTCTGAATATCCACTTGCAGACTTTACAAACAGAGTGTTTCCTAACTGCTCTCTGAAAAGAAAGGTTAAACTCTGTGAGTTGAACGCACACATCACAAAACAGTTTCTGAGAATCATTCTGTCTAGTTTTTATACGAAGATATTTCCTTTTCTACCGTTGACCTCAAAGCGGCTGAATTCTCCACTTACAAATTCCACCAAAAGAGTGTCTCAAATCTGCTCTGTGTAAAGAATCATTCAACTCTGTGAGTTGAATGCACACAACACAAGGAAGTTACTGGGAATTCCTCTGTCTAACCTTACATGAAAAAACCCGTTTCCAACGAAGGCCTCTAAGAGTCCAAGATATCCACTTGCAGACTTTACAAACAGAGTGTTTCCAAACTGCTGAATGAAAAGAAAAGTTAAACTCTGTGAGTTGAACGCACACATCACAGAGCAGTTTCTGAGAGTGATTCTGTCGGGTTTTTATACGAAGATATTTCCTTTTCTGCCTTTGGCCTCAAAGCGCTTGAAGTTTCCACTTGCAAATTGCAGAAAAAGAGTGTTTCGAATCTGCTCTGTCTAAAGGAAGGTTCAACTCTGTCAGTTGAATACACACAACACAAGGAAGTTACTGAGATTTCTTCTGTCTAGCCTTACATGAAAAAAACCCGTTTCCAACGAAGGCCTCAAAGAGGTCAAAATATCCACGTGCAGACTTTCCAAACAGAGTGTTTCCAAACTGCTGAATGAAAAGAAAAGTTAAACTCTGTGAGTTGAACGCACACATCCCAGAGCAGTTTCTGAGAAAGATTCTGTCGAGTTTTTATAGGAAAATATTTCCTTTTCTGCTTTTGGCCTCAAAGCGCTTGAAATCTCCACTTGCAAATTCCACAGAAAGAGACTTTCAAATCTGCTCTGTCTAAAGGAAGGTTCAACTCTGTCAGTTGAATACACACAACACAAAGAAGTTACTAAGAATTCTTCCCTCTAGCATTATATGAAGAAATCCCGTTTCCAACGAAGGCATCTAAGAGGTCCAAATATCCACTTGCAGACTTTACAAACACAGGGTTTCCAGAATGCTGTATGAAAAGAAAGGTTAAACTCTGTGAGTTAAACACACACATCACTACGCAGTGTCTGGGAACGAGTTTGTCTTGTTTTTATACGAAGATATTTCCTTTTCTACCATTGGCATCGAAGCGCTTGAAATCTCCACTTGCAAATTCCACAAAAAGAGTGTTTCAAATATGCTCTCTCTAAAGGAAGGTTGAACTCTGTGAGTTGCATACACACAACACAAAGAAGTTACTGAGAAATCTTCTGTCTAGCATAACATGAAGAAATCCCGTTTCCAACGAAGGCCTCAAAGAGGTCCGAATATCCACTGGCAGGCTTCACAAACAGAGTGTTTCCTAACTGCTCTGTGAAAAGAAAGGTTAAACTCTGTGAGTTGAACGCACACATCACAAAGGAGTTTCTGAGAATCATTCTGTCTAGTTTTTATACGAAGATATTTCCTTTTCTACCATTGACCTCAAAGCGGCTGAAATCTCCACTTGCAAATTCCAGAAAAACAGTGTTTCAAATCTGCTCTGTGAAAAGGATCGTTCAACTCTGTGAGTTGAATACACACAACACAAGGAAGTTACTGAGAATTCATCTGTCTAGCATAATATGAAGAAATCCCGTTTCCAACGAAGGCCTCAAAGAGGTCTGAATATCCACTTGCAGACTTTACAAACAGAGTGTTTCCTAACTGCTCTTTGAAAAGAAAGGTTAAACTCTGTGAGTTGAACGCACACATCACAAAACAGTTTCTGAGAATCATTCTGTCTAGTTTTTATACGAAGATATTTCCTTTTCTACCGTTGACCTCAAAGCGGCTGAATTCTCCACTTACAAATTCCACCAAAAGAGTGTCTCAAATCTGCTCTGTGTAAAGAATCATTCAACTCTGTGAGTTGAATGCACACAACACAAGGAAGTTACTGGGAATTCCTCTGTCTAACCTTACATGAAAAAACCCGTTTCCAACGAAGGCCTCTAAGAGGCCAAGATATCCACTTGCAGACTTTACAAACAGAGTGTTTCCAAACTGCTGAATGAAAAGAAAAGTTAAACTCTGTGAGTTGAACGGACACATCACAGAGCAGTTTCTGAGAATGATTCTGTCGGGTTTTTATACGAAGATATTTCCTTTTCTGCCTTTGGCCTCAAAGCGCTTGAAGTCTCCACTTGCAAATTGCAGAAAAAGAGTGTTTCGAATCTGCTCTGTCTAAAGGAAGGTTCAACTCTGTCAGTTGAATACACACAACACAAGGAAGTTACTGAGATTTCTTCTGTCTAGCCTTACATGAAAAAAACCCGTTTCCAACGAAGGCCTCAAAGAGGTCAAAATATCCACGTGCAGACTTTCCAAACAGAGTGTTTCCAAACTGCTGAATGAAAAGAAAAGTTAAACTCTGTGAGTTGAACGCACACATCCCAGAGCAGTTTCTGAGAAAGATTCTGTCTAATTTTTATAGGAAAATATTTCCTTTTCTGCTTTTGGCCTCAAAGCGCTTGAAATCTCCACTTGCAAATTCCACAAAAAGAGACTTTCAAATCTGCTCTGTCTAAAGGAAGGTTCAACTCTGTCAGTTGAATACACACAACAAAAAGAAGTTACTAAGAATTCTTCCCTCTAGCATTATATGAAGAAATCCCGTTTCCAACGAAGGCATCTAAGAGGTCCAAATATCCACTTGCAGACTTTACAAACACAGGGTTTCCAGAATGCTGTATGAAAAGAAAGGTTAAACTCTGTGAGTTAAACACACACATCACTACGCAGTGTCTGGGAACGAGTTTGTCTTGTTTTTATACGAAGATATTTCCTTTTCTACCATTGGCATCGAAGCGCTTGAAATCTCCACTTGCAAATTCCACAAAAAGAGTGTTTCAAATCTGCTCTGTCTAAAGGAAGGTTGAACTCTGTGAGTTGCATACACACAACACAAAGAAGTTACTGAGAAATCTTCTGTCTAGCATAATATGAAGAAATCCCGTTTCCAACGAAGGCCTGAAAGAGGTCTGAATATCCACTGGCAGGCTTCACAAACAGAGTGTTTCCTAACTGCTCTGTGAAAAGAAAGGTTAAACTCTGTGAGTTGAACGCACACATCACAAAGGAGTTTCTGAGAATCATTCTGTCTAGTTTTTATACGAAGATATTTCCTTTTCTACCATTGACCTCAAAGCGGCTGAAATCTCCACTTGCAAATTCCAGAAAAACAGTGTTTCAAATCTGCTCTGTGTAAAGGATCGTTCAACTCTGTGAGTTGAATACACACAACACAAGGAAGTTACTGAGAATTCATCTGTCTAGCATAATATGAAGAAATCCCGTTTCCAACGAAGGCCTCAAAGAGGTCTGAATATCCGCTTGCAGACTTTACAAACAGAGTGTTTCCTAACTGCTCTTTGAAAAGAAAGGTTAAACTCTGTGAGTTGAACGCACACATCACAAAACAGTTTCTGAGAATCATTCTGTCTAGTTTTTATACGAAGATATTTCCTTTTCTACCGTTGACCTCAAAGCGGCTGAATTCTCCACTTACAAATTCCACCAAAAGAGTGTCTCAAATCTGCTCTGTGTAAAGAATCATTCAACTCTGTGAGTTGAATGCACACAACACAAGGAAGTTACTGGGAATTCCTCTGTCTAACCTTACATGAAAAAAACCGTTTCCAACGAAGGCATCTAAGAGGCCAAGATATCCACTTGCAGACTTTACAAACAGAGTGTTTCCAAACTGCTGAATGAAAAGAAAAGTTAAACTCTGTGAGTTGAACGCACACATCACAGAGCAGTTTCTGAGAATGATTCTGTCGGGTTTTTATACGAAGATATTTCCTTTTCTGCCTTTGGCCTCAAAGCGCTTGAAGTCTCCACTTGCAAATTGCAGAAAAAGAGTGTTTCGAATCTGCTCTGTCTAAAGGAAGGTTCAACTGCTGTCAGTTGAATACACACAACACAAGGAAGTTACTGAGATTTCTTCTGTCTAGCCTTACATGAAAAAAACCCGTTTCCAACGAAGGCCTCAAAGAGGTCAAAATATCCACGTGCAGACTTTCCAAACAGAGTGTTTCCAAACTGCTGAATGAAAAGAAAGTTAAACTCTGTGAGTTGAACACACACATCACAGAGCAGTTTCTGAGAATGATTCTCTCTAGTTTTTATAGGAAAATATTTCCTTTTCTGCTTTTGGCCTCAAAGTGCTTGAAATCTCCACTTGCAAATTCCACAAAAAGAGACTTTCAAATCTGCTCTGTCTAAAGGAAGGTTCAACTCTGTCAGTTCAATACACACAACACAAAGAAGTTACTAAGAATTCTTCCCTCTAGCATTATATGAAGAAATCCCGTTTCCAACGAAGGCCTCAAAGAGGTCTGAATATCCACTTGCAGACTTTACAGAGTGTTTCCTAACTGCTCTTTGAAAAGAAAGGTTAAACTCTGTGAGTTGAACGCACACATCACAAAACAGTTTCTGAGAATCATTCTGTCTAGTTTTTATACGAAGATATTTCCTTTTCTACCGTTGACCTCAAAGTGGCTGAATTCTCCACTTACAAATTCCACCCAAAGAGTGTCTCAAATCTGCTCTGTGTAAAGAATCATTCAACTCTGTGAGTTGAATGCACACAACACAAGGAAGTTACTGGGAATTCCTCTGTCTAACCTTACATGAAAAAACCCGTTTCCAACGAAGGCCTCTAAGAGGCCAAGATATCCACTTGCAGACTTTACAAACAGAGTGTTTCCAAACTGCTGAATGAAAAGAAAAGTTAAACTCTGTGAGTTGAACGCACACATCACAGAGCAGTTTCTGAGAATGATTCTGTCGGGTTTTTATACGAAGATATTTCCTTTTCTGCCTTTGGCCTCAAAGCGCTTGAAGTCTCCACTTGCAAATTGCAGAAAAAGAGTGTTTCGAATCTGCTCTGTCTAAAGGAAGGTTCAACTCTGTCAGTTGAATACACACAACACAAGGAAGTTACTGAGATTTCTTCTGTCTAGCCTTACATGAAAAAAACCCGTTTCCAACGAAGGCCTCAAAGAGGTCAAAATATCCACGTGCAGACTTTCCAAACAGAGTGTTTCCAAACTGCTGAATGAAAAGAAAAGTTAAACTCTGTTAGTTGAACGCACACATCCCAGAGCAGTTTCTGAGAAAGATTCTGTCGAGTTTTTATAGGAAAATATTTCCTTTTCTGCTTTTGGCCTCAAATCGCTTGAAATCTCCACTTGCAAATTCCACAAAAAGAGACTTTCAAATCTGCTCTGTCTAAAGGAAGGTTCAACTCTGTCAGTTGAATACACACAACACAAAGAAGTTACTAAGAATTCTTCCCTCTGGCATTATATGAAGAAATCCCGTTTCCAACGAAGGCATCTAAGAGGTCCAAATATCCACTTGCAGACTTTACAAACACAGGGTTTCCAGAATGCTGTATGAAAAGAAAGGTTAAACTCTGTGAGTTAAACACACACATCACTACGCAGTGTCTGGGAACGAGTTTGTCTTGTTTTTATACGAAGATATTTCCTTTTCTACCATTGGCATCGAAGCGCTTGAAATCTCCACTTGCAAATTCCACAAAAAGAGTGTTTCAAATCTGCTCTGTCTAAAGGAAGGTTGAACTCTGTGAGTTGCATACACACAACACAAAGAAGTTACTGAGAAATCTTCTGTCTAGCATAATATGAAGAAATCCCGTTTCCAACGAAGGCCTCAAAGAGGTCCGAATATCCACTGGCAGGCTTCACAAACAGAGTGTTTCCTAACTGCTCTGTGAAAAGAAAGGTTAAACTCTGTGAGTTGAACGCACACATCACAAAGGAGTTTCTGAGAATCATTCTGTCTAGTTTTTATACGAAGATATTTCCTTTTCTACCATTGACCTCAAAGCGGCTGAAATCTCCACTTGCAAATTCCAGAAAAACAGTGTTTCAAATCTGCTCTGTGTAAAGGATCGTTCAACTCTGTGAGTTGAATACACACAACACAAGGAAGTTACTGAGAATTCATCTGTCTAGCATAATATGAAGAAATCCCGTTTCCAACGAAGGCCTCAAAGAGGTCTGAATATCCACTTGCAGACTTTACAAACAGAGTGTTTCCTAACTGCTCTTTGAAAAGAAAGGTTAAACTCTGTGAGTTGAACGCACACATCACAAAACAGTTTCTGAGAATCATTCTGTCTAGTTTTTATACGAAGATATTTCCTTTTCTACCGTTGACCTCAAAGCGGCTGAATTCTCCACTTACAAATTCCACCAAAAGAGTGTCTCAAATCTGCTCTGTGTAAAGAATCATTCAACTCTGTGAGTTGAATGCACACAACACAAGGAAGTTACTGGGAATTCCTCTGTCTAACCTTACATGATAAAACCCGTTTCCAACGAAGGCCTCTAAGAGGCCAAGATATCCACATGCAGACTTTACAAACAGAGTGTTTCCAAACTGCTGAATGAAAAGAAAAGTTAAACTCTGTGAGTTGAACGCACACATCACAGAGCAGTTTCTGAGAATGATTCTGTCGGGTTTTTATACGAAGATATTTCCTTTTCTGCCTTTGGCCTCAAAGCGCTTGAAGTCTCCACTTGCAAATTGCAGAAAAAGAGTGTTTCGAATCTGCTCTGTCTAAAGGAAGGTTCAACTCTGTCAGTTGAATACACACAACACAAGGAAGTTACTGAGATTTCTTCTGTCTAGCCTTACATGAAAAAAACCCGTTTCCAACGAAGGCCTCAAAGAGGTCAAAATATCCACGTGCAGACTTTCCAAACAGAGTGTTTCCAAACTGCTGAATGAAAAGAAAAGTTAAACTCTGTGAGTTGAACGCACACATCCCAGAGCAGTTTCTGAGAAAGATTCTGTCGAGTTTTTATAGGAAAATATTTCCTTTTCTGCTTTTGGCCTCAAAGCGCTTGAAATCTCCACTTGCAAATTCCACAAAAAGAGACTTTCAAATCTGCTCTGTCTAAAGGAAGGTTCAACTCTGTCAGTTGAATACACACAACACAAAGAAGTTACTAAGAATTCTTCCCTCTAGCATTATATGAAGAAATCCCGTTTCCAACGAAGGCATCTAAGAGGTCCAAATATCCACTTGCAGACTTTACAAACACAGGGTTTCCAGAATGCTGTATGAAAAGAAAGGTGAAACTCTGTGAGTTAAACACACACATCACTACGCAGTGTCTGGGAACGAGTTTGTCTTGTTTTTATACGAAGATATTTCCTTTTCTACCATTGGCATCGAAGCGCTTGAAATCTCCACTTGCAAATTCCACAAAAAGAGTGTTTCAAATCTGCTCTGTCTAAAGGAAGGTTGAACTCTGTGAGTTGCATACACACAACACAAAGAAGTTACTGAGAAATCTTCTGTCTAGCATAATATGAAGAAATCCCGTTTCCAACGAAGGCCTCAAAGAGGTCTGAATATCCACTGGCAGGCTTCACAAACAGAGTGTTTCCTAACTGCTCTGTGAAAAGAAAGGTTAAACTCTGTGAGTTGAACGCACACATCACAAAGGAGTTTCTGAGAATCATCTGTCTAGTTTTTATACGAAGATATTTCCTTTTCTACCATTGACCTCAAAGCGGCTGAAATCTCCACTTGCAAATTCCAGAAAAACAGTGTTTCAAATCTGCTCTGTGTAAAGGATCGTTCAACTCTGTGAGTTGAATACACACAACACAAGGAAGTTACTGAGAATCTTCTCTGTCTAGCATAATATGAAGAAATCCCGTTTCCAACGAAGGCCTCAAAGAGGTCTGAATATCCACTTGCAGACTTTACAAACAGAGTGTTTCCTAACTGCTCTTTGAAAAGAAAGGTTAAACTCTGTGAGTTGAAAGCACACATCACAAAACAGTTTCTGAGAATCATTCTGTCTAGTTTTTATACGAAGATATTTCCTTTTCTACCGTTGACATCAAAGCGGCTGAATTCTCCACTTACAAATTCCACCAAAAGAGTGTCTCAAATCTGCTCTGTGTAAAGAATCATTCAACTCTGTGAGTTGAATGCACACAACACAAGGAAGTTAGTGGGAATTCCTCTGTCTAACCTTACATGAAAAAACCCGCTTCCAACGAAGGCCTCTAAGAGGCCAAGATATCCACTTGCAGACTTTACAAACAGAGTGTTTCCAAACTGCTGAATGAAAAGAAAAGTTAAACTCTGTGAGTTGAACGCACACATCACAGAGCAGTTTCTGAGAATGATTCTGTCGGGTTTTTATACGAAGATATTTCCTTTTCTGCCTTTGGCCTCAAAGCGCTTGAAGTCTCCACTTGCAAATTGCAGAAAAAGAGTGTTTCGAATCTGCTCTGTCTAAAGGAAGGTTCAACTCTGTCAGTTGAATACACACAACACAAGGGAATTTACTGAGATTTCTTCTGTCTAGCCTTACATGAAAAAAACCCGTTTCCAACGAAGGCCTCAAAGAGGTCAAAATATCCACGTGCAGACTTTCCAAACAGAGTGTTTCCAAACTGCTGAATGAAAAGAAAAGTTAAACTCTGTGAGTTGAACGCACACATCACAGAGCAGTTTCTGAGAAAGATTCTGTCGAGTTTTTATAGGAAAATATTTCCTCTTCTGCTTTTGGCCTCAAAGCGCTTGAAATCTCCACTTGCAAATTCCACAAAAAGAGACTTTCAAATCTGCTCTGTCTAAAGGAAGGTTCAACTCTGTCAGTTGAATACACACAACACAAAGAAGTTACTAAGAATTCTTCCCTCTAGCATTATATGAAGAAATCCCGTTTCCAACGAAGGCATCTAAGAGGTCCAAATATCCACTTGCAGACTTTACAAACAGAGGGTTTCCAGAATGCTGTATGAAAAGAAAGGTGAAACTCTGTGAGTTAAACACACACATCACTACGCAGTGTCTGGGAACGAGTTTGTCTTGTTTTTATACGAAGATATTTCCTTTTCTACCATTGGCATCGAAGCGCTTGAAATCTCCACTTGCAAATTCCACAAAAAGAGTGTTTCAAATCTGCTCTGTCTAAAGGAAGGTTGAACTCTGTGAGTTGCATACACACAACACAAAGAAGTTACTGAGAAATCTTCTGTCTAGCATAATATGAAGAAATCCCGTTTCCAACGAAGGCCTCAAAGAGGTCCGAATATCCACTGGCAGGCTTCACAAACAGAGTGTTTCCTAACTGCTCTGTGAAAAGAAAGGTTAAACTCTGTGAGTTGAACGCACACATCACAAAGGAGTTTCTGAGAATCATTCTGTCTAGTTTTTATACGAAGATATTTCCTTTTCTACCATTGACTTCAAAGCGGCTGAAATCTCCACTTGCAAATTCCAGAAAAACAGTGTTTCAAATCTGCTCTGTGTAAAGGATCGTTCAACTCTGTGAGTTGAATACACACAACACAAGGAAGTTACTGAGAATTCATCTGTCTAGCATAATATGAAGAAATCCCGTTTCCAACGAAGGCCTCAAAGAGGTCTGAATATCCACTTGCAGACTTTACAAACAGAGTGTTTCCTAACTGCTCTTTGAAAAGAAAGGTTAAACTCTGTGAGTTGAAAGCACACATCACAAAACAGTTTCTGAGAATCATTCTGTCTAGTTTTTATACGAAGATATTTCCTTTTCTACCGTTGACCTCAAAGCGGCTGAATTCTCCACTTACAAATTCCACCAAAAGAGTGTCTCAAATCTGCTCTGTGTAAAGAATCATTCAACTCTGTGAGTTGAATGCACACAACACAAGGAAGTTACTGGGGAATTCCTCTGTCTAACCTTACATGAAAAAACCCGTTTCCAACGAAGGCCTCTAAGAGGCCAAGATATCCACTTGCAGACTTTACAAACAGAGTGTTTCCAAACTGCTGAATGAAAAGAAAAGTTAAACTCTGTGAGTTGAACGCACACATCACAGAGCAGTTTCTGAGAATGATTCTGTCGGGTTTTTATACGAAGATATTTCCTTTTCTGCCTTTGGCCTCAAAGCGCTTGAAGTCTCCACTTGCAAATTGCAGAAAAAGAGTGTTTCGAATCTGCTCTGTCTAAAGGAAGGTTCAACTCTGTCAGTTGAATACACACAACACAAGGAAGTTACTGAGATTTCTTCTGTCTAGCCTTACATGAAAAAAACCCGTTTCCAACGAAGGCCTCAAAGAGGTCAAAATATCCACGTGCAGACTTTCCAAACAGAGTGTTTCCAAACTGCTGAATGAAAAGAAAAGTTAAACTCTGTGAGTTGAACGCACACATCCCAGAGCAGTTTCTGAGAAAGATTCTGTCGAGTTTTTATAGGAAAATATTTCCTTTTCTGCTTTTGGCCTCAAAGCGCTTGAAATCTCCACTTGCAAATTCCACAAAAAGAGACTTTCAAATCTGCTCTGTCTAAAGGAAGGTTCAACTCTGTCAGTTGAATACACACAACACAAAGAAGTTACTAAGAATTCTTCCCTCTAGCATTATATGAAGAAATCCCGTTTCCAACGAAGGCATCTAAGAGGTCCAAATATCCACTTGCAGACTTTACAAACACAGGGTTTCCAGAATGCTGTATGAAAAGAAAGGTTAAACTCTGTGAGTTAAACACACACATCACTACGCAGTGTCTGGGAACGAGTTTGTCTTGTTTTTATACGAAGATATTTCCTTTTCTACCATTGGCATCGAAGCGCTTGAAATCTCCACTTGCAAATTCCACAAAAAGAGTGTTTCAAATCTGCTCTGTCTAAAGGAAGGTTGAACTCTGTGAGTTGCATACACACAACACAAAGAAGTTACTGAGAAATCTTCTGTCTAGCATAATATGAAGAAATCCCGTTTCCAACGAAGGCCTCAAAGAGGTCCGA
The DNA here is from genome assembly GCF_000001405.40 of Homo sapiens. Classification (NCBI taxonomy): domain Eukaryota; kingdom Metazoa; phylum Chordata; class Mammalia; order Primates; family Hominidae; genus Homo; species Homo sapiens. The sequence continues at coordinate 37,086,235 of NC_000016.10, read as the reverse complement.
ATATCCACTGGCAGGCTTCACAAACAGAGTGTTTCCTAACTGCTCTGTGAAAAGAAAGGTTAAACTCTGTGAGTTGAACGCACACATCACAAAGGAGTTTCTGAGAATCATTCTGTCTAGTTTTTATACGAAGATATTTCCTTTTCTACCATTGACCTCAAAGCGGCTGAAATCTCCACTTGCAAATTCCAGAAAAACAGTGTTTCAAATCTGCTCTGTGTAAAGGATCGTTTAACTCTGTGAGTTGAATACACACAACACAAGGAAGTTACTGAGAATTCATCTGTCTAGCATAATATGAATAAATCCCGTTTCCAACGAAGGCCTCAAAGAGGTCTGAATATCCACTTGCAGACTTTACAAACAGAGTGTTTCCTAACTGCTCTTTGAAAAGAAAGGTTAAACTCTGTGAGTTGAACGCACACATCACAAAACAGTTTCTGAGAATCATTCTGTCTAGTTTTTATACGAAGATATTTCCTTTTCTACCGTTGACCTCAAAGCGGCTGAATTCTCCACTTACAAATTCCACCAAAAGAGTGTCTCAAATCTGCTCTGTGTAAAGAATCATTCAACTCTGTGAGTTGAATGCACACAACACAAGGAAGTTACTGGGAATTCCTCTGTCTATCCTTACATGAAAAAACCCGCTTCCAACGAAGGCCTCTAAGAGGCCAAGATATCCACTTGCAGACTTTACAAACAGAGTGTTTCCAAACTGCTGAATGAAAAGAAAAGTTAAACTCTGTGAGTTGAACGCACACATCACAGAGCAGTTTCTGAGAATGATTCTGTCGGGTTTTTATACGAAGATATTTCCTTTTCTGCCTTTGGCCTCAAGGCGCTTGAAGTCTCCACTTGCAAATTGCAGAAAAAGAGTGTTTCGAATCTGCTCTGTCTAAAGGAAGGTTCAACTCTGTCAGTTGAATACACACAACACAAGGAAGTTACTGAGATTTCTTCTGTCTAGCCTTACATGAAAAAAACCCGTTTCCAACGAAGGCCTCAAAGAGGTCAAAATATCCACGTGCAGACTTTCCAAACAGAGTGTTTCCAAACTGCTGAATGAAAAGAAAAGTTAAACTCTGTGAGTTGAACGCACACATCCCAGAGCAGTTTCTGAGAAAGATTCTGTCGAGTTTTTATAGGAAAATATTTCCTTTTCTGCTTTTGGCCTCAAAGCGCTTGAAATCTCCACTTGCAAATTCCATAGAAAGAGGCTTTCAAATCTGCTCTGTCTAAAGGAAGGTTCAACTCTGTCAGTTGAATACACACAACACAAAGAAGTTACTAAGAATTCTTCCCTCTAGCATTATATGAAGAAATCCCGTTTCCAACGAAGGCATCTAAGAGGTCCAAATATCCACTTGCAGACTTTACAAACAGAGGGTTTCCAGAATGCTGTATGAAAAGAAAGGTTAAACTCTGTGAGTTAAACACACACATCACTACGCAGTGTCTGGGAACGAGTTTGTCTTGTTTTTATACGAAGATATTTCCTTTTCTACCATTGGCATCGAAGCGCTTGAAATCTCCACTTGCAAATTCCACAAAAAGAGTGTTTCAAATCTGCGCTGTCTAAAGGAAGGTTGAACTCTGTGAGTTGTATACACACAACACAAAGAAGTTACTGAGAAATCTTCTGTCTAGCATAATATGAAGAAATCCCGTTTCCAACGAAGGCCTCAAAGAGGTCCGAATATCCACTGGCAGGCTTCACAAACAGAGTGTTTCCTAACTGCTCTGTGAAAAGAAAGGTTAAACTCTGTGAGTTGAACGCACACATCACAAAGGAGTTTCTGAGAATCATTCTGTCTAGTTTTTATACGAAGATATTTCCTTTTCTACCATTGACCTCAAAGCGGCTGAAATCTCCACTTGCAAATTCCAGAAAAACAGTGTTTCAAATCTGCTCTGTGTAAAGGATCGTTCAACTCTGTGAGTTGAATACACACAACACAAGGAAGTTACTGAGAATTCATCTGTCTAGCATAATATGAAGAAATCCCGTTTCCAACGAAGGCCTCAAAGAGGTCTGAATATCCACTTGCAGACTTTACAAACAGAGTGTTTCCTAACTGCTCTTTGAAAAGAAAGGTTAAACTCTGTGAGTTGAACGCACACATCACAAAACAGTTTCTGAGAATCATTCTGTCTAGTTTTTATACGAAGATATTTCCTTTTCTACCGTTGACCTCAAAGCGGCTGAATTCTCCACTTACAAATTCCACCAAAAGAGTGTCTCAAATCTGCTCTGTGTAAAGAATCATTCAACTCTGTGAGTTGAATGCACACAACACAAGGAAGTTACTGGGAATTCCTCTGTCTAACCTTACATGAAAAAACCCGTTTCCAACGAAGGCCTCTAAGAGGCCAAGATATCCACTTGCAGACTTTACAAACAGAGTGTTTCCAAACTGCTGAATGAAAAGAAAAGTTAAACTCTGTGAGTTGAACGCACACATCACAGAGCAGTTTCTGAGAATGATTCTGTCGGGTTTTTATACGAAGATATTTCCTTTTCTGCCTTTGGCCTCAAAGCGCTTGAAGTCTCCACTTGCAAATTGCAGAAAAAGAGTGTTTCGAATCTGCTCTGTCTAAAGGAAGGTTCAACTCTGTCAGTTGAATACACACAACACAAGGAAGTTACTGAGATTTCTTCTGTCTAGCCTTACATGAAAAAAACCCGTTTCCAACGAAGGCCTCAAAGAGGTCAAAATATCCACGTGCAGACTTTCCAAACAGAGTGTTTCCAAACTGCTGAATGAAAAGAAAAGTTAAACTCTGTGAGTTGAACGCACACATCCCAGAGCAGTTTCTGAGAAAGATTCTGTCGAGTTTTTATAGGAAAATATTTCCTTTTCTGCTTTTGGCCTCAAAGCGCTTGAAATCTCCACTTGCAAATTCCACAGAAAGAGACTTTCAAATCTGCTCTGTCTAAAGGAAGGTTCAACTCTGTCAGTTGAATACACACAACACAAAGAAGTTACTAAGAATTCTTCCCTCTAGCATTATATGAAGAAATCCCGTTTCCAACGAAGGCATCTAAGAGGTCCAAATATCCACTTGCAGACTTTACAAACACAGGGTTTCCAGAATGCTGTATGAAAAGAAAGGTTAAACTCTGTGAGTTAAACACACACATCACTACGCAGTGTCTGGGAACGAGTTTGTCTTGTTTTTATACGAAGATATTTCCTTTTCTACCATTGGCATCGAAGCGCTTGAAATCTCCACTTGCAAATTCCACAAAAAGAGTGTTTCAAATCTGCTCTGTCTAAAGGAAGGTTGAACTCTGTGAGTTGCATACACACAACACAAAGAAGTTACTGAGAAATCTTCTGTCTAGCATAATATGAAGAAATCCCGTTTCCAACGAAGGCCTCAAAGAGGTCCGAATATCCACTGGCAGGCTTCACAAACAGAGTGTTTCCTAACTGCTCTGTGAAAAGAAAGGTTAAACTCTGTGAGTTGAACGCACACATCACAAAGGAGTTTCTGAGAATCATTCTGTCTAGTTTTTATACGAAGATATTTCTTTTTCTACCATTGACCTCAAAGCGGCTGAAATCTCCACTTGCAAATTCCAGAAAAACAGTGTTTCAAATCTGCTCTGTGTAAAGGATCGTTCAACTCTGTGAGTTGAATACACACAACACAAGGAAGTTACTGAGAATTCATCTGTCTAGCATAATATGAAGAAATCCCGTTTCCAACGAAGGCCTCAAAGAGGTCTGAATATCCACTTGCAGACTTTACAAACAGAGTGTTTCCTAACTGCTCTTTGAAAAGAAAGGTTAAACTCTGTGAGTTGAACGCACACATCACAAAACAGTTTCTGAGAATCATTCTGTCTAGTTTTTATACGAAGATATTTCCTTTTCTACCGTTGACCTCAAAGCGGCTGAATTCTCCACTTACAAATTCCACCAAAAGAGTGTCTCAAATCTGCTCTGTGTAAAGAATCATTCAACTCTGTGAGTTGAATGCACACAACACAAGGAAGTTACTGGGAATTCCTCTGTCTAACCTTACATGAAAAAACCCGTTTCCAACGAAGGCCTCTAAGAGGCCAAGATATCCACTTGCAGACTTTACAAACAGAGTGTTTACAAACTGCTGAATGAAAAGAAAAGTTAAACTCTGTGAGTTGAACGCACACATCACAGAGCAGTTTCTGAGAATGATTCTGTCGGGTTTTTATACGAAGATATTTCCTTTTCTGCCTTTGGCCTCAAAGCGCTTGAAGTCTCCACTTGCAAATTGCAGAAAAAGAGTGTTTCGAATCTGCTCTGTCTAAAGGAAGGTTCAACTCTGTCAGTTGAATACACACAACACAAGGAAGTTACTGAGATTTCTTCTGTCAAGCCTTACATGAAAAAAACCCGTTTCCAACGAAGGCCTCAAAGAGGTCAAAATATCCACGTGCAGACTTTCCAAACAGAGTGTTTCCAAACTGCTGAATGAAAAGAAAAGTTAAACTCTGTGAGTTGAACGCACACATCCCAGAGCAGTTTCTGAGAAAGATTCTGTCGAGTTTTTATAGGAAAATATTTCCTTTTCTGCTTTTGGCCTCAAAGCGCTTGAAATCTCCACTTGCAAATTCCACAAAAAGAGACTTTCAAATCTGCTCTGTCTAAAGGAAGGTTCAACTCTGTCAGTTGAATACACACAACACAAAGAAGTTACTAAGAATTCTTCCCTCTAGCATTATATGAAGAAATCCCGTTTCCAACGAAGGCATCTAAGAGGTCCAAATATCCACTTGCAGACTTTACAAACAGAGGGTTTCCAGAATGCTGTATGAAAAGAAAGGTGAAACTCTGTGAGTTAAACACACACATCACTACGCAGTGTCTGGGAACGAGTTTCTCTTGTTTTTATACGAAGATATTTCCTTTTCTACCATTGGCATCGAAGCGCTTGAAATCTCCACTTGCAAATTCCACAAAAAGAGTGTTTCAAATCTGCTCTGTCTAAAGGAAGGTTGAACTCTGTGAGTTGCATACACACAACCCAAAGAAGTTACTGAGAAATCTTCTGTCTAGCATAATATGAAGAAATCCCGTTTCCAACGAAGGCCTCAAAGAGGTCCGAATATCCACTGGCAGGCTTCACAAACAGAGTGTTTCCTAACTGCTCTGTGAAAAGAAAGGTTAAACTCTGTGAGTTGAACGCACACATCACAAAGGAGTTTCTGAGAATCATTCTGTCTAGTTTTTATACGAAGATATTTCCTTTTCTACCATTGACCTCAAAGCGGCTGAAATCTCCACTTGCAAATTCCAGAAAAACAGTGTTTCAAATCTGCTCTGTGTAAAGGATCGTTCAACTCTGTGAGTTGAATACACACAACACAAGGAAGTTACTGAGAATTCATCTGTCTAGCATAATATGAAGAAATCCCGTTTCCAACGAAGGCCTCAAAGAGGTCTGAATATCCACTTGCAGACTTTACAAACAGAGTGTTTCCTAACTGCTCTTTGAAAAGAAAGGTTAAACTCTGTGAGTTGAACGCACACAGCACAAAACAGTTTCTGAGAATCATTCTGTCTAGTTTTTATACGAAGATATATCCTTTTCTACCGTTGACCTCAAAGCGGCTGAATTCTCCACTAACAAATTCCACCAAAAGAGTGTCTCAAATCTGCTCTGTGTAAAGAATCATTCAACTCTGTGAGTTGAATGCACACAACACAAGGGAAGTTACTGGGAATTCCTCTGTCTAACCTTACATGAAAAAACCCGTTTCCAACGAAGGCCTCTAAGAGGCCAAGATATCCACTTGCAGACTTTACAAACAGAGTGTTTCCAAACTGCTGAATGAAAAGAAAAGTTAAACTCTGTGAGTTGAACGCACACATCACAGAGCAGTTTCTGAGAATGATTCTGTCGGGTTTTTATACGAAGATATTTCCTTTTCTGCCTTTGGCCTCAAAGCGCTTGAAGTCTCCACTTGCAAATTGCAGAAAAAGAGTGTTTCGAATCTGCTCTGTCTAAAGGAAGGTTCAACTCTGTCAGTTGAATACACACAACACAAGGGAATTTACTGAGATTTCTTCTGTCTAGCCTTACATGAAAAAAACCCGTTTCCAACGAAGGCCTCAAAGAGGTCAAAATATCCACGTGCAGACTTTCCAAACAGAGTGTTTCCAAACTGCTGAATGAAAAGAAAAGTTAAACTCTGTGAGTTGAACGCACACATCCCAGAGCAGTTTCTGAGAAAGATTCTGTCGAGTTTTTATAGGAAAATATTTCCTTTTCTGCTTTTGGCCTCAAAGCGCTTGAAATCTCCACTTGCAAATTCCACAAAAAGAGACTTTCAAATCTGCTCTGTCTAAAGGAAGGTTCAACTCTGTCAGTTGAATACACACAACACAAAGAAGTTACTAGAGAATTCTTCCCTCTAGCATTATATGAAGAAATCCCGTTTCCAACGAAGGCATCTAAGAGGTCCAAATATCCACTTGCAGACTTTACAAACAGAGGGTTTCCAGAATGCTGTATGAAAAGAAAGGTGAAACTCTGTGAGTTAAACACACACATCACTACGCAGTGTCTGGGAACGAGTTTGTCTTGTTTTTCTACGAAGATATTTCCTTTTCTACCATTGGCATCGAAGCGCTTGAAATCTCCACTTGCAAATTCCACAAAAAGAGTGTTTCAAATCTGCTCTGTCTAAAGGAAGGTTGAACTCTGTGAGTTGCATACACACAACACAAAGAAGTTACTGAGAAATCTTCTGTCTAGCATAATATGAAGAAATCCCGTTTCCAAGGAAGGCCTCAAAGAGGTCCGAATATCCACTGGCAGGCTTCACAAACAGAGTGTTTCCTAACTGCTCTGTGAAAAGAAAGGTTAAACTCTGTGAGTTGAACGCACACATCACAAAGGAGTTTCTGAGAATCATTCTGTCTAGTTTTTATACGAAGATATTTCCTTTTCTACCATTGACCTCAAAGCGGCTGAAATCTCCACTTGCAAATTCCAGAAAAACAGTGTTTCAAATCTGCTCTGTGTAAAGGATCGTTCAACTCTGTGAGTTGAATACACACAACACAAGGAAGTTACTGAGAATTCATCTGTCTAGCATAATATGAAGAAATCCCGTTTCCAACGAAGGCCTCAAAGAGGTCTGAATATCCACTTGCAGACTTTACAAACAGAGTGTTTCCTAACTGCTCTTTGAAAAGAAAGGTTAAACTCTGTGAGTTGAACGCACACATCACAAAACAGTTTCTGAGAATCATTCTGTCTAGTTTTTATACGAAGATATTTCCTTTTCTACCGTTGACCTCAAAGCGGCTGAATTCTCCACTTACAAATTCCACCAAAAGAGTGTCTCAAATCTGCTCTGTGTAAAGAATCATTCAACTCTGTGAGTTGAATGCACACAACACAAGGAAGTTACTGGGAATTCCTCTGTCTAACCTTACATGAAAAAACCCGTTTCCAACGAAGGCCTCTAAGAGGCCAAGATATCCACTTGCAGACTTTACAAACAGAGTGTTTCCAAACTGCTGAATGAAAAGAAAAGTTAAACTCTGTGAGTTGAACGCACACATCACAGAGCAGTTTCTGAGAATGATTCTGTCGGGTTTTTATACGAAGATATTTCCTTTTCTGCCTTTGGCCTCAAAGCGCTTGAAGTCTCCACTTGCAAATTGCAGAAAAAGAGTGTTTCGAATCTGCTCTGTCTAAAGGAAGGTTCAACTCTGTCAGTTGAATACACACAACACAAGGAAGTTACTGAGATTTCTTCTGTCTAGCCTTACATGAAAAAAACCCGTTTCCAACGAAGGCCTCAAAGAGGTCAAAATATCCACGTGCAGACTTTCCATACAGAGTGTTTCCAAACTGCTGAATGAAAAGAAAAGTTAAACTCTGTGAGTTGAACGCACACATCCCAGAGCAGTTTCTGAGAAAGATTCTGTCTAGTTTTTATAGGAAAATATTTCCTTTTCTGCTTTTGGCCTCAAAGCGCTTGAAATCTCCACTTGCAAATTCCACAAAAAGAGACTTTCAAATCTGCTCTGTCTAAAGGAAGGTTCAACTCTGTCAGTTGAATACACACAACACAAAGAAGTTACTAAGAATTCTTCCCTCTAGCATTATATGAAGAAATCCCGTTTCCAACGAAGGCATCTAAGAGGTCCAAATATCCACTTGCAGACTTTACAAACACAGGGTTTCCAGAATGCTGTATGAAAAGAAAGGTTAAACTCTGTGAGTTAAACACACACATCACTACGCAGTGTCTGGGAACGAGTTTGTCTTGTTTTTATACGAAGATATTTCCTTTTCTACCATTGGCATCGAAGCGCTTGAAATCTCCACTTGCAAATTCCACAAAAAGAGTGTTTCAAATCTGCTCTGTCTAAAGGAAGGTTGAACTCTGTGAGGTTGCATACACACAACACAAAGAAGTTACTGAGAAATCTTCTGTCTAGCATAATATGAAGAAATCCCGTTTCCAACGAAGGCCTCAAAGAGGTCCGAATATCCACTGGCAGGCTTCACAAACAGAGTGTTTCCTAACTGCTCTGTGAAAAGAAAGGTTAAACTCTGTGAGTTGAACGCACACATCACAAAGGAGTTTCTGAGAATCATTCTGTCTAGTTTTTATACGAAGATATTTCCTTTTCTACCATTGACCTCAAAGCAGCTGAAATCTCCACTTGCAAATTCCAGAAAAACAGTGTTTCAAATCTGCTCTGTGTAAAGGGTCGTTCAACTCTGTGAGTTGAATACACACAACACAAGGAAGTTACTGAGAATTCATCTGTCTAGCATAATATGAAGAAATCCCGTTTCCAACGAAGGCCTCAAAGAGGTCTGAATATCCACTTGCAGACTTTACAAACAGAGTGTTTCCTAACTGCTCTTTGAAAAGAAAGGTTAAACTCTGTGAGTTGAACGCACACATCACAAAACAGTTTCTGAGAATCATTCTGTCTAGTTTTTATACGAAGATATTTCCTTTTCTACCGTTGACCTCAAAGCAGCTGAATTCTCCACTTACAAATTCCACCAAAAGAGTGTCTCAAATCTGCTCTGTGTAAAGAATCATTCAACTCTGTGAGTTGAATGCACACAACACAAGGAAGTTACTGGGAATTCCTCTGTCTAACCTTACATGAAAAAACCCGTTTCCAACGAAGGCCTCTAAGAGGCCAAGATATCCACTTGCAGACTTTACAAACAGAGTGTTTCCAAACTGCTGAATGAAAAGAAAAGTTAAACTCTGTGAGTTGAACGCACACATCACAGAGCAGTTTCTGAGAATGATTCTGTCGGGTTTTTATACGAAGATATTTCCTTTTCTGCCTTTGGCCTCAAAGCGCTTGAAGTCTCCACTTGCAAATTGCAGAAAAAGAGTGTTTCGAATCTGCTCTGTCTAAAGGAAGGTTCAACTCTGTCAGTTGAATACACACAACACAAGGAAGTTACTTGAGATTTCTTCTGTCTAGCCTTACATGAAAAAAACCCGTTTCCAACGAAGGCCTCAAAGAGGTCAAAATATCCACGTGCAGACTTTCCAAACAGAGTGTTTCCAAACTGCTGAATGAAAAGAAAAGTTAAACTCTGTGAGTTGAACGCACACATCCCAGAGCAGTTTCTGAGAAAGATTCTGTCGAGTTTTTATAGGAAAATATTTCCTTTTCTGCTTTTGGCCTCAAAGCGCTTGAAATCTCCACTTGCAAATTCCACAAAAAGAGACTTTCAAATCTGCTCTGTCTAAAGGAAGGTTCAACTCTGTCAGTTGAATACACACAACACAAAGAAGTTACTAAGAATTCTTCCCTCTAGCATTATATGAAGAAATCCCGTTTCCAACGAAGGCATCTAAGAGGTCCAAATATCCACTTGCAGACTTTACAAACACAGGGTTTCCAGAATGCTGTATGAAAAGAAAGGTGAAACTCTGTGAGTTAAACACACACATCACTACGCAGTGTCTGGGAACGAGTTTGTCTTGTTTTTATACGAAGATATTTCCTTTTCTACCATTGGCATCGAAGCGCTTGAAATCTCCACTTGCAAATTCCACAAAAAGAGTGTTTCAAATCTGCTCTGTCTAAAGGAAGGTTGAACTCTGTGAGTTGCATACACACAACACAAAGAAGTTACTGAGAAATCTCTGTCTAGCAAAATATGAAGAAATCCCGTTTCCAACGAAGGCCTCAAAGAGGTCCGAATATCCACTGGCAGGCTTCACAAACAGAGTGTTTCCTAACTGCTCTGTGAAAAGAAAGGTTAAACTCTGTGAGTTGAACGCTCACATCACAAAGGAGTTTCTGAGAATCATTCTGTCCAGTTTTTATACGAAGATATTTCCTTTTCTACCATTGACCTCAAAGCGGCTGAAATCTCCACTTGCAAATTCCAGAAAAACAGTGTTTCAAATCTGCTCTGTGTAAAGGATCGTTCAACTCTGTGAGTTGAATACACACAACACAAGGAAGTTACTGAGAATTCATCTGTCTAGCATAATATGATGAAATCCCGTTTCCAACGAAGGCTTCAAAGAGGTCTGAATATCCACTTGCAGACTTTACAAACAGAGTGTTTCCTAACTGCTCTTTGAAAAGAAAGGTTAAACTCTGTGAGTTGAACGCACACATCACAAAACAGTTTCTGAGAATCATTCTTTCTAGTTTTTATACGAAGATATTTCCTTTTCTACCGTTGACCTCAAAGCGGCTGAATTCTCCACTTACAAATTCCACCAAAAGTGTGTCTCAAATCTGCTCTGTGTAAAGAATCATTCAACTCTGTGAGTTGAATGCACACAACACAAGGAAGTTACTGGGAATTCCTCTGTCTAACCTTACATGAAAAAACCCGTTTCCAACGAAGGCCTCTAAGAGGCCAAGATATCCACTTGCAGACTTTACAAACAGAGTGTTTCCAAACTGCTGAATGAAAAGAAAAGTTAAACTCTGTGAGTTGAACGCACACATCACAGAGCAGTTTCTGAGAATGATTCTGTCGGGTTTTTATACGAAGATATTTCCTTTTCTGCCTTTGGCCTCAAAGCGCTTGAAGTCTCCACTTGCAAATTGCAGAAAAAGAGCGTTTCGAATCTGCTCTGTCTAAAGGAAGGTTCAACTCTGTCAGTTGAATACACACAACACAAGGAAGTTACTGAGATTTCTTCTGTCTAGCCTTACATGAAAAAAACCCGTTTCCAACGAAGGCCTCAAAGAGGTCAAAATATCCACGTGCAGACTTTCCAAACAGAGTGTTTCCAAACTGCTGAATGAAAAGAAAGTTAAACTCTGTGAGTTGAACACACACATCGCAGAGCAGTTTCTGAGAATGATTCTCTCTAGTTTTTATAGGAAAATATTTCCTTTTCTGCTTTTGGCCTCAAAGCGCTTGAAATCTCCACTTGCAAATTCCACAAAAAGAGACTTTCAAATCTGCTCTGTCTAAAGGAAGGTTCAACTCTGTCAGTTGAATACACACAACACAAAGAAGTTACTAAGAATTCTTCCCTCTAGCATTATATGAAGAAATCCCGTTTCCAACGAAGGCATCTAAGAGGTCCAAATATCCACTTGCAGACTTTACAAACAGAGGGTTTCCAGAATGCTGTATGAAAAGAAAGGTTAAACTCTGTGAGTTAAACACACACATCACTACGCAGTGTCTGGGAACGAGTTTGTCTTGTTTTTATACGAAGATATTTCCTTTTCTACCATTGGCATCGAAGCGCTTGAAATCTCCACTTGCAAATTCCACAAAAAGAGTGTTTCAAATCTGCTCTGTCTAAAGGAAGGTTGAACTCTGTGAGTTGCATACACACAACACAAAGAAGTTACTGAGAAATCTTCTGTCTAGCATAATATGAAGAAATCCCGTTTCCAACGAAGGCCTCAAAGAGGTCCGATTATCCACTGGCAGGCTTCACAAACAGAGTGTTTCCTAACTGCTCTGTGAAAAGAAAGGTTAAACTCTGTGAGTTGAACGCACACATCACAAAGGAGTTTCTGAGAATCATTTCTGTCTAGTTTTTATACGAAGATATTTCCTTTTCTACCATTGACCTCAAAGCGGCTGAAATCTCCACTTGCAAATTCCACAAAAAGAGTGTTTCTAATCTGCTGTGTGTAAAGGATCATTCAACTCTGTGAGTTGAATGCACACAACACAAGGGAAGTTATTGAGAATTCTTCTGTCTAGCATAATATGAAGAAACCCCGTTTCCAACGAAGGCCTCAAAGAGGTCTGAATATCCACTGGCAGACTTCACAAACAGAGTGTTTCCTAACTACTCTATGAAAAGAAAGGTTAAACTCTGTGAGTTGAACGCACACATCACAAAGGAGTTTCTGAGAATCATTCTGTCTAGTTTTTATACGAAGATATTTCCTTTTCTACCATTGACCTCAAAGCGGCTGAAATCTCCACTTGCAAAATCCACAAAAATATTGTTTCTAATCTGCTCTGTGTAAAGGATCTTTCAACTCTGCGAGCTGAATGCACACAACACAAGGAAGTTGCTGAGAATTCTTCTGTCTAGCATAATATGAAGAAATCCCGTTTCCAAGGAAGGCCTCAAAGAGGTCTGAATATCCACTGGCAGACTTCACAAACAGAGTGTTTCCTAACTACTCTATGAAAAGAAAGGATAAACTCTGTGAGTTGAAAGCACACATCACAAAGGAGTTTCTGAGAATCATTCTGTCTAGTTTTTATACGAAGTATATTTCCTTTTCTACCATTGACCTCAAAGCGGCTGAAATCTCCACTTGCAAATTCCAGAAAAACAGTGTTTCAAATCTGCTCTGTGTAAAGGATCGTTCAACTCTGTGAGTTGAATACACACAACACAAGGAAGTTACTGAGAATTCATCTGTCTAGCATAATATGAAGAAATCCCGTTTCCAACGAAGGCCTCAAAGAGGTCTGAATATCCACTTGCAGACTTTACAAACAGAGTGTTTCCTAACTGCTCTTTGAAAAGAAAGGTTAAACTCTGTGAGTTGAACGCACACATCACAAAACAGTTTCTGAGAATCATTCTGTCTAGTTTTTATACGAAGATATTTCCTTTTCTACCGTTGACCTCAAAGCGGCTGAATTCTCCACTTACAAATTCCACCAAAAGAGTGTCTCAAATCTGCTCTGTGTAAAGAATCATTCAACTCTGTGAGTTGAATGCACACAACACAAGGAAGTTACTGGGAATTCCTCTGTCTAACCTTACATGAAAAAACCCGTTTCCAACGAAGGCCTCTAAGAGGCCAAGATATCCACTTGCAGACTTTACAAACAGAGTGTTTCCAAACTGCTGAATGAAAAGAAAAGTTAAACTCTGTGAGTTGAACGCACACATCACAGAGCAGTTTCTGAGAATGATTCTGTCGGGTTTTTATACGAAGATATTTCCTTTTCTGCCTTTGGCCTCAAAGCGCTTGAAGTCTCCACTTGCAAATTGCAGAAAAAGAGTGTTTCGAATCTGCTCTGTCTAAAGGAAGGTTCAACTCTGTCAGTTGAATACACACAACACAAGGAAGTTACTGAGATTTCTTCTGTCTAGCCTTACATGAAAAAAACCCGTTTCCAACGAAGGCCTCAAAGAGGTCAAAATATCCACGTGCAGACTTTCCAAACAGAGTGTTTCCAAACTGCTGAATGAAAAGAAAAGTTAAACTCTGTGAGTTGAACGCACACATCCCAGAGCAGTTTCTGAGAAAGATTCTGTCTAGTTTTTATAGGAAAATATTTCCTTTTCTGCTTTTGGCCTCAAAGCGCTTGAAATCTCCACTTGCAAATTCCACAAAAAGAGACTTTCAAATCTGCTCTGTCTAAAGGAAGGTTCAACTCTGTCAGTTGAATACACACAACACAAAGAAGTTACTAAGAATTCTTCCCTCTAGCATTATATGAAGAAATCCCGTTTCCAACGAAGGCATCTAAGAGGTCCAAATATCCACTTGCAGACTTTACAAACACAGGGTTTCAAGAATGCTGTATGAAAAGAAAGGTTAAACTCTGTGAGTTAAACACACACATCACTACGCAGTGTCTGGGAACGAGTTTGTCTTGTTTTTATACGAAGATATTTCCTTTTCTACCATTGGCATCGAAGCGCTTGAAATCTCCACTTGCAAATTCCACAAAAAGAGTGTTTCAAATATGCTCTCTCTAAAGGAAGGTTGAACTCTGTGAGTTGCATACACACAACACAAAGAAGTTACTGAGAAATCTTCTGTCTAGCATAATATGAAGAAATCCCGTTTCCAACGAAGGCCTCAAAGAGGTCCGAATATCCACTGGCAGGCTTCACAAACAGAGTGTTTCCTAACTGCTCTGTGAAAAGAAAGGTTAAACTCTGTGAGTTGAACGCACACATCACAAAGGAGTTTCTGAGAATCATTCTGTCTAGTTTTTATACGAAGATATTTCCTTTTCTACCGTTGACCTCAAAGCGGCTGAATTCTCCACTTACAAATTCCACCAAAAGAGTGTCTCAAATCTGCTCTGTGTAAAGAATCATTCAACTCTGTGAGTTGAATGCACACAACACAAGGAAGTTACTGGGAATTCCTCTGTCTAACCTTAAATGAAAAAACCCGTTTCCAACGAAGGCCTCTAAGAGGCCAAGATATCCACTTGCAGACTTTACAAACAGAGTGTTTCCAAACTGCTGAATGAAAAGAAAAGTTAAACTCCTGTGAGTTGAACGCACACATCACAGAGCAGTTTCTGAGAATGATTTCTGTCGGGTTTTTATACGAAGATATTTCCTTTTCTGCCTTTGGCCTCAAAGCGCTTGAAGTCTCCACTTGCAAATTGCAGAAAAAGAGTGTTTCGAATCTGCTCTGTCTAAAGGAAGGTTCAACTCTGTCAGTTGAATACACACAACACAAGGAAGTTACTGAGATTTCTTCTGTCTAGCCTTACATGAAAAAAACCCGTTTCCAACGAAGGCCTCAAAGAGGTCAAAATATCCACGTGCAGACTTTCCAAACAGAGTGTTTCCAAACTGCTGAATGAAAAGAAAGTTAAACTCTGTGAGTTGAACACACACATCCCAGAGCAGTTTCTGAGAATGATTCTGTCTAGTTTTTATAGGAAAATATTTCCTTTTCTGCTTTTGGCCTCAAAGCGCTTGAAATCTCCACTTGCAAATTCCACAAAAAGAGACTTTCAAATCTGCTCTGTCTAAAGGAAGGTTCAACTCTGTCAGTTGAATACACACAACACAAAGAAGTTACTAAGAATTCTTCCCTCTAGCATTATATGAAGAAATCCCGTTTCCAACGAAGGCATCTAAGAGGTCCAAATATCCACTTGCAGACTTTACAAACAGAGGGTTTCCAGAATGCTGTATGAAAAGAAAGGTTAAACTCTGTGAGTTAAACACACACATCACTACGCAGTGTCTGGGAACGAGTTTGTCTTGTTTTTATGCGAAGATATTTCCTTTTCTACCATTGGCATCGAAGCGCTTGAAATCTCCACTTGCAAATTCCACAAAAAGAGTGTTTCAAATCTGCTCTGTCTAAAGGAAGGTTGAACTCTGTGAGTTGCATACACACAACACAAAGAAGTTACTGAGAAATCTTCTGTCTAGCATAATATGAAGAAATCCCGTTTCCAACGAAGGCCTCAAAGAGGTCCGAATATCCACTGGCAGGCTTCACAAACAGAGTGTTTCCTAACTGCTCTGTGAAAAGAAAGGTTAAACTCTGTGAGTTGAACGCACACATCACAAAGGAGTTTCTGAGAATCATTCTGTCTAGTTTTTATACGAAGATATTTCCTTTTCTACCATTGACCTCAAAGCGGCTGAAATCTCCACTTGCAAATTCCAGAAAAACAGTGTTTCAAATCTGCTCTGTGTAAAGGATCGTTCAACTCTGTGAGTTGAATACACACAACACAAGGAAGTTACTGAGAATTCATCTGTCTAGCATAATATGAAGAAATCCCGTTTCCAACGAAGGCCTCAAAGAGGTCTGAATATCCACTTGCAGACTTTACAAACAGAGTGTTTCCTAACTGCTCTTTGAAAAGAAAGGTTAAACTCTGTGAGTTGAAAGCACACATCACAAAACAGTTTCTGAGAATCATTCTGTCTAGTTTTTATACGAAGATATTTCCTTTTCTACCGTTGACATCAAAGCGGCTGAATTCTCCACTTACAAATTCCACCAAAAGAGTGTCTCAAATCTGCTCTGTGTAAAGAATCATTCAACTCTGTGAGTTGAATGCACACAACACAAGGAAGTTAGTGGGAATTCCTCTGTCTAACCTTACATGAAAAAACCCGTTTCCAATGAAGGCCTCTAAGAGGCCAAGATATCCACTTGCAGACTTTACAAACAGAGTGTTTCCAAACTGCTGAATGAAAAGAAAAGTTAAACTCTGTGAGTTGAACGCACACATCACAGAGCAGTTTCTGAGAATGATTCTGTCGGGTTTTTATACGAAGATATTTCCTTTTCTGCCTTTGGCCTCAAAGCGCTTGAAGTCTCCACTTGCAAATTGCAGAAAAAGAGTGTTTCGAATCTGCTCTGTCTAAAGGAAGGTTCAACTCTGTCAGTTGAATACACACAACACAAGGAAGTTACTGAGATTTCTTCTGTCTAGCCTTACATGAAAAAAACCCGTTTCCAACGAAGGCCTCAAAGAGGTCAAAATATCCACGTGCAGACTTTCCAAACAGAGTGTTTCCAAACTGCTGAATGAAAAGAAAAGTTAAACTCTGTGAGTTGAACGCACACATCCCAGAGCAGTTTCTGAGAAAGATTCTGTCTAGTTTTTATAGGAAAATATTTCCTTTTCTGCTTTTGGCCTCAAAGCGCTTGAAATCTCCACTTGCAAATTCCACAAAAAGAGACTTTCAAATCTGCTCTGTCTAAAGGAAGGTTCAACTCTGTCAGTTGAATACACACAACACAAAGAAGTTACTAAGAATTCTTCCCTCTAGCATTATATGAAGAAATCCCGTTTCCAACGAAGGCATCTAAGAGGTCCAAATATCCACTTGCAGACTTTACAAACACAGGGTTTCCAGAATGCTGTATGAAAAGAAAGGTTAAACTCTGTGAGTTAAACACACACATCACTACGCAGTGTCTGGGAACGAGTTTGTCTTGTTTTTATACGAAGATATTTTCTTTTCGACCATTGGCGTCCAAGTGCTTGAAATCTCCACTTGCAAATTCCACAAAAAGAGTGTTTCAAATCTGCTCTGTCTAAAGGAAGGTTGAACTCTGTGAGTTGCATACACACAACACAAAGTAGTTACTGAGAAATCTGTCTAGCATAATATGAAGAAATCCCGTTTCCAACGAAGGCCTCAAAGAGGTCCGAATATCCACTGGCAGACTTCACAAACAGAGTGTTTCCTAACTGGTCTGTGTAAAGAAAGGTTAAACTCTGTGAGTTGAACGCACACATCACAAAGGAGTTTCTGAGAATTATTCTGTCTAGTTTTTATACGAAGATATTTCCTTTTCTACCATTGACCCCAAAGCGGCTGAAATCTCCACTTGCAAATTCCAGAAAAAGAGTGTTTGAAATCTGCTCTGTGTAAAGGATCGTTCAACTGTGTGAGTTGAATACACACAACACAAGGAAGTTACTGAGAATTCTTCTGTCTAGCATAATATGAAGAAATCCCGTTTCCAACGAAGGCCTCAAAGAGGTCTGAATATCCACTGGCAGACTTTACAAACAGAGTGTTTCCTAACTGCTCTTTGAAAAGAAAGGTTAAACTCTGTGAGTTGAACGCACACATCACAAAACAGTTTCTGAGAATCATTCTGTCTAGTTTTTATACGAAGATATTTCCTTTTCTACCATTGACCTCAAAGCGGCTGAATTCTCCACATACAAATTCCACTAAAAGAGTGTCTCAAATCTGCTCTGTGTAAAGAATCATTCAACTCTGTGAGTTGAATGCACACAACACAAGGAAGTTACTGGGAATTCCTCTGAATAACCTTACATGATAAAAACCCGTTTCCAACGAAGGCCTCTAAGAGGCCAATATATCCACTTGCAGACTTTATAAACAGAGTGTTTCCAAACTGCTGAATGAAAAGAAAAGTTAAACTCTGTGAGTTGAACGCACACATCACAGAGCAGTTTCTGAGAATGATTATGTCTGGTTTTTATACGAGGATAATGCCTTTTCTGCCTTTGGCCTGAAAGGGCTTGAAGTCTCCACTTGGAAATTCCAGAAAAAGAGTGTTTCGAATCTGCTCTGTCTAAAGGAAGGTTCAACTGCATCAGTTGAATACACATAACACAAAGAGGTTACTAAGAATTCTTCCCTCTAGAATTATATGAAGAAATCCCGTTTCCAACGAAGGCATCTAAGAGCTCCAAATATCCACTTGTAGACATTACAAACAGAGTGTTTCCAGAATGCTGTATGAAAAGAAAGGTTAAAATCTGTGAGTTAAACACACACATCACTACGCAGTTTCTGGGAATGATTTTGTCTTGTTTTTATACGAAGATATTTCCTTTTCTACCATTGGCATCGAAGCGCTTGAAATCTCCACTTGCAAATTCCACAAAAAGAGTGTTTCAAATCTGCTCTGTCTAAAGGAAGGTTGAACTCTGTGAGTGGCATACACACAACACAAAGTAGTTACTGAGAAATCTTCTGTCTAGCATAATATGAAGAAATCCCGTTTCTAACGAAGGCCTCAAAGAGGTCCGAATATCCACTGGCAGACTTCACAAACAGAGTGTTTCCTAACTGCTCTATGAAAAGAAAGGTTAAACTCTGTGAGTTGAACGCACACATCACAAAGGAGTTTCTGAGAATCATTCTGTCTAGTTTTTATACGAAGATATTTCCTTTTCTACCATTGACCTCAAAGCGGCTGAAATCTCCACTTGCAAATTCCAGAAAAAGAGTGTTTCAAATCTGCTCTGTGTAAAGGATCGTTCAACTCTGTGACTTGAATACACACAACACAAGGAAGTTACTGAGAATTCTTCTGTCTAGCATAATATGAAGAAATCCCGTTTCCAACGAAGGCATCTAAGAGGTCTAAATATGCACTTGCAGACTTTACAAACAGAGTGTTTCCAGAATGTTTTATGAAAAGAAAGGTTAAACTCTGTGAGTTAAACACACACATCACTACACAGTTTCTGGGAATGATTTTGTCTTGTTTTTATACGAAGATATTTCCTTTTCTACCATTGGCATCGAAGCGCTTGAAATCTCCACTTGCAAATTCCACAAAAAGAGTGTTTCAAATCTGCTCTGTCTAAAGGAAGGTTGAACTCTGTGAGGTTGCATACACACAACACAAAGAAGTTACTGAGAAATCTTCTGTCTAGCATAATATGAAGAAATCCCGTTTCCAACGAAGGCCTCAAAGGAGGTCCGAATATCCACTGGCAGGCTTCACAAACAGAGTGTTTCCTAACTGCTCTGTGAAAAGAAAGGTTAAACTCTGTGAGTTGAACGCACACATCACAAAGGAGTTTCTGAGAATCATTCTGTCTAGTTTTTATACGAAGATATTTCCTTTTCTACCATTGACCTCAAAGCAGCTGAAATCTCCACTTGCAAATTCCAGAAAAACAGTGTTTCAAATCTGCTCTGTGTAAAGGATCGTTCAACTCTGTGAGTTGAATACACACAACACAAGGAAGTTACTGAGAATTCATCTGTCTAGCATAATATGAAGAAATCCCGTTTCCAACGAAGGCCTCAAAGAGGTCTGAATATCCACTTGCAGACTTTACAAACAGAGTGTTTCCTAACTGCTCTTTGAAAAGAAAGGTTAAACTCTGTGAGTTGAACGCACACATCACAAAACAGTTTCTGAGAATCATTCTTTCTAGTTTTTATACGAAGATATTTCCTTTTCTACCGTTGACCTCAAAGCGGCTGAATTCTCCACTTACAAATTCCACCAAAAGTGTGTCTCAAATCTGCTCTGTGTAAAGAATCATTCAACTCTGTGAGGTTGAATGCACACAACACAAGGAAGTTACTGGGAATTCCTCTGTCTAACCTTACATGAAAAAACGCGTTTCCAACGAAGGCCTCTAAGAGGCCAAGATATCCACTTGCAGACTTTACAAACAGAGTGTTTCCAAACTGCTGAATGAAAAGAAAAGTTAAACTCTGTGAGTTGAACGCACACATCACAGAGCAGTTTCTGAGAATGATTCTGTCGGGTTTTTATACGAAGATATTTCCTTTTCTGCCTTTGGCCTCAAAGCGCTTGAAGTCTCCACTTGCAAATTGCAGAAAAAGAGTGTTTCGAATCTGCTCTGTCTAAAGGAAGGTTCAACTCTGTCAGTTGAATACACACAACACAAGGAAGTTACTGAGATTTCTTCTGTCTAGCCTTACATGAAAAAAACCCGTTTCCAACGAAGGCCTCAAAGAGGTCAAAATATCCACGTGCAGACTTTCCAAACAGAGTGTTTCCAAACTGCTGAATGAAAAGAAAGTTAAACTCTGTGAGTTGAACACACACATCACAGAGCAGTTTCTGAGAATGATTCTGTCTAGTTTTTATAGGAAAATATTTCCTTTTCTGCTTTTGGCCTCAAAGCGCTTGAAATCTCCACTTGCAAATTCCACAAAAAGAGACTTTCAAATCTGCTCTGTCTAAAGGAAGGTTCAACTCTGTCAGTTGAATACACACAACACAAAGAAGTTACTAAGAATTCTTCCCTCTAGCATTATATGAAGAAATCCCGTTTCCAACGAAGGCATCTAAGAGGTCCAAATAACCACTTGCAGACTTTACAAACAGAGGGTTTCCAGAATGCTGTATGAAAAGAAAGGTTAAACTCTGTGAGTTAAACACACACATCACTACGCAGTGTCTGGGAACGAGTTTGTCTTGTTTTTATACGAAGATATTTCCTTTTCTACCATTGGCATCGAAGCGCTTGAAATCTCCACTTGCAAATTCCACAAAAAGAGTGTTTCAAATCTGCTCTGTCTAAAGGAAGGTTGAACTCTGTGAGTTGCATACACACAACACAAAGAAGTTACTGAGAAATCTTCTGTCTAGCATAATATGAAGAAATCCCGTTTCCAACGAAGGCCTCAAGGAGGTCCGAATATCCACTGGCAGGCTTCACAAACAGAGTGTTTCCTAACTGCTCTGTGAAAAGAAAGGTTAAACTCTGTGAGTTGAACGCACACATCACAAAGGAGTTTCTGAGAATCATTCTGTCTAGTTTTTATACGAAGATATTTCCTTTTCTACCATTGACCTCAAAGCGGCTGAAATCTCCACTTGCAAATTCCAGAAAAAGAGTGTTTCAAATCTGCTCTGTGTAAAGGATCGTTCAACTCTGTGAGTTGAATACACACAACACAAGGAAGTTACTGAGAATTCATCTGTCTAGCATAATATGAAGAAATCCCGTTTCCAACGAAGGCCTCAAAGAGGTCTGAATATCCACTTGCAGACTTTACAAACAGAGTGTTTCCTAACTGCTCTTTGAAAAGAAAGGTTAAACTCTGTGAGTTGAACGCACACATCACAAAACAGTTTCTGAGAATCATTCTGTCTAGTTTTTATACGAAGATATTTCCTTTTCTACCGTTGACCTCAAAGCGGCTGAATTCTCCACTAACAAATTCCACCAAAAGAGTGTCTCAAATCTGCTCTGTGTAAAGAATCATTCAACTCTGTGAGTTGAATGCACACAACACAAGGAAGTTACTGGGAATTCCTCTGTCTAACCTTACATGACAAAACCCGTTTCCAACGAAGGCCTCTAAGAGGCCAAGATATCCACTTGCAGACTTTACAAACAGAGTGTTTCCAAACTGCTGAATGAAAAGAAAAGTTAAACTCTGTGAGTTGAACGCACACATCACAGAGCAGTTTCTGAGAATGATTCTGTCGGGTTTTTATACGAAGATATTTCCTTTTCTGCCTTTGGCCTCAAAGCGCTTGAAGTCTCCACTTGCAAATTGCAGAAAAAGAGTGTTTCGAATCTGCTCTGTCTAAAGGAAGGTTCAACTCTGTCAGTTGAATACACACAACACAAGGAAGTTACTGAGATTTCTTCTGTCTAGCGTTACATGAAAAAAACCCGTTTCCAACGAAGGCCTCAAAGAGGTCAAAATATCCACGTGCAGACTTTCCAAACAGAGTGTTTCCAAACTGCTGAATGAAAAGAAAGTTAAACTCTGTGAGTTGAACACACACATCACAGAGCAGTTTCTGAGAATGATTCTGTCTAGTTTTTATAGGAAAATATTTCCTTTTCTGCTTTTGGCCTCAAAGCGCTTGAAATCTCCACTTGCAAATTCCACAAAAAGAGACTTTCAAATCTGCTCTGTCTAAAGGAAGGTTCAACTCTGTCAGTTGAATACACACAACACAAAGAAGTTACTAAGAATTCTTCCCTCTAGCATTATATGAAGAAATCCCGTTTCCAACGAAGGCATCTAAGAGGTCCAAATATCCACTTGCAGACTTTACAAACAGAGGGTTTCCAGAATGCTGTATGAAAAGAAAGGTGAAACTCTGTGAGTTAAACACACACATCACTACGCAGTGTCTGGGAACGAGTTTGTCTTGTTTTTATACGAAGATATTTCCTTTTCTACCATTGGCATCGAAGCGCTTGAAATCTCCACTTGCAAATTCCACAAAAAGAGTGTTTCAAATCTGCTCTGTCTAAAGGAAGGTTGAACTCTGTGAGTTGCATACACACAACACAAAGAAGTTACTGAGAAATCTTCTGTCTAGCATAATATGAAGAAATCCCGTTTCCAACGAAGGCCTCAAAGAGGTCCGAATATCCACTGGCAGGCTTCACAAACAGAGTGTTTCCTAACTGCTCTGTGAAAAGAAAGGTTAAACTCTGTGAGTTGAACGCACACATCACAAAGGAGTTTCTGAGAATCATTCTGTCTAGTTTTTATACGAAGATATTTCTTTTTCTACCATTGACCTCAAAGCGGCTGAAATCTCCACTTGCAAATTCCAGAAAAACAGTGTTTCAAATCTGCTCTGTGTAAAGGATCGTTCAACTCTCTGAGTTGAATACACACAACACAAGGAAGTTACTGAGAATTCATCTGTCTAGCATAATATGAAGAAATCCCGTTTCCAACGAAGGCCTCAAAGAGGTCTGAATATCCACTTGCAGACTTTACAAACAGAGTGTTTCCTAACTGCTCTTTGAAAAGAAAGGTTAAACTCTGTGAGTTGAACGCACACATCACAAAACAGTTTCTGAGAATCATTCTGTCTAGTTTTTATACGAAGATATTTCCTTTTCTACCGTTGACCTCAAAGCGGCTGAATTCTCCACTTACAAATTCCACCAAAAGAGTGTCTCAAATCTGCTCTGTGTAAAGAATCATTCAACTCTGTGAGTTGAATGCACACAACACAAGGAAGTTACTGGGAATTCCTCTGTCTATCCTTACATGAAAAAACCCGCTTCCAACGAAGGCCTCTAAGAGGCCAAGATATCCACTTGCAGACTTTACAAACAGAGTGTTTCCAAACTGCTGAATGAAAAGAAAAGTTAAACTCTGTGAGTTGAACGCACACATCACAGAGCAGTTTCTGAGAATGATTCTGTCGGGTTTTTATACGAAGATATTTCCTTTTCTGCCTTTGGCCTCAAAGCGCTTGAAGTCTCCACTTGCAAATTGCAGAAAAAGAGTGTTTCGAATCTGCTCTGTCTAAAGGAAGGTTCAACTCTGTCAGTTGAATACACACAACACAAGGAAGTTACTGAGATTTCTTCTGTCTAGCCTTACATGAAAAAAACCCGTTTCCAACGAAGGCCTCAAAGAGGTCAAAATATCCACGTGCAGACTTTCCAAACAGAGTGTTTCCAAACTGCTGAATGAAAAGAAAAGTTAAACTCTGTGAGTTGAACGCACACATCACAGAGCAGTTTCTGAGAAAGATTCTGTCTAGTTTTTATAGGAAAATATTTCCTTTTCTGCTTTTGGCCTCAAAGCGCTTGAAATCTCCACTTGCAAATTCCACTAAAAGAGACTTTCAAATCTGCTCTGTCTAAAGGAAGGTTCAACTCTGTCAGTTGAATACACACAACACAAAGAAGTTACTAAGAATTCTTCCCTCTAGCATTATACGAAGAAATCCCGTTTCCAACGAAGGCATCTAAGAGGTCCAAATATCCACTTGCAGACTTTACAAACAGAGGGTTTCCAGAATGCTGTATGAAAAGAAAGGTGAAACTCTGTGAGTTAAACACACACATCACTACGCAGTGTCTGGGAACGAGTTTGTCTTGTTTTTATACGAAGATATTTCCTTTTCTACCATTGGCATCGAAGCGCTTGAAATCTCCACTTGCAAATTCCACAAAAAGAGTGTTTCAAATCTGCTCTGTCTAAAGGAAGGTTGAACTCTGTGAGTTGCATACACACAACACAAAGAAGTTACTGAGAAATCTTCTGTCTAGCATAATATGAAGAAATCCCGTTTCCAACGAAGGCCTCAAAGAGGTCCGAATATCCACTGGCAGGCTTCACAAACAGAGTGTTTCCTAACTGCTCTGTGAAAAGAAAGGTTAAACTCTGTGAGTTGAACGCACACATCACAAAGGAGTTTCTGAGAATCATTCTGTCTAGTTTTTATACGAAGATATTTCCTTTTCTACCATTGACCTCAAAGCGGCTGAAATCTCCACTTGCAAATTCCAGAAAAACAGTGTTTCAAATCTGCTCTGTGTAAAGGATCGTTCAACTCTGTGAGTTGAATACACACAACACAAGGAAGTTACTGAGAATTCATCTGTCTAGCATAATATGAAGAAATCCCGTTTCCAACGAAGGCCTCAAAGAGGTCTGAATATCCACTTGCAGACTTTACAAACAGAGTGTTTCCTAACTGCTCTTTGAAAAGAAAGGTTAAACTCTGTGAGTTGTACGCACACATCACAAAAAAGTTTCTGAGAATCATTCTGTCTAGTTTTTATACGAAGATATTTCCTTTTCTACCGTTGACCTCAAATCGTCTGAATTCTCCACTTACAAATTCCACCAAAAGAGTGTCTCAAATCTGCTCTGTGTAAAGAATCATTCAACTCTGTGAGTTGAGTGCACACAACACAAGGAAGTTACTGGGAATTCCTCTGTCTAACCTTACATGAAAAAACCCGTTTCCAACGAAGGCCTCTAAGAGGCCAAGATATCCACTTGCAGACTTTACAAACAGAGTGTTTCCAAACTGCTGAATGAAAAGAAAAGTTAAACTCTGTGAGTTGAACGCACACATCACAGAGCAGTTTCTGAGAATGATTCTGTCGGGTTTTTATACGAAGATATTTCCTTTTCTGCCTTTGGCCTCAAAGCGCTTGAAGTCTCCACTTGCAAATTGCAGAAAAAGAGTGTTTCGAATCTGCTCTGTCTAAAGGAAGGTTCAACTCTGTCAGTTGAATACACACAACACAAGGAAGTTACTGAGATTTCTTCTGTCTAGCCTTACATGAAAAAAACCCGTTTCCAACGAAGGCCTCAAAGAGGTCAAAATATCCACGTGCAGACTTTCCAAACAGAGTGTTTCCAAACTGCTGAATGAAAAGAAAAGTTAAACTCTGTGAGTTGAACGCACACATCCCAGAGCAGTTTCTGAGAAAGATTCTGTCGAGTTTTTATAGGAAAATATTTCCTTTTCTGCTTTTGGCCTCAAAGCGCTTGAAATCTCCACTTGCAAATTCCACAAAAAGAGACTTTCAAATCTGCTCTGTCTAAAGGAAGGTTCAACTCTGTCAGTTGAATACACACAACACAAAGAAGTTACTAAGAATTCTTCCCTCTAGCATTATATGAAGAAATCCCGTTTCCAACGAAGGCATCTAAGAGGTCCAAATATCCACTTGCAGACTTTACAAACAGAGGGTTTCCAGAATGCTGTATGAAAAGAAAGGTGAAACTCTGTGAGTTAAACACACACATCACTACGCAGTGTCTGGGAACGAGTTTGTCTTGTTTTTATACGAAGATATTTCCTTTTCTACCATTGGCATCGAAGCGCTTGAAATCTCCACTTGCAAATTCCACAAAAAGAGTGTTTCAAATCTGCTCTGTCTAAAGGAAGGTTGAACTCTGTGAGTTGCATACACACAACACAAAGAAGTTACTGAGAAATCTTCTGTCTAGCATAATATGAAGAAATCCCGTCTCCAACGAAGGCCTCAAAGAGGTCCGAATATCCACTGGCAGGCTTCACAAACAGAGTGTTTCCTAACTGCTCTGTGAAAAGAAAGGTTAAACTCTGTGAGTTGAACGCACACATCACAAAGGAGTTTCTGAGAATCATTCTGTCTAGTTTTTATACGAAGATATTTCCTTTTCTACCATTGACCTCAAAGCGGCTGACATCTCCACTTGCAAATTCCAGAAAAACAGTGTTTCAAATCTGCTCTGTGTAAAGGATCGTTCAACTCTGTGAGTTGAATACACACAACACAAGGAAGTTACTGAGAATTCATCTGTCTAGCATAATATGAAGAAATCCCGTTTCCAACGAAGGCCTCAAAGAGGTCTGAATATCCACTTGCAGACTTTACAGAGTGTTTCCTAACTGCTCTTTGAAAAGAAAGGTTAAACTCTGTGAGTTGAACGCACACATCACAAAACAGTTTCTGAGAATCATTCTGTCTAGTTTTTATACGAAGATATTTCCTTTTCTACCGTTGACCTCAAAGCGGCTGAATTCTCCACTTACAAATTCCACCCAAAGAGTGTCTCAAATCTGCTCTGTGTAAAGAATCATTCAACTCTGTGAGTTGAATGCACACAACACAAGGAAGTTACTGGGAATTCCTCTGTCTAACCTTAAATGAAAAAACCCGTTTCCAACGAAGGCCTCTAAGAGGCCAAGATATCCACTTGCAGACTTTACAAACAGAGTGTTTCCAAACTGCTGAATGAAAAGAAAAGTTAAACTCTGTGAGTTGAACGCACACATCACAGAGCAGTTTCTGAGAATGATTCTGTCGGGTTTTTATACGAAGATATTTCCTTTTCTGCCTTTGGCCTCAAAGCGCTTGAAGTCTCCACTTGCAAATTGCAGAAAAAGAGTGTTTCGAATCTGCTCTGTCTAAAGGAAGGTTCAACTCTGTCAGTTGAATACACACAACACAAGGAAGTTACTGAGATTTCTTCTGTCTAGCCTTACATGAAAAAAACCCGTTTCCAACGAAGGCCTCAAAGAGGTCAAAATATCCACGTGCAGACTTTCCAAACAGAGTGTTTCCAAACTGCTGAATGAAAAGAAAAGTTAAACTCTGTGAGTTGAACGCACACATCCCAGAGCAGTTTCTGAGAAAGATTCTGTCGAGTTTTTATAGGAAAATACTTCCTTTTCTGCTTTTGGCCTCAAAGCGCTTGAAATCTCCACTTGCAAATTCCACAAAAAGAGACTTTCAAATCTGCTCTGTCTAAAGGAAGGTTCAACTCTGTCAGTTGAATACACACAACACAAAGAAGTTACTAAGAATTCTTCCCTCTAGCATTATATGAAGAAATCCCGTTTCCAACGAAGGCATCTAAGAGGTCCAAATATCCACTTGCAGACTTTACAAACACAGGGTTTCCAGAATGCTGTATGAAAAGAAAGGTTAAACTCTGTGAGTTAAACACACACATCACTACGCAGTGTCTGGGAACGAGTTTGTCTTGTTTTTATACGAAGATATTTCCTTTTCTACCATTGGCATCGAAGCGCTTGAAATCTCCACTTGCAAATTCCACAAAAAGAGTGTTTCAAATCTGCTCTGTCTAAAGGAAGGTTGAACTCTGTGAGTTGCATACACACAACACAAAGAAGTTACTGAGAAATCTTCTGTCTAGCATAATATGAAGAAATCCCGTTTCCAACGAAGGCCTCAAAGAGGTCCGAATACCCACTGGCAGGCTTCACAAACAGAGTGTTTCCTAACTGCTCTGTGAAAAGAAAGGTTAAACTCTGTGAGTTGAACGCACACATCACAAAGGAGTTTCTGAGAATCATTCTGTCTAGTTTTTATACGAAGATATTTCCTTTTCTACCATTGACCTCAAAGCGGCTGAAATCTCCACTTGCAAATTCCAGAAAAACAGTGTTTCAAATCTGCTCTGTGTAAAGGATCGTTCAACTCTGTGAGTTGAATACACACAACACAAGGAAGTTACTGAGAATTCATCTGTCTAGCATAATATGAAGAAATCCCGTTTCCAACGAAGGCCTCAAAGAGGTCTGAATATCCACTTGCAGACTTTACAAACAGAGTGTTTCCTAACTGCTCTTTGAAAAGAAAGGTTAAACTCTGTGAGTTGAACGCACACATCACAAAACAGTTTCTGAGAATCATTCTGTCTAGTTTTTATACGAAGATATTTCCTTTTCTACCGTTGACCTCAAAGCGGCTGAATTCTCCACTTACAAATTCCACCAAAAGAGTGTCTCAAATCTGCTCTGTGTAAAGAATCATTCAACTCTGTGAGTTGAATGCACACAACACAAGGAAGTTACTGGGAATTCCTCTGTCTAACCTTACATGAAAAAACCCGTTTCCAACGAAGGCCTCTAAGAGGCCAAGATATCCACTTGCAGACTTTACAAACAGAGTGTTTCCAAACTGCTGAATGAAAAGAAAAGTTAAACTCTGTGAGTTGAACGCACACATCACAGAGCAGTTTCTGAGAATGATTCTGTCGGGTTTTTATACGAAGATATTTCCTTTTCTGCCTTTGGCCTCAAAGCGCTTGAAG
Organism: Homo sapiens; assembly: GCF_000001405.40. Lineage (NCBI taxonomy): Eukaryota > Metazoa > Chordata > Mammalia > Primates > Hominidae > Homo > Homo sapiens. The sequence continues at coordinate 37,057,518 of NC_000016.10, read as the reverse complement.
TCTCCACTTGCAAATTGCAGAAAAAGAGTGTTTCGAATCTGCTCTGTCTAAAAGAAGGTTCAACTCTGTCAGTTGAATACACACAACACAAGGAAGTTACTGAGATTTCTTCTGTCTAGCCTTACATGAAAAAAACCCGTTTCCAACGAAGGCCTCAAAGAGGTCAAAATATCCACGTGCAGACTTTCCAAACAGAGTGTTTCCAAACTGCTGAATGAAAAGAAAGTTAAACTCTGTGAGTTGAACACACACATCACAGAGCAGTTTCTGAGAATGATTCTGTCGAGTTTTTATAGGAAAATATTTCCTTTTCTGCTTTTGGCCTCAAAGCGCTTGAAATCTCCACTTGCAAATTCCACAAAAAGAGACTTTCAAATCTGCTCTGTCTAAAGGAAGGTTCAACTCTGTCAGTTGAATACACACAACACCAAGAAGTTACTAAGAATTCTTCCCTCTAGCATTATATGAAGAAATCCCGTTTCCAACGAAGGCATCTAAGAGGTCCAAATATCCACTTGCAGACTTTACAAACAGAGGGTTTCCAGAATGCTGTATGAAAAGAAAGGTGAAACTCTGTGAGTTAAACACACACATCACTACGCAGTGTCTGGGAACGAGTTTGTCTTGTTTTTATACGAAGATATTTCCTTTTCTACCATTGGCATCGAAGCGCTTGAAATCTCCACTTGCAAATTCCACAAAAAGAGTGTTTCAAATCTGCTCTGTCTAAAGGAAGGTTGAACTCTGTGAGTTGCATACACACAACACAAAGAAGTTACTGAGAAATCTTCTGTCTAGCATAATATGAAGAAATCCCGTTTCCAACGAAGGCCTCAAAGAGGTCCGAATATCCACTGGCAGGCTTCACAAACAGAGTGTTTCCTAACTGCTCTGTGAAAAGAAAGGTTAAACTCTGTGAGTTGAACGCACACATCACAAAGGAGTTTCTGAGAATCATTCTGTCTAGTTTTTATACGAAGATATTTCCTTTTCTACCATTGACCTCAAAGCGGCTGAAATCTCCACTTGCAAATTCCAGAAAAACAGTGTTTCAAATCTGCTCTGTGTAAAGGATCGTTCAACTCTGTGAGTTGAATACACACAACACAAGGAAGTTACTGAGAATTCATCTGTCTAGCATAATATGAAGAAATCCCGTTTCCAACGAAGGCCTCAAAGAGGTCTGAATATCCACTTGCAGACTTTACAAACAGAGTGTTTCCTAACTGCTCTTTGAAAAGAAAGGTTAAACTCTGTGAGTTGAACGCACACATCACAAAACAGTTTCTGAGAATCATTCTGTCTAGTTTTTATACGAAGATATTTCCTTTTCTACCGTTGACCTCAAAGCGGCTGAATTCTCCACTTACAAATTCCACCAAAAGAGTGTCTCAAATCTGCTCTGTGTAAAGAATCATTCAACTCTGTGAGTTGAATGCACACAACACAAGGAAGTTACTGGGAATTCCTCTGTCTAACCTTACATGATAAAACCCGTTTCCAACGAAGGCCTCTAAGAGGCCAAGATATCCACTTGCAGACTTTACAAACAGAGTGTTTCCAAACTGCTGAATGAAAAGAAAAGTTAAACTCTGTGAGTTGAACGCACACATCACAGAGCAGTTTCTGAGAATGATTCTGTCGGGTTTTTATACGAGATATTTCCTTTTCTGCCTTTGGCCTCAAAGCGCTTGAAGTCTCCACTTGCAAATTGCAGAAAAAGAGTGTTTCGAATCTGCTCTGTCTAAAGGAAGGTTCAACTCTGTCAGTTGAATACACACAACACAAGGAAGTTACTGAGATTTCTTCTGTCTAGCCTTACATGAAAAAAACCCGTTTCCAACGAAGGCCTCAAAGAGGTCAAAATATCCACGTGCAGACTTTCCAAACAGAGTGTTTCCAAACTGCTGAATGAAAAGAAAAGTTAAACTCTGTGAGTTGAACGCACACATCCCAGAGCAGTTTCTGAGAAAGATTCTGTCGAGTTTTTATAGGAAAATATTTCCTTTTCTGCTTTTGGCCTCAAAGCGCTTGAAATCTCCACTTGCAAATTCCACAAAAAGAGACTTTCAAATCTGCTCTGTCTAAAGGAAGGTTCAACTCTGTCAGTTGAATACACACAACACAAAGAAGTTACTAAGAATTCTTCCCTCTAGCATTATATGAAGAAATCCCGTTTCCAACGAAGGCATCTAAGAGGTCCAAATATCCACTTGCAGACTTTACAAACACAGGGTTTCCAGAATGCTGTATGAAAAGAAAGGTTAAACTCTGTGAGTTAAACACACACATCACTACGCAGTGTCTGGGAACGAGTTTGTCTTGTTTTTATACGAAGATATTTCGTTTTCTACCATTGGCATCGAAGCGCTTGAAATCTCCACTTGCAAATTCCACAAAAAGAGTGTTTCAAATCTGCTCTGTCTAAAGGAAGGTTGAACTCTGTGAGTTGCATACACACAACACAAAGAAGTTACTGAGAAATCTTCTGTCTAGCATAATATGAAGAAATCCCGTTTCCAACGAAGGCCTCAAAGAGGTCCGATTATCCACTGGCAGGCTTCACAAACAGAGTGTTTCCTAACTGCTCTGTGAAAAGAAAGGTTAAACTCTGTGAGTTGAACGCACACATCACAAAGGAGTTTCTGAGAATCATTCTGTCTAGTTTTTATACGAAGATATTTCCTTTTCTACCATTGACCTCAAAGCGGCTGAAATCTCCACTTGCAAATTCCAGAAAAACAGTGTTTCAAATCTGCTCTGTGTAAAGGATCGTTCAACTCTGTGAGTTGAATACACACAACACAAGGAAGTTACTGAGAATTCATCTGTCTAGCATAATATGAAGAAATCCCGTTTCCAACGAAGGCCTCAAAGAGGTCTGAATATCCACTTGCAGACTTTACAAACAGAGTGTTTCCTAACTGCTCTTTGAAAAGAAAGGTTAAACTCTGTGAGTTGAACGCACACATCACAAAACAGTTTCTGAGAATCATTCTGTCTAGTTTTTATACGAAGATATTTCCTTTTCTACCGTTGACCTCAAAGCGGCTGAATTCTCCACTAACAAATTCCACCAAAAGAGTGTCTCAAATCTGCTCTCTGTAAAGAATCATTCAACTCTGTGAGTTGAATGCACACAACACAAGGAAGTTACTGGGAATTCCTCTGTCTAACCTTACATGAAAAAACCCTTTTCCAACGAAGGCCTCTAAGAGGCCAAGATATCCACTTGCAGACTTTACAAACAGAGTGTTTCCAAACTGCTGAATGAAAAGAAAAGTTAAACTCTGTGAGTTGAACGCACACATCACAGAGCAGTTTCTGAGAATGATTCTGTCGGGTTTTTATACGAAGATATTTCCTTTTCTGCCTTTGGCCTCAAAGCGCTTGAAGTCTCCACTTGCAAATTGCAGAAAAAGAGTGTTTCGAATCTGCTCTGTCTAAAAGAAGGTTCAACTCTGTCAGTTGAATACACACAACACAAGGAAGTTACTGAGATTTCTTCTGTCTAGCGTTACATGAAAAAAACCCGTTTCCAACGAAGGCCTCAAAGAGGTCAAAATATCCACGTGCAGACTTTCCAAACAGAGTGTTTCCAAACTGCTGAATGAAAAGAAAAGTTAAACTCTGTGAGTTGAACGCACACATCCCAGAGCAGTTTCTGAGAAAGATTCTGTCTAGTTTTTATAGGAAAATATTTCCTTTTCTGCTTTTGGCCTCAAAGCGCTTGAAATCTCCACTTGCAAATTCCACAAAAAGAGACTTTCAAATCTGCTCTGTCTAAAGGAAGGTTCAACTCTGTCAGTTGAATACACACAACACAAAGAAGTTACTAAGAATTCTTCCCTCTAGCATTATATGAAGAAATCCCGTTTCCAACGAAGGCATCTAAGAGGTCCAAATATCCACTTGCAGACTTTACAAACAGAGGGTTTCCAGAATGCTGTATGAAAAGAAAGGTGAAACTGCTGTGAGTTAAACACACACATCACTACGCAGTGTCTGGGAACGAGTTTGTCTTGTTTTTCTACGAAGATATTTCCTTTTCTACCATTGGCATCGAAGCGCTTGAAATCTCCACTTGCAAATTCCACAAAAAGAGTGTTTCAAATCTGCTCTGTCTAAAGGAAGGTTGAACTCTGTGAGTTGCATACACACAACACAAAGAAGTTACTGAGAAATCTTCTGTCTAGCATAATATGAAGAAATCCCGTTTCCAACGAAGGCCTCAAAGAGGTCCGAATATCCACTGGCAGGCTTCACAAACAGAGTGTTTCCTAACTGCTCTGTGAAAAGAAAGGTTAAACTCTGTGAGTTGAACGCACACATCACAATGGAGTTTCTGAGAATCATTCTGTCTAGTTTTTATACGAAGATATTTCCTTTTCTACCATTGACCTCAAAGCGGCTGAAATCTCCACTTGCAAATTCCAGAAAAACAGTGTTTCAAATCTGCTCTGTGTAAAGGATCGTTCAACTCTGTGAGTTGAATACACACAACACAAGGAAGTTACTGAGAATTCATCTGTCTAGCATAATATGAAGAAATCCCGTTTCCAACGAAGGCCTCAAAGAGGTCTGAATATCCACTTGCAGACTTTACAAACAGAGTGTTTCCTAACTGCTCTCTGAAAAGAAAGGTTAAACTCTGTGAGTTGAATGCACACATCACAAAACAGTTTCTGAGAATCATTCTGTCTAGTTTTTATACGAAGATATTTCCTTTTCTACCGTTGACCTCAAAGCGGCTGAATTCTCCACTTACAAATTCCACCAAAAGAGTGTCTCAAATCTGCTCTGTGTAAAGAATCATTCAACTCTGTGAGTTGAATGCACACAACACAAGGAAGTTACTGGGAATTCCTCTGTCTAACCTTACATGAAAAAACCCGTTTCCAACGAAGGCCTCTAAGAGTCCAAGATATCCACTTGCAGACTTTACAAACAGAGTGTTTCCAAACTGCTGAATGAAAAGAAAAGTTAAACTCTGTGAGTTGAACGCACACATCACAGAGCAGTTTCTGAGAGTGATTCTGTCGGGTTTTTATACGAAGATATTTCCTTTTCTGCCTTTGGCCTCAAAGCGCTTGAAGTTTCCACTTGCAAATTGCAGAAAAAGAGTGTTTCGAATCTGCTCTGTCTAAAGGAAGGTTCAACTCTGTCAGTTGAATACACACAACACAAGGAAGTTACTGAGATTTCTTCTGTCTAGCCTTACATGAAAAAAACCCGTTTCCAACGAAGGCCTCAAAGAGGTCAAAATATCCACGTGCAGACTTTCCAAACAGAGTGTTTCCAAACTGCTGAATGAAAAGAAAAGTTAAACTCTGTGAGTTGAACGCACACATCCCAGAGCAGTTTCTGAGAAAGATTCTGTCGAGTTTTTATAGGAAAATATTTCCTTTTCTGCTTTTGGCCTCAAAGCGCTTGAAATCTCCACTTGCAAATTCCACAAAAAGAGACTTTCAAATCTGCTCTGTCTAAAGGAAGGTTCAACTCTGTCAGTTGAATACACACAACACAAAGAAGTTACTAAGAATTCTTCCCTCTAGCATTATATGAAGAAATCCCGTTTCCAACGAAGGCATCTAAGAGGTCCAAATATCCACTTGCAGACTTTACAAACACAGGGTTTCCAGAATGCTGTATGAAAAGAAAGGTTAAACTCTGTGAGTTAAACACACACATCACTACGCAGTGTCTGGGAACGAGTTTGTCTTGTTTTTATACGAAGATATTTCCTTTTCTACCATTGGCATCGAAGCGCTTGAAATCTCCACTTGCAAATTCCACAAAAAGAGTGTTTCAAATCTGCTCTGTCTAAAGGAAGGTTGAACTCTGTGAGTTGCATACACACAACACAAAGAAGTTACTGAGAAATCTTCTGTCTAGCATAATATGAAGAAATCCCGTTTCCAACGAAGGCCTCAAAGAGGTCCGAATATCCACTGGCAGGCTTCACAAACAGAGTGTTTCCTAACTGCTCTGTGAAAAGAAAGGTTAAACTCTGTGAGTTGAACGCACACATCACAAAGGAGTTTCTGAGAATCATTCTGTCTAGTTTTTATACGAAGATATTTCCTTTTCTACCATTGACCTCAAAGCGGCTGAAATCTCCACTTGCAAATTCCAGAAAAACAGTGTTTCAAATCTGCTCTGTGTAAAGGATCGTTCAACTCTGTGAGTTGAATACACACAACACAAGGAAGTTACTGAGAATTCATCTGTCTAGCATAATATGAAGAAATCCCGTTTCCAACGAAGGCCTCAAAGAGGTCTGAATATCCACTTGCAGACTTTACAAACAGAGTGTTTCCTAACTGCTCTTTGAAAAGAAAGGTTAAACTCTGTGAGTTGAACGCACACATCACAAAACAGTTTCTGAGAATCATTCTGTCTAGTTTTTATACGAAGATATTTCCTTTTCTACCGTTGACCTCAAAGCGGCTGAATTCTCCACTTACAAATTCCACCAAAAGAGTGTCTCAAATCTGCTCTGTGTAAAGAATCATTCAACTCTGTGAGTTGAATGCACACAACACAAGGAAGTTACTGGGAATTCCTCTGTCTAACCTTACATGAAAAAACCCGTTTCCAACGAAGGCCTCTAAGAGGCCAAGATATCCACTTGCAGACTTTACAAACAGAGTGTTTCCAAACTGCTGAATGAAAAGAAAAGTTAAACTCTGTGAGTTGAACGCACACATCACAGAGCAGTTTCTGAGAATGATTCTGTCGGGTTTTTATACGAAGATATTTCCTTTTCTGCCTTTGGCCTCAAAGCGCTTGAAGTCTCCACTTGCAAATTGCAGAAAAAGAGTGTTTCGAATCTGCTCTGTCTAAAGGAAGGTTCAACTCTGTCAGTTGAATACACACAACACAAGGAAGTTACTGAGATTTCTTCTGTCTAGCCTTACATGAAAAAAACCCGTTTCCAACGAAGGCCTCAAAGAGGTCAAAATATCCACGTGCAGACTTTCCAAACAGAGTGTTTCCAAACTGCTGAATGAAAAGAAAAGTTAAACTCTGTGAGTTGAACGCACACATCCCAGAGCAGTTTCTGAGAAAGATTCTGTCGAGTTTTTATAGGAAAATATTTCCTTTTCTGCTTTTGGCCTCAAAGCGCTTGAAATCTCCACTTGCAAATTCCACAAAAAGAGACTTTCAAATCTGCTCTGTCTAAAGGAAGGTTCAACTCTGTCAGTTGAATACACACAACACAAAGAAGTTACTAAGAATTCTTCCCTCTAGCATTATATGAAGAAATCCCGTTTGCAACGAAGGCATCTAAGAGGTCCAAATATCCACTTGCAGACTTTACAAACAGAGGGTTTCCAGAATGCTGTATGAAAAGAAAGGTGAAACTCTGTGAGTTAAACACACACATCACTACGCAGTGTCTGGGAACGAGTTTGTCTTGTTTTTATACGAAGATATTTCCTTTTCTACCATTGGCATCGAAGCGCTTGAAATCTCCACTTGCAAATTCCACAAAAAGAGTGTTTCAAATCTGCTCTGTCTAAAGGAAGGTTGAACTCTGTGAGTTGCATACACACAACACAAAGAAGTTACTGAGAAATCTTCTGTCTAGCATAATATGAAGAAATCCCGTTTCCAACGAAGGCCTCAAAGAGGTCCGAATATCCACTGGCAGGCTTCACAAACAGAGTGTTTCCTAACTGCTCTGTGAAAAGAAAGGTTAAACCCTGTGAGTTGAACGCACACATCACAAAGGAGTTTCTGAGAATCATTCTGTCTAGTTTTTATACGAAGATATTTCCTTTTCTACCATTGACCTCAAAGCGGCTGAAATCTCCACTTGCAAATTCCAGAAAAACAGTGTTTCAAATCTGCTCTGTGTAAAGGATCGTTCAACTCTGTGAGTTGAATACACACAACACAAGGAAGTTACTGAGAATTCATCTGTCTAGCATAATATGAAGAAATCCCGTTTCCAACGAAGGCCTCAAAGAGGTCTGAATATCCACTTGCAGACTTTACAAACAGAGTGTTTCCTAACTGCTCTTTGAAAAGAAAGGTTAAACTCTGTGAGTTGAACGCACACATCACAAAACAGTTTCTGAGAATCATTCTGTCTAGTTTTTATACGAAGATATTTCCTTTTCTACCGTTGACCTCAAAGCGGCTGAATTCTCCACTTACAAATTCCACCAAAAGAGTGTCTCAAATCTGCTCTGTGTAAAGAATCATTCAACTCTGTGAGTTGAATGCACACAACACAAGGAAGTTACTGGGAATTCCTCTGTCTAACCTTACATGAAAAAACCCGTTTCCAACGAAGGCCTCTAAGAGGCCAAGATATCCACTTGCAGACTTTACAAACAGAGTGTTTCCAAACTGCTGAATGAAAAGAAAAGTTAAACTCTGTGAGTTGAACGCACACATCACAGAGCAGTTTCTGAGAATGATTCTGTCGGGTTTTTATACGAAGATATTTCCTTTTCTGCCTTTGGCCTCAAAGCGCTTGAAGTCTCCACTTGCAAATTGCAGAAAAAGAGTGTTTCGAATCTGCTCTGTCTAAAGGAAGGTTCAACTCTGTCAGTTGAATACACACAACACAAGGAAGTTACTGAGATTTCTTCTGTCTAGCCTTACATGAAAAAAACCCGTTTCCAACGAAGGCCTCAAAGAGGTCAAAATATCCACGTGCAGACTTTCCAAACAGAGTGTTTCCAAACTGCTGAATGAAAAGAAAAGTTAAACTCTGTGAGTTGAACGCACACATCCCAGAGCAGTTTCTGAGAAAGATTCTGTCGAGTTTTTATAGGAAAATATTTCCTTTTCTGCTTTTGGCCTCAAAGCGCTTGAAATCTCCACTTGCAAATTCCACAAAAAGAGACTTTCAAATCTGCTCTGTCTAAAGGAAGGTTCAACTCTGTCAGTTGAATACACACAACACAAAGAAGTTACTAAGAATTCTTCCCTCTAGCATTATATGAAGAAATCCCGTTTCCAACGAAGGCATCTAAGAGGTCCAAATATCCACTTGCAGACTTTACAAACACAGGGTTTCCAGAATGCTGTATGAAAAGAAAGGTGAAACTCTGTGAGTTAAACACACACATCACTACGCAGTGTCTGGGAACGAGTTTGTCTTGTTTTTATACGAAGATATTTCCTTTTCTACCATTGGCATCGAAGCGCTTGAAATCTCCACTTGCAAATTCCACAAAAAGAGTGTTTCAAATCTGCTCTGTCTAAAGGAAGGTTGAACTCTGTGAGTTGCATACACACAACACAAAGAAGTTACTGAGAAATCTTCTGTCTAGCATAATATGAAGAAATCCCGTTTCCAACGAAGGCCTCAAAGAGGTCCGAATATCCACTGGCAGGCTTCACAAACAGAGTGTTTCCTAACTGCTCTGTGAAAAGAAAGGTTAAACTCTGTGAGTTGAACGCACACATCACAAAGGAGTTTCTGAGAATCATTCTGTCTAGTTTTTATACGAAGATATTTCCTTTTCTACCATTGACCTCAAAGCGGCTGAAATCTCCACTTGCAAATTCCAGAAAAACAGTGTTTCAAATCTGCTCTGTGTAAAGGATCGTTCAACTCTGTGAGTTGAATACACACAACACAAGGAAGTTACTGAGAATTCATCTGTCTAGCATAATATGAAGAAATCCCGTTTCCAACGAAGGCCTCAAAGAGGTCTGAATATCCACTTGCAGACTTTACAAACAGAGTGTTTCCTAACTGCTCTTTGAAAAGAAAGGTTAAACTCTGTGAGTTGAACGCACACATCACAAAACAGTTTCTGAGAATCATTCTGTCTAGTTTTTATACGAAGATATTTCCTTTTCTACCGTTGACCTCAAAGCGGCTGAATTCTCCACTTACAAATTCCACCAAAAGAGTGTCTCAAATCTGCTCTGTGTAAAGAATCATTCAACTCTGTGAGTTGAATGCACACAACACAAGGAAGTTACTGGGAATTCCTCTGTCTATCCTTACATGAAAAAACCCGTTTCCAACGAAGGCCTCTAAGAGGCCAAGATATCCACTTGCAGACTTTACAAACAGAGTGTTTCCAAACTGCTGAATGAAAAGAAAAGTTAAACTCTGTGAGTTGAACGCACACATCACAGAGCAGTTTCTGAGAATGATTCTGTCGGGTTTTTATACGAAGATATTCCCTTTTCTGCCTTTGGCCTCAAAGCGCTTGAAGTCTCCACTTGCAAATTGCAGAAAAAGATTGTTTCGAATCTGCTCTGTCTAAAGGAAGGTTCAACTCTGTCAGTTGAATACACACAACACAAGGAAGTTACTGAGATTTCTTCTGTCTAGCCTTACATGAAAAAAACCCGTTTCCAACGAAGGCCTCAAAGAGGTCAAAATATCCACGTGCAGACTTTCCAAACAGTGTTTCCAAACTGCTGAATGAAAAGAAAAGTTAAACTCTGTGAGTTGAACGCACACATCACAGAGCAGTTTCTGAGAATGATTCTGTCGAGTTTTTAATAGGAAAATATTTCCTTTTCTGCTTTTGGCCTCAAAGCGCTTGAAATCTCCACTTGCAAATTCCACAAAAAGAGACTTTCAAATCTGCTCTGTCTAAAGGAAGGTTCAACTCTGTCAGTTGAATACACACAACACAAAGAAGTTACTAAGAATTCTTCCCTCTAGCATTATATGAAGAAATCCCGTTTCCAACGAAGGCATCTAAGAGGTCCAAATATCCACTTGCAGACTTTACAAACACAGGGTTTCCAGAATGCTGTATGAAAAGAAAGGTTAAACTCTGTGAGTTAAACACACACATCACTACGCAGTGTCTGGGAACGAGTTTGTCTTGTTTTTATACGAAGATATTTCCTTTTCTACCATTGGCATCGAAGCGCTTGAAATCTCCACTTGCAAATTCCACAAAAAGAGTGTTTCAAATCTGCTCTGTCTAAAGGAAGGTTGAACTCTGTGAGTTGCATACACACAACACAAAGAAGTTACTGAGAAATCTTCTGAATAGCATAATATGAAGAAATCCCGTTTCCAACGAAGGCCTCAAAGAGGTCCGAATATCCACTGGCAGGCTTCACAAACAGAGTGTTTCCTAACTGCTCTGTGAAAAGAAAGGTTAAACTCTGTGAGTTGAACGCACACATCACAAAGGAGTTTCTGAGAATCATTCTGTCTAGTTTTTATACGAAGATATTTCCTTTTCTACCATTGACCTCAAAGCGGCTGAAATCTCCACTTGCAAATTCCAGAAAAACAGTGTTTCAAATCTGCTCTGTGTAAAGGATCGTTCAACTCTGTGAGTTGAATACACACAACACAAGGAAGTTACTGAGAATTCATCTGTCTAGCATAATATGAAGAAATCCCGTTTCCAACGAAGGCCTCAAAGAGGTCTGAATATCCTCTTGCAGACTTTACAAACAGAGTGTTTCCTAACTGCTCTTTGAAAAGAAAGGTTAAACTCTGTGAGTTGAACGCACACATCACAAAACAGTTTCTGAGAATCATTCTGTCTAGTTTTTATACGAAGATATTTCCTTTTCTACCGTTGACCTCAAAGCGGCTGAATTCTCCACTTACAAATTCCACCAAAAGAGTGTCTCAAATCTGCTCTGTGTAAAGAATCATTCAACTCTGTGAGTTGAATGCACACAACACAAGGAAGTTACTGGGAATTCCTCTGTCTATCCTTACATGAAAAAACCCGTTTCCAACGAAGGCCTCTAAGAGGCCAAGATATCCACTTGCAGACTTTACAAACAGAGTGTTTCCAAACTGCTGAATGAAAAGAAAAGTTAAACTCTGTGAGTTGAACGCACACATCACAGAGCAGTTTCTGAGAATGATTCTGTCGGGTTTTTATACGAAGATATTTCCTTTTCTGCCTTTGGCCTCAAAGCGCTTGAAGTCTCCACTTGCAAATTGCAGAAAAAGAGTGTTTCGAATCTGCTCTGTCTAAAGGAAGGTTCAACTCTGTCAGTTGAATACACACAACACAAGGAAGTTACTGAGATTTCTTCTGTCTAGCCTTACATGAAAAAAACCCGTTTCCAACGAAGGCCTCAAAGAGGTCAAAATATCCACGTGCAGACTTTCCAAACAGAGTGTTTCCAAACTGCTGAATGAAAAGAAAGTTAAACTCTGTGAGTTGAACGCACACATCCCAGAGCAGTTTCTGAGAAAGATTCTGTCTAGTTTTTATAGGAAAATATTTCCTTTTCTGCTTTTGGCCTCAAAGCGCTTGAAATCTCCACTTGCAAATTCCACAAAAAGAGACTTTCAAATCTGCTCTGTCTAAAGGAAGGTTCAACTCTGTCAGTTGAATACACACAACACAAAGAAGTTACTAAGAATTCTTCCCTCTAGCATTATATGAAGAAATCCCGTTTCCAACGAAGGCATCTAAGAGGTCCAAATATCCACTTGCAGACTTTACAAACACAGGGTTTCCAGAATGCTGTATGAAAAGAAAGGTTAAACTCTGTGAGTTAAACACACACATCACTACGCAGTGTCTGGGAACGAGTTTGTCTTGTTTTTATACGAAGATATTTCCTTTTCTACCATTGGCATCGAAGCGCTTGAAATCTCCACTTGCAAATTCCACAAAAAGAGTGTTTCAAATCTGCTCTGTCTAAAGGAAGGTTGAACTCTGTGAGTTGCATACACACAACACAAAGAAGTTACTGAGAAATCTTCTGTCTAGCATAATATGAAGAAATCCCGTTTCCAACGAAGGCCTCAAAGAGGTCCGAATATCCACTGGCAGGCTTCACAAACAGAGTGTTTCCTAACTGCTCTGTGAAAAGAAAGGTTAAACTCTGTGAGTTGAACGCACACATCACAAAGGAGTTTCTGAGAATCATTCTGTCTAGTTTTTATACGAAGATATTTCCTTTTCTACCATTGACCTCAAAGCGGCTGACATCTCCACTTGCAAATTCCAGAAAAACAGTGTTTCAAATCTGCTCTGTGTAAAGGATCGTTCAACTCTGTGAGTTGAATACACACAACACAAGGAAGTTACTGAGAATTCATCTGTCTAGCATAATATGAAGAAATCCCGTTTCCAACGAAGGCCTCAAAGAGGTCTGAATATCCACTTGCAGACTTTACAAACAGAGTGTTTCCTAACTGCTCTTTGAAAAGAAAGGTTAAACTCTGTGAGTTGAACGCACACATCACAAAACAGTTTCTGAGAATCATTCTGTCTAGTTTTTATACGAAGATATTTCCTTTTCTACCGTTGACCTCAAAGCGGCTGAATTCTCCACTTACAAATTCCACCAAAAGAGTGTCTCAAATCTGCTCTGTGTAAAGAATCATTCAACTCTGTGAGTTGAATGCACACAACACAAGGAAGTTACTGGGAATTCCTCTGTCTATCCTTACATGAAAAAACCCGTTTCCAACGAAGGCCTCTAAGAGGCCAAGATATCCACTTGCAGACTTTACAAACAGAGTGTTTCCAAACTGCTGAATGAAAAGAAAAGTTAAACTCTGTGAGTTGAACGCACACATCACAGAGCAGTTTCCTGAGAATGATTTCTGTCGGGTTCTTATACGAAGATATTTCCTTTTCTGCCTTTGGCCTCAATGCGCTTGAAGTCTCCACTTGCAAATTGCAGAAAAAGAGTGTTTCGAATCTGCTCTGTCTAAAAGAAGGTTCAACTCTGTCAGTTGAATACACACAACACAAGGAAGTTACTGAGATTTCTTCTGTCTAGCCTTACATGAAAAAAACCCGTTTCCAACAAAGGCCTCAAAGCAGGTCAAAATATCCACGTGCAGACTTTCCAAACAGAGTGTTTCCAAACTGCTGAATGAAAAGAAAAGTTAAACTCTGTGAGTTGAACGCACACGTCCCAGAGCAGTTTCTGAGAAAGATTCTGTCTAGTTTTTATAGGAAAATATTTCCTTTTCTGCTTTTGGCCTCAAAGCGCTTGAAATCTCCACTTGCAAATTCCACAAAAAGAGACTTTCAAATCTGCTCTGTCTAAAGGAAGGTTCAACTCTGTCAGTTGAATACACACAACACAAAGAAGTTACTAAGAATTCTTCCCTCTAGCATTATATGAAGAAATCCCGTTTCCAACGAAGGCATCTATGAGGTCCAAATATCCACTTGCAGACTTTACAAACAGAGGGTTTCCAGAATGCTGTATGAAAAGAAAGGTGAAACTCTGTGAGTTAAACACACACATCACTACGCAGTGTCTGGGAACGAGTTTGTCTTGTTTTTATACGAAGATATTTCCTTTTCTACCATTGGCATCGAAGCGCTTGAAATCTCCACTTGCAAATTCCACAAAAAGAGTGTTTCAAATCTGCTCTGTCTAAAGGAAGGTTGAACTCTGTGAGTTGCATACACACAACACAAAGAAGTTACTGAGAAATCTTCTGTCTAGCATAATATGAAGAAATCCCGTTTCCAACGAAGGCCTCAAAGAGGTCTGAATATCCACTGGCAGGCTTCACAAACAGAGTGTTTCCTAACTGCTCTGTGAAAAGAAAGGTTAAACTCTGTGAGTTGAACGCACACATCACAAAGGAGTTTCTGAGAATCATTATCTGTCTAGTTGTTATACGAAGATATTTCCTTTTCTACCATTGACCTCAAAGCGGCTGAAATCTCCACTTGCAAATTCCAGAAAAACAGTGTTTCAAATCTGCTCTGTGTAAAGGATCGTTTAACTCTGTGAGTTGAATACACACAACACAAGGAAGTTACTGAGAATTCATCTGTCTAGCATAATATGAAGAAATCCCGTTTCCAACGAAGGCCTCAAAGAGGTCTGAATATCCACTTGCAGACTTTACAAACAGAGTGTTTCCTAACTGCTCTTTGAAAAGAAAGGTTAAACTCTGTGAGTTGAAAGCACACATCACAAAACAGTTTCTGAGAATCATTCTTTCTAGTTTTTATACGAAGATATTTCCTTTTCTACCGTTGACCTCAAAGCGGCTGAATTCTCCACTTACAAATTCCACCAAAAGAGTGTCTCAAATCTGCTCTGTGTAAAGAATCATTCAACTCTGTGAGTTGAATGCATACAACACAAGGAAGTTACTGGGAATTCCTCTGTCTATCCTTACATGAAAAAACCCGCTTCCAACGAAGGCCTCTAAGAGGCCAAGATATCCACTTGCAGACTTTACAAACAGAGTGTTTCCAAACTGCTGAATGAAAAGAAAAGTTAAACTCTGTGAGTTGAACGCACACATCACAGAGCAGTTTCTGAGAATGATTCTGTCGGGTTTTTATACGAAGATATTTCCTTTTCTGCCTTTGGCCTCAAAGCGCTTGAAGTCTCCACTTGCAAATTGCAGAAAAAGAGTGTTTCGAATCTGCTCTGTCTAAAGGAAGGTTCAACTCTGTCAGTTGAATACACACAACACAAGGAAGTTACTGAGATTTCTTCTGTCTAGCCTTACATGAAAAAAACCCGTTTCCAACGAAGGCCTCAAAGAGGTCAAAATATCCACGTGCAGACTTTCCAAACAGAGTGTTTCCAAACTGCTGAATGAAAAGAAAAGTTAAACTCTGTGAGTTGAACGCACACATCCCAGAGCAGTTTCTGAGAAAGATTCTGTCTAGTTTTTATAGGAAAATATTTCCTTTTCTGCTTTTGGCCTCAAAGCGCTTGAAATCTCCACTTGCAAATTCCACAAAAAGAGACTTTCAAATCTGCTCTGTCTAAAGGAAGGTTCAACTCTGTCAGTTGAATACACACAACACAAAGAAGTTACTAAGAATTCTTCCCTCTAGCATTATATGAAGAAATCCCGTTTCCAACGAAGGCATCTAAGAGGTCCAAATATCCACTTGCAGACTTTACAAACACAGGGTTTCCAGAATGCTGTATGAAAAGAAAGGTTAAACTCTGTGAGTTAAACACACACATCACTACGCAGTGTCTGGGAACGAGTTTGTCTTGTTTTTATACGAAGATATTTCCTTTTCTACCATTGGCATCGAAGCGCTTGAAATCTCCACTTGCAAATTCCACAAAAAGAGTGTTTCAAATCTGCTCTGTCTAAAGGAAGGTTGAACTCTGTGAGTTGCATACACACAACACAAAGAAGTTACTGAGAAATCTTCTGTCTAGCATAATATGAAGAAATCCCGTTTCCAACGAAGGCCTCAAAGAGGTCCGAATATCCACTGGCAGGCTTCACAAACAGAGTGTTTCCTAACTGCTCTGTGAAAAGAAAGGTTAAACTCTGTGAGTTGAACGCACACATCACAAAGGAGTTTCTGAGAATCATTCTGTCTAGTTTTTATACGAAGATATTTCCTTTTCTACCATTGACCTCAAAGCGGCTGAAATCTCCACTTGCAAATTCCAGAAAAACAGTGTTTCAAATCTGCTCTGTGTAAAGGATCGTTCAACTCTGTGAGTTGAATACACACAACACAAGGAAGTTACTGAGAATTCATCTGTCTAGCATAATATGAAGAAATCCCGTTTCCAACGAAGGCCTCAAAGAGGTCTGAATATCCACTTGCAGACTTTACAAACAGAGTGTTTCCTAACTGCTCTTTGAAAAGAAAGGTTAAACTCTGTGAGTTGAACGCACACATCACAAAACAGTTTCTGAGAATCATTCTGTCTAGTTTTTATACGAAGATATTTCCTTTTCTACCGTTGACCTCAAAGCGGCTGAATTCTCCACTTACAAATTCCACCAAAAGAGTGTCTCAAATCTGCTCTGTGTAAAGAATCATTCAACTCTGTGAGTTGAATGCACACAACACAAGGAAGTTACTGGGAATTCCTCTGTCTATCCTTACATGAAAAAACCCGTTTCCAACGAAGGCCTCTAAGAGGCCAAGATATCCACTTGCAGACTTTACAAACAGAGTGTTTCCAAACTGCTGAATGAAAAGAAAAGTTAAACTCTGTGAGTTGAACGCACACATCACAGAGCAGTTTCTGAGAGTGATTCTGTCGGGTTTTTATACGAAGATATTTCCTTTTCTGCCTTTGGCCTCAAAGCGCTTGAAGTTTCCACTTGCAAATTGCAGAAAAAGAGTGTTTCGAATCTGCTCTGTCTAAAGGAAGGTTCAACTCTGTCAGTTGAATACACACAACACAAGGAAGTTACTGAGATTTCTTCTGTCTAGCCTTACATGAAAAAAACCCGTTTCCAACGAAGGCCTCAAAGAGGTCAAAATATCCACGTGCAGACTTTCCAAACAGAGTGTTTCCAAACTGCTGAATGAAAAGAAAAGTTAAACTCTGTGAGTTGAACGCACACATCCCAGAGCAGTTTCTGAGAAAGATTCTGTCTAGTTTTTATAGGAAAATATTTCCTTTTCTGCTTTTGGCCTCAAAGCGCTTGAAATCTCCACTTGCAAATTCCACAAAAAGAGACTTTCAAATCTGCTCTGTCTAAAGGAAGGTTCAACTCTGTCAGTTGAATACACACAACACAAAGAAGTTACTAAGAATTCTTCCCTCTAGCATTATATGAAGAAATCCCGTTCCCAACGAAGGCATCTAAGAGGTCCAAATATCCACTTGCAGACTTTACAAACAGAGGGTTTCCAGAATGCTGTATGAAAAGAAAGGTTAAACTCTGTGAGTTAAACACACACATCACTACGCAGTGTCTGGGAACGAGTTTGTCTTGTTTTTATACGAAGATATTTCCTTTTCTACCATTGGCATCGAAGCGCTTCAAATCTCCACTTGCAAATTCCACAAAAAGAGTGTTTCAAATATGCTCTCTCTAAAGGAAGGTTGAACTCTGTGAGTTGCATACACACAACCCAAAGAAGTTACTGAGAAATCTTCTGTCTAGCATAATATGAAGAAATCCCGTTTCCAACGAAGGCCTCAAAGAGGTCCGATTATCCACTGGCAGGCTTCACAAACAGAGTGTTTCCTAACTGCTCTGTGAAAAGAAAGGTTAAACTCTGTGAGTTGAACGCACACATCACAAAGGAGTTTCTGAGAATCATTCTGTCCAGTTTTTATACGAAGATATTTCCTTTTCTACCATTGACCTCAAAGCGGCTGAAATCTCCACTTGCAAATTCCAGAAAAACAGTGTTTCAAATCTGCTCTGTGTAAAGGATCGTTCAACTCTGTGAGTTGAATACACACAACACAAGGAAGTTACTGAGAATTCATCTGTCTAGCATAATATGAAGAAATCCCGTTTCCAACGAAGGCCTCAAAGAGGTCTGAATATCCACTTGCAGACTTTACAAACAGAGTGTTTCCTAACTGCTCTCTGAAAAGAAAGGTTAAACTCTGTGAGTTGAACGCACACATCACAAAACAGTTTCTGAGAATCATTCTGTCTAGTTTTTATACGAAGGATATTTCCTTTTCTACCGTTGACCCCAAAGCGGCTGAATTCTCCACTTACAAATTCCACCAAAAGAGTGTCTCAAATCTGCTCTGTGTAAAGAATCATTCAACTCTGTGAGTTCAATGCACACAACACAAGGAAGTTACTGGGAATTCCTCTGTCTAACCTTACATGAAAAAACCCGTTTCCAACGAAGGCCTCTAAGAGGCCAAGATATCCACTTGCAGACTTTACAAACAGAGTGTTTCCAAACTGCTGAATGAAAAGAAAAGTTAAACTCTGTGAGTTGAACGCACACATCACAGAGCAGTTTCTGAGAATGATTCTGTCGGGTTTTTATACGAAGATATTTCCTTTTCTGCCTTTGGCCTCAAAGCGCTTGAAGTCTCCACTTGCAAATTGCAGAAAAAGAGTGTTTCGAATCTGCTCTGTCTAAAGGAAGGTTCAACTCTGTCAGTTGAATACACACAACACAAGGAAGTTACTGAGATTTCTTCTGTCTAGCCTTACATGAAAAAAACCCGTTTCCAACGAAGGCCTCAAAGAGGTCAAAATATCCACGTGCAGACTTTCCAAACAGAGTGTTTCCAAACTGCTGAATGAAAAGAAAAGTTAAACTCTGTGAGTTGAACGCACACATCCCAGAGCAGTTTCTGAGAAAGATTCTGTCGAGTTTTTATAGGAAAATATTTCCTTTTCTGCTTTTGGCCTCAAAGCGCTTGAAATCTCCACTTGCAAATTCCACAAAAAGAGACTTTCAAATCTGCTCTGTCTAAAGGAAGGTTCAACTCTGTCAGTTGAATACACACAACACAAAGAAGTTACTAAGAATTCTTCCCTCTAGCATTATATGAAGAAATCCCGTTTCCAACGAAGGCATCTAAGAGGTCCAAATATCCACTTGCAGACTTTACAAACACAGGGTTTCCAGAATGCTGTATGAAAAGAAAGGTTAAACTCTGTGAGTTAAACACACACATCACTACGCAGTGTCTGGGAACGAGTTTGTCTTGTTTTTATACGAAGATATTTCCTTTTCTACCATTGGCATCGAAGCGCTTGAAATCTCCACTTGCAAATTCCACAAAAAGAGTGTTTCAAATCTGCTCTGTCTAAAGGAAGGTTGAACTCTGTGAGTTGCATACACACAACACAAAGAAGTTACTGAGAAATCTTCTGTCTAGCATAATATGAAGAAATCCCGTTTCCAACGAAGGCCTCAAAGAGGTCCGAATATCCACTGGCAGGCTTCACAAACAGAGTGTTTCCTAACTGCTCTGTGAAAAGAAAGGTTAAACTCTGTGAGTTGAACGCACACATCACAAAGGAGTTTCTGAGAATCATTCTGTCTAGTTTTTATACGAAGATATTTCCTTTTCTACCATTGACCTCAAAGCGGCTGAAATCTCCACTTGCAAATTCCAGAAAAACAGTGTTTCAAATCTGCTCTGTGTAAAGGATCGTTCAACTCTGTGAGTTGAATACACACAACACAAGGAAGTTACTGAGAATTCATCTGTCTAGCATAATATGAAGAAATCCCGTTTCCAACGAAGGCCTCAAAGAGGTCTGAATATCCACTTGCAGACTTTACAAACAGAGTGCTTCCTAACTGCTCTTTGAAAAGAAAGGTTAAACTCTGTGAGTTGAACGCACACATCACAAAACAGTTTCTGAGAATCATTCTGTCTAGTTTTTATACGAAGATATTTCCTTTTCTACCGTTGACCTCAAAGCGGCTGAATTCTCCACTTACAAATTCCACCAAAAGAGTGTCTCAAATCTGCTCTGTGTAAAGAATCATTCAACTCTGTGAGTTGAATGCACACAACACAAGGAAGTTACTGGGAATTCCTCTGTCTAACCTTACATGAAAAAACCCGCTTCCAACGAAGGCCTCTAAGAGGCCAAGATATCCACTTGCAGACTTTACAGAGTGTTTCCAAACTGCTGAATGAAAAGAAAAGTTAAACTCTGTGAGTTGAACGCACACATCACAGAGCAGTTTCTGAGAATGATTCTGTCGGGTTTTTATACGAAGATATTTCCTTTTCTGCCTTTGGCCTCAAAGCGCTTGAAGTCTCCACTTGCAAATTGCAGAAAAAGAGTGTTTCGAATCTGCTCTGTCTAAAGGAAGGTTCAACTCTGTCAGTTGAATACACACAACACAAGGAAGTTACTGAGATTTCTTCTGTCTAGCCTTACATGAAAAAAACCCGTTTCCAACGAAGGCCTCAAAGAGGTCAAAATATCCACGTGCAGACTTTCCAAACAGAGTGTTTCCAAACTGCTGAATGAAAAGAAAAGTTAAACTCTGTGAGTTGAACGCACACATCCCAGAGCAGTTTCTGAGAAAGATTCTGTCTAGTTTTTATAGGAAAATATTTCCTTTTCTGCTTTTGGCCTCAAAGCGCTTGAAATCTCCACTTGCAAATTCCACAAAAAGAGACTTTCAAATCTGCTCTGTCTAAAGGAAGGTTCAACTCTGTCAGTTGAATACACACAACACAAAGAAGTTACTAAGAATTCTTCCCTCTAGCATTATATGAAGAAATCCCGTTTCCAACGAAGGCATCTAAGAGGTCCAAATATCCACTTGCAGACTTTACAAACAGAGGGATTCCAGAATGCTGTATGAAAAGAAAGGTTAAACTCTGTGAGTTAAACACACACATCACTACGCAGTGTCTGGGAACGAGTTTGTCTTGTTTTTATACGAAGATATTTCCTTTTCTACCATTGGCATCGAAGCGCTTGAAATCTCCACTTGCAAATTCCACAAAAAGAGTGTTTCAAATCTGCTCTGTCTAAAGGAAGGTTGAACTCTGTGAGTTGCATACACACAACACAAAGAAGTTACTGAGAAATCTTCTGTCTAGCATAATATGAAGAAATCCCGTTTCCAACGAAGGCCTCAAAGAGGTCCGAATATCCACTGGCAGGCTTCACAAACAGAGTGTTTCCTAACTGCTCTGTGAAAAGAAAGGTTAAACTCTGTGAGTTGAACGCACACATCACAAAGGAGTTTCTGAGAATCATTCTGTCTAGTTTTTATACGAAGATATTTCCTTTTCTACCATTGACCTCAAAGCGGCTGACATCTCCACTTGCAAATTCCAGAAAAACAGTGTTTCAAATCTGCTCTGTGTAAAGGATCGTTCAACTCTGTGAGTTGAATACACACAACACAAGGAAGTTACTGAGAATTCATCTGTCTAGCATAATATGAAGAAATCCCGTTTCCAACGAAGGCCTCAAAGAGGTCTGAATATCCACTTGCAGACTTTACAAACAGAGTGTTTCCTAACTGCTCTTTGAAAAGAAAGGTTAAACTCTGTGAGTTGAACGCACACATCACAAAACAGTTTCTGAGAATCATTCTGTCTAGTTTTTATACGAAGATATTTCCTTTTCTACCGTTGACCTCAAAGCGGCTGAATTCTCCACTTACAAATTCCACCAAAAGAGTGTCTCAAATCTGCTCTGTGTAAAGAATCATTCAACTCTGTGAGTTGAATGCACACAACACAAGGAAGTTACTGGGAATTCCTCTGTCTATCCTTACATGAAAAAACCCGTTTCCAACGAAGGCCTCTAAGAGGCCAAGATATCCACTTGCAGACTTTACAAACAGAGTGTTTCCAAACTGCTGAATGAAAAGAAAAGTTAAACTCTGTGAGTTGAACGCACACATCACAGAGCAGTTTCTGAGAATGATTCTGTCGGGTTTTTATACGAAGATATTTCCTTTTCTGCCTTTGGCCTCAAAGCGCTTGAAGTCTCCACTTGCAAATTGCAGAAAAAGAGTGTTTCGAATCTGCTCTGTCTAAAGGAAGGTTCAACTCTGTCAGTTGAATACACACAACACAAGGAAGTTACTGAGATTTCTTCTGTCTAGCCTTACATGAAAAACACCCGTTTCCAACGAAGGCCTCAAAGAGGTCAAAATATCCACGTGCAGACTTTCCAAACAGAGTGTTTCCAAACTGCTGAATGAAAAGAAAAGTTAAACTCTGTGAGTTGAACGCACACATCCCAGAGCAGTTTCTGAGAAAGATTCTGTCTAGTTTTTATAGGAAAATATTTCCTTTTCTGCTTTTGGCCTCAAAGCGCTTGAAATCTCCACTTGCAAATTCCACAAAAAGAGACTTTCAAATCTGCTCTGTCTAAAGGAAGGTTCAACTCTGTCAGTTGAATACACACAACACAAAGAAGTTACTAAGAATTCTTCCCTCTAGCATTATATGAAGAAATCCCGTTTCCAACGAAGGCATCTAAGAGGTCCAAATATCCACTTGCAGACTTTACAAACAGAGGGTTTCCAGAATGCTGTATGAAAAGAAAGGTTAAACTCTGTGAGTTAAACACACACATCACTACGCAGTGTCTGGGAACGAGTTTGTCTTGTTTTTATACGAAGATATTTCCTTTTCTACCATTGGCATCGAAGCGCTTGAAATCTCCACTTGCAAATTCCACAAAAAGAGTGTTTCAAATCTGCTCTGTCTAAAGGAAGGTTGAACTCTGTGAGTTGCATACACACAACCCAAAGAAGTTACTGAGAAATCTTCTGTCTAGCATAATATGAAGAAATCCCGTTTCCAACGAAGGCCTCAAAGAGGTCCGAATATCCACTGGCAGGCTTCACAGAGTGTTTCCTAACTGCTCTGTGAAAAGAAAGGTTAAACTCTGTGAGTTGAACGCACACATCACAAAGGAGTTTCTGAGAATCATTCTGTCCAGTTTTTATACGAAGATATTTCCTTTTCTACCATTGACCTCAAAGCGGCTGAAATCTCCACTTGCAAATTCCAGAAAAACAGTGTTTCAAATCTGCTCTGTATAAAGGATCGTTCAACTCTGTGAGTTGAATACACACAACACAAGGAAGTTACTGAGAATTCATCTGTCTAGCATAATATGAAGAAATCCCGTTTCCAACGAAGTCCTCAAAGAGGTCTGAATATCCACTTGCAGACTTTACAAACAGAGTGTTTCCTAACTGCTCTTTGAAAAGAAAGGTTAAACTCTGTGAGTTGAACGCACACATCACAAAACAGTTTCTGAGAATCATTCTGTCTAGTTTTTATACGAAGATATTTCCTTTTCTACCGTTGACCTCAAAGCGGCTGAATTCTCCACTTACAAATTCCACCAAAAGAGTGTCTCAAATCTGCTCTGTGTAAAGAATCATTCAACTCTGTGAGTTGAATGCACACAACACAAGGAAGTTACTGGGAATTCCTCTGTCTAACCTTACATGAAAAAACCCGTTTCCAACGAAGGCCTCTAAGAGGCCAAGATATCCACTTGCAGACTTTACAAACAGAGTGTTTCCAAACTGCTGAATGAAAAGAAAAGTTAAACTCTGTGAGTTGAACGCACACATCACAGAGCAGTTTCTGAGAATGATTCTGTCGGGTTTTTATACGAAGATATTTCCTTTTCTGCCTTTGGCCTCAAAGCGCTTGAAGTCTCCACTTGCAAATTGCAGAAAAAGAGTGTTTCGAATCTGCTCTGTCTAAAGGAAGGTTCAACTCTGTCAGTTGAATACACACAACACAAGGAAGTTACTGAGATTTCTTCTGTCTAGCCTTACATGAAAAAAACCCGTTTCCAACGAAGGCCTCAAAGAGGTCAAAATATCCACGTGCAGACTTTCCAAACAGAGTGTTTCCAAACTGCTGAATGAAAAGAAAGTTAAACTCTGTGAGTTGAACACACACATCACAGAGCAGTTTCTGAGAATGATTCTGTCTAGTTTTTATAGGAAAATATTTCCTTTTCTGCTTTTGGCCTCAAAGCGCTTGAAATCTCCACTTGCAAATTCCACAAAAAGAGACTTTCAAATCTGCTCTGTCTAAAGGAAGGTTCAACTCTGTCAGTTGAATACACACAACACAAAGAAGTTACTAAGAATTCTTCCCTCTAGCATTATATGAAGAAATCCCGTTTCCAACGAAGGCATCTAAGAGGTCCAAATATCCACTTGCAGACTTTACAAACACAGGGTTTCCAGAATGCTGTATGAAAAGAAAGGTTAAACTCTGTGAGTTAAACACACACATCACTACGCAGTGTCTGGGAACGAGTTTGTCTTGTTTTTATACGAAGATATTTCCTTTTCTACCATTGGCATCGAAGCGCTTGAAATCTCCACTTGCAAATTCCACAAAAAGAGTGTTTCAAATCTGCTCTGTCTAAAGGAAGGTTGAACTCTGTGAGTTGCATACACACAACACAAAGAAGTTACTGAGAAATCTTCTGTCTAGCATAATATGAAGAAATCCCGTTTCCAACGAAGGCCTCAAAGAGGTCCGAATATCCACTGGCAGGCTTCACAAACAGAGTGTTTCCTAACTGCTCTGTGAAAAGAAAGGTTAAACTCTGTGAGTTGAACGCACACATCACAAAGGAGTTTCTGAGAATCATTCTGTCTAGTTTTTATACGAAGATATTTCCTTTTCTACCATTGACCTCAAAGCGGCTGAAATCTCCACTTGCAAATTCCAGAAAAACAGTGTTTCAAATCTGCTCTGTGTAAAGGATCGTTCAACTCTGTGAGTTGAATACACACAACACAAGGAAGTTACTGAGAATTCATCTGTCTAGCATAATATGAAGAAATCCCGTTTCCAACGAAGGCCTCAAAGAGGTCTGAATATCCACTTGCAGACTTTACAAACAGAGTGTTTCCTAACTGCTCTTTGAAAAGAAAGGTTAAACTCTGTGAGTTGAACGCACACATCACAAAACAGTTTCTGAGAATCATTCTGTCTAGTTTTTATACGAAGATATTTCCTTTTCTACCGTTGACCTCAAAGCGGCTGAATTCTCCACTTACAAATTCCACCAAAAGAGTGTCTCAAATCTGCTCTGTGTAAAGAATCATTCAACTCTGTGAGTTGAATGCACACAACACAAGGAAGTTACTGGGAATTCCTCTGTCTAACCTTACATGAAAAAACCCGTTTCCAATGAAGGCCTCTAAGAGGCCAAGATATCCACTTGCAGACTTTACAAACAGAGTGTTTCCAAACTGCTGAATGAAAAGAAAAGTTAAACTCTGTGAGTTGAACGCACACATCACAGAGCAGTTTCTGAGAATGATTCTGTCGGGTTTTTATACGAAGATATTTCCTTTTCTGCCTTTGGCCTCAAAGCGCTTGAAGTCTCCACTTGCAAATTGCAGAAAAAGAGTGTTTCGAATCTGCTCTGTCTAAAAGAAGGTTCAACTCTGTCAGTTGAATACACACAACACAAGGAAGTTACTGAGATTTCTTCTGTCTAGCGTTACATGAAAAAAACCCGTTTCCAATGAAGGCCTCAAAGAGGTCAAAATATCCACGTGCAGACTTTCCAAACAGAGTGTTTCCAAACTGCTGAATGAAAAGAAAAGTTAAACTCTGTGAGTTGAACGCACACATCCCAGAGCAGTTTCTGAGAAAGATTCTGTCTAGTTTTTATAGGAAAACATTTCCTTTTCTGCTTTTGGCCTCAAAGCGCTTGAAATCTCCACTTGCAAATTCCACAAAAAGAGACTTTCAAATCTGCTCTGTCTAAAGGAAGGTTCAACTCTGTCAGTTGAATACACACAACACAAAGAAGTTACTAAGAATTCTTCCCTCTAGCATTATATGAAGAAATCCCGTTTCCAACGAAGGCATCTAAGAGGTCCAAATATCCACTTGCAGACTTTACAAACAGAGGGTTTCCAGAATGCTGTATGAAAAGAAAGGTTAAACTCTGTGAGTTAAACACACACATCACTACGCAGTGTCTGGGAACGAGTTTGTCTTGTTTTTATACGAAGATATTTCCTTTTCTACCATTGGCATCGAAGCGCTTGAAATCTCCACTTGCAAATTCCACAAAAAGAGTGTTTCAAATCTGCTCTGTCTAAAGGAAGGTTGAACTCTGTGAGTTGCATACACACAACACAAAGAAGTTACTGAGAAATCTTCTGTCGAGCATAATATGAAGAAATCCCGTTTCCAACGAAGGCCTCAAAGAGGTCCGAATATCCACTGGCAGGCTTCACAAACAGAGTGTTTCCTAACTGCTCTGTGAAAAGAAAGGTTAAACTCTGTGAGTTGAACGCACACATCACAAAGGAGTTTCTGAGAATCATTCTGTCTAGTTTTTATACGAAGATATTTCCTTTTCTACCATTGACCTCAAAGCGGCTGAAATCTCCACTTGCAAATTCCAGAAAAACAGTGTTTCAAATCTGCTCTGTGTAAAGGATCGTTCAACTCTGTGAGTTGAATACACACAACACAAGGACGTTACTGAGAATTCTTCTGTCTAGCATAATATGAAGAAATCCCGTTTCCAACGAAGGCCTCAAAGAGGTCTGAATATCCGCTTGCAGACTTTACAAACAGAGTGTTTCCTAACTGCTCTTTGAAAAGAAAGGTTAAACTCTGTGAGTTGAACGCACACATCACAAAACAGTTTCTGAGAATCATTCTGTCTAGTTTTTATACGAAGATATTTCCTTTTCTACCGTTGACCTCAAAGCGGCTGAATTCTCCACTAACAAATTCCACCAAAAGAGTGTCTCAAATCTGCTCTGTGTAAAGAATCATTCAACTCTGTGAGTTGAATGCACACAACACAAGGAAGTTACTGGGAATTCCTCTGTCTAACCTTACATGAAAAAACCCGTTTCCAACGAAGGCCTCTAAGAGGCCAAGATATCCACTTGCAGACTTTACAAACAGAGTGTTTCCAAACTGCTGAATGAAAAGAAAAGTTAAACTCTGTGAGTTGAACGCACACATCACAGAGCAGTTTCTGACAATGACTCTGTCGGGTTTTTATACGAAGATATTTCCTTTTCTGCCTTTGGCCTCAAAGCGCTTGAAGTCTCCACTTGCAAATTGCAGAAAAAGAGTGTTTCGAATCTGCTCTGTCTAAAGGAAGGTTCAACTCTGTCAGTTGAATACACACAACACAAGGAAGTTACTGAGATTTCTTCTGTCTAGCCTTACATGAAAAAAACCCGTTTCCAACGAAGGCCTCAAAGAGGTCAAAATATCCACGTGCAGACTTTCCAAACAGAGTGTTTCCAAACTGCTGAATGAAAAGAAAGTTAAACTCTGTGAGTTGAACACACACATCACAGAGCAGTTTCTGAGAATGATTCTGTCTAGTTTTTATAGGAAAATATTTCCTTTTCTGCTTTTGGCCTCAAAGCGCTTGAAATCTCCACTTGCAAATTCCACAAAAAGAGACTTTCAAATCTGCTCTGTCTAAAGGAAGGTTCAACTCTGTCAGTTGAATACACACAACACAAAGAAGTTACTAAGAATTCTTCCCTCTAGCATTATATGAAGAAATCCCGTTTCCAACGAAGGCATCTAAGAGGTCCAAATAACCACTTGCAGACTTTACAAACAGAGGGTTTCCAGAATGCTGTATGAAAAGAAAGGTTAAACTCTGTGAGTTAAACACACACATCACTACGCAGTGTTCTGGGAACGAGTTTGTCTTGTTTTTATACGAAGGATATTTCCTTTTCTACCATTGGCATCGAAGCGCTTGAAATCTCCACTTGCAAATTCCACAAAAAGAGTGTTTCAAATCTGCTCTGTCTAAAGGAAGGTTGAACTCTGTGAGTTGCATACACACAACCCGAAGAAGTTACTGAGAAATCTTCTGTCTAGCATAATATGAAGAAATCCCGTTTCCAACGAAGGCCTCAAAGAGGTCCGAATATCCACTGGCAGGCTTCACAAACAGAGTGTTTCCTAACTGCTCTGTGAAAAGAAAGGTTAAACTCTGTGAGTTGAACGCACACATCACAAAGGAGTTTCTGAGAATCATTCTGTCTAGTTTTTATACGAAGATATTTCCTTTTCTACCATTGACCTCAAAGCGGCTGACATCTCCACTTGCAAATTCCAGAAAAACAGTGTTTCAAATCTGCTCTGTGTAAAGGATCGTTCAACTCTGTGAGTTGAATACACACAACACAAGGAAGTTACTGAGAATTCATCTGTCTAGCATAATATGAAGAAATCCCGTTTCCAACGAAGGCCTCAAAGAGGTCTGAATATCCACTTGCAGACTTTACAAACAGAGTGTTTCCTAACTGCTCTTTGAAAAGAAAGGTTAAACTCTGTGAGTTGAACGCACACATCACAAAACAGTTTCTGAGAATCATTCTGTCTAGTTTTTATACGAAGATATTTCCTTTTCTACCGTTGACATCAAAGCGGCTGAATTCTCCACTTACAAATTCCACCAAAAGAGTGTCTCAAATCTGCTCTGTGTAAAGAATCATTCAACTCTGTGAGTTGAATGCACACAACACAAGGAAGTTAGTGGGAATTCCTCTGTCTAACCTTACATGAAAAAACCCGTTTCCAACGAAGGCCTCTAAGAGGCCAAGATATCCACTTGCAGACTTTACAAACAGAGTGTTTCCAAACTGCTGAATGAAAAGAAAAGTTAAACTCTGTGAGTTGAACGCACACATCACAGAGCAGTTTCTGAGAATGATTCTGTCGGGTTTTTATACGAAGATATTTCCTTTTCTGCCTTTGGCCTCAAAGCGCTTGAAGTCTCCACTTGCAAATTGCAGAAAAAGAGTGTTTCGAATCTGCTCTGTCTAAAGGAAGGTTCAACTCTGTCAGTTGAATACACACAACACAAGGAAGTTACTGAGATTTCTTCTGTCTAGCCTTACATGAAAAAAACCCGTTTCCAACGAAGGCCTCAAAGAGGTCAAAATATCCACGTGCAGACTTTCCAAACAGAGTGTTTCCAAACTGCTGAATGAAAAGAAAAGTTAAACTCTGTGAGTTGAACGCACACATCCCAGAGCAGTTTCTGAGAAAGATTCTGTCTAGTTTTTATAGGAAAATATTTCCTTTTCTGCTTTTGGCCTCAAAGCGCTTGAAATCTCCACTTGCAAATTCCACAAAAAGAGACTTTCAAATCTGCTCTGTCTAAAGGAAGGTTCAACTCTGTCAGTTGAATACACACAACACAAAGAAGTTACTAAGAATTCTTCCCTCTAGCATTATATGAAGAAATCCCGTTTCCAACGAAGGCATCTAAGAGGTCCAAATATCCACTTGCAGACTTTACAAACAGAGGGTTCCCAGAATGCTGTATGAAAAGAAAGGTTAAACTCTGTGAGTTAAACACACACATCACTACGCAGTGTCTGGGAACGAGTTTGTCTTGTTTTTATACGAAGATATTTCCTTTTCTACCATTGGCATCGAAGCGCTTGAAATCTCCACTTGCAAATTCCACAAAAAGAGTGTTTCAAATCTGCTCTGTCTAAAGGAAGGTTGAACTCTGTGAGTTGCATACACACAACACAAAGAAGTTACTGAGAAATCTTCTGTCTAGCATAATATGAAGAAATCCCGTTTCCAACGAAGGCCTCAAAGAGGTCCGAATATCCACTGGCAGGCTTCACAAACAGAGTGTTTCCTAACTGCTCTGTGAAAAGAAAGGTTAAACTCTGTGAGTTGAACGCACACGTCACAAAGGAGTTTCTGAGAATCATTCTGTCTAGTTTTTATACGAAGATATTTCCTTTTCTACCATTGACCTCAAAGCGGCTGAAATCTCCACTTGCAAATTCCAGAAAAACAGTGTTTCAAATCTGCTCTGTGTAAAGGATCGTTCAACTCTGTGAGTTGAATACACACAACACAAGGAAGTTACTGAGAATTCATCTGTCTAGCATAATATGAAGAAATCCCGTTTCCAACGAAGGCCTCAAAGAGGTCTGAATATCCACTTGCAGACTTTACAGAGTGTTTCCTAACTGCTCTCTGAAAAGAAAGGTTAAACTCTGTGAGTTGAACGCACACATCACAAAACAGTTTCTGAGAATCATTCTGTCTAGTTTTTATACGAAGATATTTCCTTTTCTACCGTTGACCTCAAAGCGGCTGAATTCTCCACTTACAAATTCCACCAAAAGAGTGTCTCAAATCTGCTCTGTGTAAAGAATCGTTCAACTCTGTGAGTTGAATGCACACAACACAAGGAAGTTACTGGGAATTCCTCTGTCTATCCTTACATGAAAAAACCCGTTTCCAACGAAGGCCTCTAAGAGGCCAAGATATCCACTTGCAGACTTTACAAACAGAGTGTTTCCAAACTGCTGAATGAAAAGAAAAGTTAAACTCTGTGAGTTGAATGCACACATCACAGAGCAGTTTCTGAGAATGATTCTGTCGGGTTTTTATACGAAGATATTTCCTTTTCTGCCTTTGGCCTCAAAGCGCTTGAAGTCTCCACTTGCAAATTGCAGAAAAAGAGTGTTTCGAATCTGCTCTGTCTAAAGGAAGGTTCAACTCTGTCAGTTGAATACACACAACACAAGGAAGTTACTGAGATTTCTTCTGTCTAGCCTTACATGAAAAAAACCCGTTTCCAACGAAGGCCTCAAAGAGGTCAAAATATCCACGTGCAGACTTTCCAAACAGAGTGTTTCCAAACTGCTGAATGAAAAGAAAAGTTAAACTCTGTGAGTTGAACGCACACATCCCAGAGCAGTTTCTGAGAAAGATTCTGTCGAGTTTTTATAGGAAAATATTTCCTTTTCTGCTTTTGGCCTCAAAGCGCTTGAAATCTCCACTTGCAAATTCCACAAAAAGAGACTTTCAAATCTGCTCTGTCTAAAGGAAGGTTCAACTCTGTCAGTTGAATACACACAACACAAAGAAGTTACTAAGAATTCTTCCCTCTAGCATTATATGAAGAAATCCCGTTTCCAACGAAGGCATCTAAGAGGTCCAAATATCCACTTGCAGACTTTACAAACAGAGGGTTTCCAGAATGCTGTATGAAAAGAAAGGTTAAACTCTGTGAGTTGAACGCACACATCACAAAGGAGTTTCTGAGAATCATTCTGTCTAGTTTTTATACGAAGATATTTCCTTTTCTACCATTGACCTCAAAGCGGCTGACATCTCCACTTGCAAATTCCAGAAAAACAGTGTTTCAAATCTGCTCTGTGTAAAGGATCGTTCAACTCTGTGAGTTGAATACACACAACACAAGGAAGTTACTGAGAATTCATCTGTCTAGCATAATATGAAGAAATCCCGTTTCCAACGAAGGCCTCAAAGAGGTCTGAATATCCACTTGCAGACTTTACAAACAGAGTGTTTCCTAACTGCTCTTTGAAAAGAAAGGTTAAACTCTGTGAGTTGAACGCACACATCACAAAACAGTTTCTGAGAATCATTCTGTCTAGTTTTTATACGAAGATATTTCCTTTTCTACCGTTGACCTCAAAGCGGCTGAATTCTCCACTAACAAATTCCACCAAAAGAGTGTCTCAAATCTGCTCTGTGTAAAGAATCATTCAACTCTGTGAGTTGAATGCACACAACACAAGGAAGTTACCGGGAATTCCTCTGTCTAACCTTACATGAAAAAACCCGTTTCCAACGAAGGCCTCTAAGAGGCCAAGATATCCACTTGCAGACTTTACAAGCAGAGTGTTTCCAAACTGCTGAATGAAAAGAAAAGTTAAACTCTGTGAGTTGAACGCACACATCACAGAGCAGTTTCTGAGAATGATTCTGTCGGGTTTTTATACGAAGATATTTCCTTTTCTGCCTTTGGCCTCAAAGCGCTTGAAGTCTCCACTTGCAAATTGCAGAAAAAGAGTGTTTCGAATCTGCTCTGTCTAAAGGAAGGTTCAACTCTGTCAGTTGAATACACACAACACAAGGAAGTTACTGAGATTTCTTCTGTCTAGCCTTACATGAAAAAAACCCGTTTCCAACGAAGGCCTCAAAGAGGTCAAAATATCCACGTGCAGACTTTCCAAACAGAGTGTTTCCAAACTGCTGAATGAAAAGAAAAGTTAAACTCTGTGAGTTGAACGCACACATCCCAGAGCAGTTTCTGAGAAAGATTCTGTCGAGTTTTTATAGGAAAATATTTCCTTTTCTGCTTTTGGCCTCAAAGCGCTTGAAATCTCCACTTGCAAATTCCACAAAAAGAGATTTTCAAATCTGCTCTGTCTAAAGGAAGGTTCAACTCTGTCAGTTGAATACACACAACACAAAGAAGTTACTAAGAATTCTTCCCTCTAGCATTATATGAAGAAATCCCGTTTCCAACGAAGGCATCTAAGAGGTCCAAATATCCACTTGCAGACTTTACAAACAGAGGGTTTCCAGAATGCTGTATGAAAAGAAAGGTTAAACTCTGTGAGTTAAACACACACATCACTACGCAGTGTCTGGGAACGAGTTTGTCTTGTTTTTATACGAAGATATTTCCTTTTCTACCATTGGCATCGAAGCGCTTGAAATCTCCACTTGCAAATTCCACAAAAAGAGTGTTTCAAATCTGCGCTGTCTAAAGGAAGGTTGAACTCTGTGAGTTGTATACACACAACACAAAGAAGTTACTGAGAAATCTTCTGTCTAGCATAATATGAAGAAATCCCGTTTCCAACGAAGGCCTCAAAGAGGTCTGAATATCCACTGGCAGGCTTCACAAACAGAGTGTTTCCTAACTGCTCTGTGAAAAGAAAGGTTAAACTCTGTGAGTTGAACGCACACATCACAAAGGAGTTTCTGAGAATCATTATCTGTCTAGTTTTTATACGAAGATATTTCCTTTTCTACCATTGACCTCAAAGCGGCTGAAATCTCCACTTGCAAATTCCAGAAAAACAGTGTTTCAAATCTGCTCTGTGTAAAGGATCGTTCAACTCTGTGAGTTGAATACACACAACACAAGGAAGTTACTGAGAATTCATCTGTCTAGCATAATATGAAGAAATCCCGTTTCCAACGAAGGCCTCAAAGAGGTCTGAATATCCACTTGCAGACTTTACAAACAGAGTGTTTCCTAACTGCTCTTTGAAAAGAAAGGTTAAACTCTGTGAGTTGAACGCACACATCACAAAACAGTTTCTGAGAATCATTCTGTCTAGTTTTTATACGAAGATATTTCCTTTTCTACCGTTGACCTCAAAGCGGCTGAATTCTCCACTTACAAATTCCACCAAAAGAGTGTCTCAAATCTGCTCTGTGTAAAGAATCATTCAACTCTGTGAGTTGAATGCACACAACACAAGGAAGTTACTGGGAATTCCTCTGTCTAACCTTACATGAAAAAACCCGTTTCCAACGAAGGCCTCTAAGAGGCCAAGATATCCACTTGCAGACTTTACAAACAGAGTGTTTCCAAACTGCTGAATGAAAAGAAAAGTTAAACTCTGTGAGTTGAACGCACACATCACAGAGCAGTTTCTGAGAATGATTCTGTCGGGTTTTTATACGAAGATATTTCCTTTTCTGCCTTTGGCCTCAAAGCGCTTGAAGTCTCCACTTGCAAATTGCAGAAAAAGAGTGTTTCGAATCTGCTCTGTCTAAAGGAAGGTTCAACTCTGTCAGTTGAATACACACAACACAAGGAAGTTACTGAGATTTTCTCTGTCTAGCCTTACATGAAAAAAACCCGTTTCCAACGAAGGCCTCAAAGAGGTCAAAATATCCACGTGCAGACTTTCCATACAGAGTGTTTCCAAACTGCTGAATGAAAAGAAAAGTTAAACTCTGTGAGTTGAACGCACACATCCCAGAGCAGTTTCTGAGAAAGATTCTGTCGAGTTTTTATAGGAAAATATTTCCTTTTCTGCTTTTGGCCTCAAAGCGCTTGAAATCTCCACTTGCAAATTCCACAAAAAGAGACTTTCAAATCTGCTCTGTCTAAAGGAAGGTTCAACTCTGTCAGTTGAATACACACAACACAAAGAAGTTACTAAGAATTCTTCCCTCTAGCATTATATGAAGAAATCCCGTTTCCAACGAAGGCATCTAGGAGGTCCAAATATCCACTTGCAGACTTTACAAACACAGGGTTTCCAGAATGCTGTATGAAAAGAAAGGTTAAACTCTGTGAGTTAAACACACACATCACTACGCAGTGTCTGGGAACGAGTTTGTCTTGTTTTTATACGAAGATATTTCCTTTTCTACCATTGGCATCGAAGCGCTTGAAATCTCCACTTGCAAATTCCACAAAAAGAGTGTTTCAAATCTGCTCTGTCTAAAGGAAGGTTGAACTCTGTGAGTTGCATACACACAACACAAAGAAGTTACTGAGAAATCTTCTGTCTAGCATAATATGAAGAAATCCCGTTTCCAACGAAGGCCTCAAAGAGGTCCGAATATCCACTGGCAGGCTTCACAAACAGAGTGTTTCCTAACTGCTCTGTGAAAAGAAAGGTTAAACTCTGTGAGTTGAACGCACACATCACAAAGGAGTTTCTGAGAATCATTCTGTCTAGTTTTTATACGAAGATATTTCTTTTTCTACCATTGACCTCAAAGCGGCTGAAATCTCCACTTGCAAATTCCAGAAAAACAGTGTTTCAAATCTGCTCTGTGTAAAGGATCGTTCAACTCTGTGAGTTGAATACACACAACACAAGGAAGTTACTGAGAATTCATCTGTCTAGCATAATATGAAGAAATCCCGTTTCCAACGAAGGCCTCAAAGAGGTCTGAATATCCACTTGCAGACTTTACAAACAGAGTGTTTCCTAACTGCTCTTTGAAAAGAAAGGTTAAACTCTGTGAGTTGAACGCACACATCACAAAACAGTTTCTGAGAATCATTCTGTCTAGTTTTTATACGAAGATATTTCCTTTTCTACCGTTGACCTCAAAGCGGCTGAATTCTCCACTAACAAATTCCACCAAAAGAGTGTCTCAAATCTGCTCTGTGTAAAGAATCATTCAGCTCTGTGAGTTGAATGCACACAACACAAGGAAGTTACTGGGAATTCCTCTGTCTAACCTTACATGAAAAAACCCGTTTCCAACGAAGGCCTCTAAGAGGCCAAGATATCCACTTGCAGACTTTACAAACAGAGTGTTTCCAAACTGCTGAATGAAAAGAAAAGTTAAACTCTGTGAGTTGAACGCACACATCACAGAGCAGTTTCTGAGAATTATTCTGTCGGGTTTTTATACGAAGATATTTCCTTTTCTGCCTTTGGCCTCAAAGCGCTTGAAGTCTCCACTTGCAAATTGCAGAAAAAGAGTGTTTCGAATCTGCTCTGTCTAAAGGAAGGTTCAACTCTGTCAGTTGAATACACACAACACAAGGAAGTTACTGAGATTTCTTCTGTCTAGCCTTACATGAAAAAAACCCGTTTCCAACGAAGGCCTCAAAGAGGTCAAAATATCCACGTGCAGACTTTCCAAACAGAGTGTTTCCAAACTGCTGAATGAAAAGAAAGTTAAACTCTGTGAGTTGAACACACACATCACAGAGCAGTTTCTGAGAATGATTCTCTCTAGTTTTTATAGGAAAATATTTCCTTTTCTGCTTTTGGCCTCAAAGCGCTTGAAATCTCCACTTGCAAATTCCACAAAAAGAGACTTTCAAATCTGCTCTGTCTAAAGGAAGGTTCAACTCTGTCAGTTGAATACACACAACACAAAGAAGTTACTAAGAATTCTTCCCTCTAGCATTATATGAAGAAATCCCGTTTCCAACGAAGGCATCTAAGAGGTCCAAATATCCACTTGCAGACTTTACAAACAGAGGGTTCCCAGAATGCTGTATGAAAAGAAAGGTTAAACTCTGTGAGTTAAACACACACATCACTACGCAGTGTCTGGGAACGAGTTTGTCTTGTTTTTATACGAAGATATTTCCTTTTCTACCATTGGCATCGAAGCGCTTGAAATCTCCACTTGCAAATTCCACAAAAAGAGTGTTTCAAATCTGCTCTGTCTAAAGGAAGGTTGAACTCTGTGAGTTGCATACACACAACACAAAGAAGTTACTGAGAAATCTTCTGTCTAGCATAATATGAAGAAATCCCGTTTCCAACGAAGGCCTCAAAGAGGTCCGAATATCCACTGGCAGGCTTCACAAACAGAGTGTTTCCTAACTGCTCTGTGAAAAGAAAGGTTAAACTCTGTGAGTTGAACGCACACATCACAAAGGAGTTTCTGAGAATCATTCTGTCTAGTTTTTATACGAAGATATTTCCTTTTCTACCATTGACCTCAAAGCGGCTGAAATCTCCACTTGCAAATTCCAGAAAAACAGTGTTTCAAATCTGCTCTGTGTAAAGGATCGTTTAACTCTGTGAGTTGAATACACACAACACAAGGAAGTTACTGAGAATTCATCTGTCTAGCATAATATGAAGAAATCCCGTTTCCAACGAAGGCCTCAAAGAGGTCTGAATATCCACTTGCAGACTTTACAAACAGAGTGTTTCCTAACTGCTCTTTGAAAAGAAAGGTTAAACTCTGTGAGTTGAACGCACACATCACAAAACAGTTTCTGAGAATCATTCTTTCTAGTTTTTATACGAAGATATTTCCTTTTCTACCGTTGACCTCAAAGCGGCTGAATTCTCCACTTACAAATTCCACCAAAAGAGTGTCTCAAATCTGCTCTGTGTAAAGAATCATTCAACTCTGTGAGTTGAATGCACACAACACAAGGAAGTTACTGGGAATTCCTCTGTCTAACCTTACATGAAAAAACGCGTTTCCAACGAAGGCCTCTAAGAGGCCAAGATATCCACTTGCAGACTTTACAGAGTGTTTCCAAACTGCTGAATGAAAAGAAAAGTTAAACTCTGTGAGTTGAACGCACACATCACACAGCAGTTTCTGAGAGTGATTCTGTCTGGTTTTTATACGAAGATATTTCCTTTTCTGCCTTTGGCCTCAAAGCGCTTGAAGTCTCCACTTACAAATTGCAGAATAAGAGTGTTTCGAATCTGCTCTGTCTAAAGGAAGGTTCATCTCTGTCTGTTGAATACCCACAACACAAGGAAGTTACTGAGATTTCTTCTGTATAGCCTTACATGAAAAAAACCCGTTTCCAACGAAGGCCTCAAAGAGGTCAAAATATCCACGTGCAGACTTTCCAAACAGAGTGTTTCCAAACTGCTGAATGAAAAGAAAAGTTAAACTCTGTGAGTTGAACGCACACATCCCAGAGCAGTTTCTGAGAAAGATTCTGTCTAGTTTTTATAGGAAAATATTTCCTTTTCTGCTTTTGGCCTCAAAGCGCTTGAAATCTCCACTTGCAAATTCCACAAAAAGAGACTTTCAAATCTGCTCTGTCTAAAGGAAGGTTCAACTCTGTCAGTTGAATACACACAACACAAAGAAGTTACTAAGAATTCTTCCCTCTAGCATTATATGAAGAAATCCCGTTTCCAACGAAGGCATCTAAGAGGTCCAAATATCCACTTGCAGACTTTACAAACAGAGGGTTTCCAGAATGCTGTATGAAAAGAAAGGTGAAACTCTGTGAGTTAAACACACACATCACTACGCAGTGTCTGGGAACGAGTTTGTCTTGTTTTTATACGAAGATATTTCCTTTTCTACCATTGGCATCGAAGCGCTTGAAATCTCCACTTGCAAATTCCACAAAAAGAGTGTTTCAAATCTGCTCTGTCTAAAGGAAGGTTGAACTCTGTGAGTTGCATACACACAACACAAAGAAGTTACTGAGAAATCTTCTGTCTAGCATAATATGAAGAAATCCCGTTTCCAACGAAGGCCTCAAAGAGGTCCGAATATCCACTGGCAGGCTTCACAAACAGAGTGTTTCCTAACTGCTCTGTGAAAAGAAAGGTTAAACTCTGTGAGTTGAACGCACACATCACAAAGGAGTTTCTGAGAATCATTCTGTCTAGTTTTTATACGAAGATATTTCCTTTTCTACCATTGACCTCAAAGCGGCTGAAATCTCCACTTGCAAATTCCAGAAAAACAGTGTTTCAAATCTGCTCTGTGTAAAGGATCGTTCAACTCTGTGAGTTGAATACACACAACACAAGGAAGTTACTGAGAATTCATCTGTCTAGCATAATATGAAGAAATCCCGTTTCCAACGAAGGCCTCAAAGAGGTCTGAATATCCACTTGCAGACTTTACAAACAGAGTGTTTCCTAACTGCTCTTTGAAAAGAAAGGTTAAACTCTGTGAGTTGAACTCACACATCACAAAACAGTTTCTGAGAATCATTCTGTCTAGTTTTTATACGAAGATATTTCCTTTTCTACCGTTGACCTCAAAGCGGCTGAATTCTCCACTTACAAATTCCACCAAAAGAGTGTCTCAAATCTGCTCTGTGTAAAGAATCATTCAACTCTGTGAGTTGAATGCACACAACACAAGGAAGTTACTGGGAATTCCTCTGTCTAACCTTACATGAAAAAACCCGTTTCCAACGAAGGCCTCTAAGAGGCCAAGATATCCACTTGCAGACTTTACAAACAGAGTGTTTCCAAACTGCTGAATGAAAAGAAAAGTTAAACTCTGTGAGTTGAACGCACACATCACAGAGCAGTTTCTGAGAGTGATTCTGTCGGGTTTTTATACGAAGATATTTCCTTTTCTGCCTTTGGCCTCAAAGCGCTTGAAGTTTCCACTTGCAAATTGCAGAAAAAGAGTGTTTCGAATCTGCTCTGTCTAAAGGAAGGTTCAACTCTGTCAGTTGAATACACACAACACAAGGAAGTTACTGAGATTTCTTCTGTCTAGCCTTACATGAAAAAAACCCGTTTCCAACGAAGGCCTCAAAGAGGTCAAAATATCCACGTGCAGACTTTCCAAACAGAGTGTTTCCAAACTGCTGAATGAAAAGAAAAGTTAAACTCTGTGAGTTGAACGCACACATCCCAGAGCAGTTTCTGAGAAAGATTCTGTCGAGTTTTTATAGGAAAATATTTCCTTTTCTGCTTTTGACCTCAAAGCGCTTGAAATCTCCACTTGCAAATTCCACAAAAAGAGACTTTCAAATCTGCTCTGTCTAAAGGAAGGTTCAACTCTGTCAGTTGAATACACACAACACAAAGAAGTTACTAAGAATTCTTCCCTCTAGCATTATATGAAGAAATCCCGTTTCCAACGAAGGCATCTAAAAGGTCCAAATATCCACTTGCAGACTTTACAAACACAGGGTTTCCAGAATGCTGTATGAAAAGAAAGGTTAAACTCTGTGAGTTAAACACACACATCACTACGCAGTGTCTGGGAACGAGTTTGTCTTGTTTTTATACGAAGATATTTCCTTTTCTACCATTTGCATCGAAGCGCTTGAAATCTCCACTTGCAAATTCCACAAAAAGAGTGTTTCAAATATGCTCTCTCTAAAGGAAGGTTGAACTCTGTAAGTTGCATACACACAACACAAAGAAGTTACTGAGAAATCTTCTGTCTAGCATAATATGAAGAAATCCCGTTTCCAACGAAGGCCTCAAAGAGGTCCGAATATCCACTGGCAGGCTTCACAAACAGAGTGTTTCCTAACTGCTCTGTGAAAAGAAAGGTTAAACTCTGTGAGTTGAACGCACACATCACAAAGGAGTTTCTGAGAATCATTCTGTCTAGTTTTTATACGAAGATATTTCCTTTTCTACCATTGACCTCAAAGCGGCTGAAATCTCCACTTGCAAATTCCAGAAAAACAGTGTTTCAAATCTGCTCTGTGTAAAGGATCGTTCAACTCTGTGAGTTGAATACACACAACACAAGGAAGTTACTGAGAATTCATCTGTCTAGCATAATATGAAGAAATCCCGTTTCCAACGAAGGCCTCAAAGAGGTCTGAATATCCACTTGCAGACTTTACAAACAGAGTGTTTCCTAACTGCTCTTTGAAAAGAAAGGTTAAACTCTGTGAGTTGAACGCACACATCACAAAACAGTTTCTGAGAATCATTCTGTCTAGTTTTTATACGAAGATATTTCCTTTTCTACCGTTGACCTCAAAGCGGCTGAATTCTCCACTTACAAATTCCACCAAAAGAGTGTCTCAAATCTGCTCTGTGTAAAGAATCATTCAACTCTGTGAGTTGAATGCACACAACACAAGGAAGTTACTGGGAATTCCTCTGTCTAACCTTACATGAAAAAACCCGTTTCCAACGAAGGCCTCTAAGAGGCCAAGATATCCACTTGCAGACTTTACAAACAGAGTGTTTCCAAACTGCTGAATGAAAAGAAAAGTTAAACTCTGTGAGTTGAACGCACACATCACAGAGCAGTTTCTGAGAATGATTCTGTCGGGTTTTTATACGAAGATATTTCCTTTTCTGCCTTTGGCCTCAAAGCGCTTGAAGTCTCCACTTGCAAATTGCAGAAAAAGAGTGTTTCGAATCTGCTCTGTCTAAAGGAAGGTTCAACTCTGTCAGTTGAATACACATAACACAAGGAAGTTACTGAGATTTCTTCTGTCTAGCCTTACATGAAAAAAACCCGTTTCCAACGAAGGCCTCAAAGAGGTCAAAATATCCACGTGCAGACTTTCCAAACAGAGTGTTTCCAAACTGCTGAATGAAAAGAAAAGTTAAACTCTGTGAGTTGAACGCACACATCCCAGAGCAGTTTCTGAGAAAGATTCTGTCTAGTTTTTATAGGAAAATATTTCCTTTTCTGCTTTTGGCCTCAAAGCGCTTGAAATCTCCACTTGCAAATTCCACAAAAAGAGACTTTCAAATCTGCTCTGTCTAAAGGAAGGTTCAACTCTGTCAGTTGAATACACACAACACAAAGAAGTTACTAAGAATTCTTCCCTCTAGCATTATATGAAGAAATCCCGTTTCCAACGAAGGCATCTAAGAGGTCCAAATATCCACTTGCAGACTTTACAAACAGAGGGTTTCCAGAATGCTGTATGAAAAGAAAGGTGAAACTCTGTGAGTTAAACACACACATCACTACGCAGTGTCTGGGAACGAGTTTGTCTTGTTTTTATACGAAGATATTTCCTTTTCTACCATTGGCATCGAAGCGCTTGAAATCTCCACTTGCAAATTCCACAAAAAGAGTGTTTCAAATCTGCTCTGTCTAAAGGAAGGTTGAACTCTGTGAGTTGCATACACACAACACAAAGAAGTTACTGAGAAATCTTCTGTCTAGCATAATATGAAGAAATCCCGTTTCCAACGAAGGCCTCAAAGAGGTCCGAATATCCACTGGCAGGCTTCACAAACAGAGTGTTTCCTAACTGCTCTGTGAAAAGAAAGGTTAAACTCTGTGAGTTGAACGCACACATCACAAAGGAGTTTCTGAGAATCATTCTGTCTAGTTTTTATACGAAGATATTTCCTTTTCTACCATTGACCTCAAAGCGGCTGAAATCTCCACTTGCAAATTCCAGAAAAACAGTGTTTCAAATCTGCTCTGTGTAAAGGATCGTTCAACTCTGTGAGTTGAATACACACAACACAAGGAAGTTACTGAGAATTCATCTGTCTAGCATAATATGAAGAAATCCCGTTTCCAACGAAGGCCTCAAAGAGGTCTGAATATCCACTTGCAGACTTTACAAACAGAGTGTTTCCTAACTGCTCTTTGAAAAGAAAGGTTAAACTCTGTGAGTTGAAAGCACACATCACAAAACAGTTTCTGAGAATCATTCTTTCTAGTTTTTATACGAAGATATTTCCTTTTCTACCGTTGACCTCAAAGCGGCTGAATTCTCCACTTACAAATTCCACCAAAAGAGTGTCTCAAATCTGCTCTGTGTAAAGAATCATTCAACTCTGTGAGTTGAATGCATACAACACAAGGAAGTTACTGGGAATTCCTCTGTCTATCCTTACATGAAAAAACCCGCTTCCAACGAAGGCCTCTAAGAGGCCAAGATATCCACTTGCAGACTTTACAAACAGAGTGTTTC
Source organism: Homo sapiens (assembly GCF_000001405.40). NCBI lineage: Eukaryota > Metazoa > Chordata > Mammalia > Primates > Hominidae > Homo > Homo sapiens. The sequence goes on along the minus strand of NC_000016.10, from coordinate 37,015,532 downwards.
CAAACTGCTGAATGAAAAGAAAAGTTAAACTCTGTGAGTTGAACGCACACATCACAGAGCAGTTTCTGAGAATGATTCTGTCGGGTTTTTATACGAAGATATTTCCTTTTCTGCCTTTGGCCTCAAAGCGCTTGAAGTCTCCACTTGCAAATTGCAGAAAAAGAGTGTTTTGAATCTGCTCTGTCTAAAGGAAGGTTCAACTCTGTCAGTTGAATACACACAACACAAGGAAGTTACTGAGATTTCTTCTGTCTAGCCTTACATGAAAAAAACCCGTTTCCAACGAAGGCCTCAAAGAGGTCAAAATATCCACGTGCAGACTTTCCAAACAGAGTGTTTCCAAACTGCTGAATGAAAAGAAAAGTTAAACTCTGTGAGTTGAACGCACACATCCCAGAGCAGTTTCTGAGAAAGATTCTGTCGAGTTTTTATAGGAAAATATTTCCTTTTCTGCTTTTGGCCTCAAAGCGCTTGAAATCTCCACTTGCAAATTCCACAAAAAGAGACTTTCAAATCTGCTCTGTCTAAAGGAAGGTTCAACTCTGTCAGTTGAATACACACAACACAAAGAAGTTACTAAGAATTCTTCCCTCTAGCATTATATGAAGAAATCCCGTTTGCAACGAAGGCATCTAAGAGGTCCAAATATCCACTTGCAGACTTTACAAACAGAGGGTTTCCAGAAGGCTGTATGAAAAGAAAGGTGAAACTCTGTGAGTTAAACACACACATCACTACGCAGTGTCTGGGAACGAGTTTGTCTTGTTTTTATACGAAGATATTTCCTTTTCTACCATTGGCATCGAAGCGCTTGAAATCTCCACTTGCAAATTCCACAAAAAGAGTGTTTCAAATCTGCTCTGTCTAAAGGAAGGTTGAACTCTGTGAGTTGCATACACACAACACAAAGAAGTTACTGAGAAATCTTCTGTCTAGCATAATATGAAGAAATCCCGTTTCCAACGAAGGCCTCAAAGAGGTCCGAATATCCACTGGCAGGCTTCACAAACAGAGTGTTTCCTAACTGCTCTGTGAAAAGAAAGGTTAAACCCTGTGAGTTGAACGCACACATCACAAAGGAGTTTCTGAGAATCATTCTGTCTAGTTTTTATACGAAGATATTTCCTTTTCTACCATTGACCTCAAAGCGGCTGAAATCTCCACTTGCAAATTCCAGAAAAACAGTGTTTCAAATCTGCTCTGTGTAAAGGATCGTTCAACTCTGTGAGTTGAATACACACAACACAAGGAAGTTACTGAGAATTCATCTGTCTAGCATAATATGAAGAAATCCCGTTTCCAACGAAGGCTTCAAAGAGGTCTGAATATCCACTTGCAGACTTTACAAACAGAGTGTTTCCTAACTGCTCTTTGAAAAGAAAGGTTAAACTCTGTGAGTTGAACGCACACATCACAAAACAGTTTCTGAGAATCATTCTTTCTAGTTTTTATACGAAGATATTTCCTTTTCTACCGTTGACCTCAAAGCGGCTGAATTCTGCACTTACAAATTCCACCAAAAGAGTGTCTCAAATCTGCTCTGTGTAAAGAATCATTCAACTCTGTGAGTTGAATGCACACAACACAAGGAAGTTACTGGGAATTCCTCTGTCTAACCTTACATGAAAAAAACCCGTTTCCAACGAAGGCCTCTAAGAGGCCAATATATCCCCTTGCAGACTTTACAAACAGAGTGTTTCCAAACTGCTGAATGAAAAGAAAAGTTAAACTCTGTGTGTTGAACGCACACATCACAGAGCAGTTTCTGAGAATGATTCTGTCGGGTTTTTATACGAAGATATTTCCTTTTCTGCCTTTGGCCTCAAAGCGCTTGAAGTCTCCACTTGCAAATTGCAGAAAAAGAGTGTTTCGAATCTGCTCTGTCTAAAGGAAGGTTCAACTCTGTCAGTTGAATACACACAACACAAGGAAGTTACTGAGATTTCTTCTGTCTAGCCTTACATGAAAAAAACCCGTTTCCAACAAAGGCCTCAAAGAGGTCAAAATATCCACGTGCAGACTTTCCAAACAGAGTGTTTCCAAACTGCTGAATGAAAAGAAAAGTTAAACTCTGTGAGTTGAACGCACACGTCCCAGAGCAGTTTCTGAGAAAGATTCTGTCGAGTTTTTATAGGAAAATACTTCCTTTTCTGCTTTTGGCCTCAAAGCGCTTGAAATCTCCACTTGCAAATTCCACAAAAAGAGACTTTCAAATCTGCTCTGTCTAAAGGAAGGTTCAACTCTGTCAGTTGAATACACACAACACAAAGAAGTTACTAAGAATTCTTCCCTCTAGCATTATATGAAGAAATCCCGTTTCCAACGAAGGCATCTAAGAGGTCCAAATATCCACTTGCAGACTTTACAAACACAGGGTTTCCAGAATGCTGTATGAAAAGAAAGGTTAAACTCTGTGAGTTAAACACACACATCACTACGCAGTGTCTGGGAACGAGTTTGTCTTGTTTTTCTACGAAGATATTTCCTTTTCTACCATTTGCATCGAAGCGCTTGAAATCTCCACTTGCAAATTCCACAAAAAGAGTGTTTCAAATATGCTCTCTCTAAAGGAAGGTTGAACTCTGTAAGTTGCATACACACAACACAAAGAAGTTACTGAGAAATCTTCTGTCTAGCATAATATGAAGAAATCCCGTTTCCAACGAAGGCCTCAAAGAGGTCCGATTATCCACTGGCAGGCTTCACAAACAGAGTGTTTCCTAACTGCTCTGTGAAAAGAAAGGTTAAACTCTGTGAGTTAAACACACACATCACTACGCAGTGTCTGGGAACGAGTCTGTCTAGTTTTTATACGAAGATATTTCCTTTTCTACCATTGACCTCAAAGCGGCTGAAATCTCCACTTGCAAATTCCAGAAAAACAGTGTTTCAAATCTGCTCTGTGTAAAGGATCGTTCAACTCTGTGAGTTGAATACACACAACACAAGGGAAGTTACTGAGAATTCATCTGTCTAGCATAATATGAAGAAATCCCGTTTCCAACGAAGGCCTCAAAGAGGTCTGAATATCCACTTGCAGACTTTACAAACAGAGTGTTTCCTAACTGCTCTTTGAAAAGAAAGGTTAAACTCTGTGAGTTGAACGCACACATCACAAAACAGTTTCTGAGAATCATTCTGTCTAGTTTTTATACGAAGATATTTCCTTTTCTACCGTTGACCTCAAAGCGGCTGAATTCTCCACTTACAAATTCCACCAAAAGAGTGTCTCAAATCTGCTCTGTGTAAAGAATCATTCAACTCTGTGAGTTGAATGCACACAACACAAGGGAAGTTACTGGGAATTCCTCTGTCTAACCTTACATGAAAAAACCCGTTTCCAACGAAGGCCTCTAAGAGGCCAAGATATCCACTTGCAGACTTTACAAACAGAGTGTTTCCAAACTGCTGAATGAAAAGAAAAGTTAAACTCTGTGAGTTGAACGCACACATCACAGAGCAGTTTCTGAGAATGATTCTGTCGGGTTTTTATACGAAGATATTTCCTTTTCTGCCTTTGGCCTCAAAGCGCTTGAAGTCTCCACTTGCAAATTGCAGAAAAAGAGTGTTTCGAATCTGCTCTGTCTAAAGGAAGGTTCAACTCTGTCAGTTGAATACACACAACACAAGGGAATTTACTGAGATTTCTTCTGTCTAGCCTTACATGAAAAAAACCCGTTTCCAACGAAGGCCTCAAAGAGGTCAAAATATCCACGTGCAGACTTTCCAAACAGAGTGTTTCCAAACTGCTGAATGAAAAGAAAAGTTAAACTCTGTGAGTTGAACGCACACATCCCAGAGCAGTTTCTGAGAAAGATTCTGTCGAGTTTTTATAGGAAAATATTTCCTTTTCTGCTTTTGGCCTCAAAGCGCTTGAAATCTCCACTTGCAAATTCCACAAAAAGAGACTTTCAAATCTGCTCTGTCTAAAGGAAGGTTCAACTCTGTCAGTTGAATACACACAACACAAAGAAGTTACTAAGAATTCTTCCCTCTAGCATTATATGAAGAAATCCCGTTTCCAACGAAGGCATCTAAGAGGTCCAAATATCCACTTGCAGACTTTACAAACACAGGGTTTCCAGAATGCTGTATGAAAAGAAAGGTTAAACTCTGTGAGTTAAACACACACATCACTACGCAGTGTCTGGGAACGAGTTTGTCTTGTTTTTATACGAAGATATTTCCTTTTCTACCATTGGCATCGAAGCGCTTGAAATCTCCACTTGCAAATTCCACAAAAAGAGTGTTTCAAATCTGCTCTGTCTAAAGGAAGGTTGAACTCTGTGAGTTGCATACACACAACACAAAGAAGTTACTGAGAAATCTTCTGTCTATCATAATATGAAGAAATCCCGTTTCCAACGAAGGCCTCAAAGAGGTCCGAATATCCACTGGCAGGCTTCACAAACAGAGTGTTTCCTAACTGCTCTGTGAAAAGAAAGGTTAAACTCTGTGAGTTGAACGCACACATCACAAAGGAGTTTCTGAGAATCATTCTGTCTAGTTTTTATACGAAGATATTTCCTTTTCTACCATTGACCTCAAAGCGGCTGAAATCTCCACTTGCAAATTCCAGAAAAACAGTGTTTCAAATCTGCTCTGTGTAAAGGATCGTTCAACTCTGTGAGTTGAATACACACAACACAAGGAAGTTACTGAGAATTCATCTGTCTAGCATAATATGAAGAAATCCCGTTTCCAACGAAGGCCTCAAAGAGGTCTGAATATCCACTTGCAGACTTTACAAACAGAGTGTTTCCTAACTGCTCTTTGAAAAGAAAGGTTAAACTCTGTGAGTTGAACGCACACATCACAAAACAGTTTCTGAGAATCATTCTGTCTAGTTTTTATACGAAGATATTTCCTTTTCTACCGTTGACCTCAAAGCGGCTGAATTCTCCACTTACAAATTCCACCAAAAGAGTGTCTCAAATCTGCTCTGTGTAAAGAATCATTCAACTCTGTGAGTTGAATGCACACAACACAAGGAAGTTACTGGGAATTCCTCTGTCTAACCTTACATGAAAAAACCCGTTTCCAACGAAGGCCTCTAAGAGGCCAAGATATCCACTTGCAGACTTTACAAACAGAGTGTTTCCAAACTGCTGAATGAAAAGAAAAGTTAAACTCTGTGAGTTGAACGCACACATCACAGAGCAGTTTCTGAGAATGATTCTGTCGGGTTTTTATACGAAGATATTTCCTTTTCTGCCTTTGGCCTCAAAGCGCTTGAAGTCTCCACTTGCAAATTGCAGAAAAAGAGTGTTTCGAATCTGCTCTGTCTAAAGGAAGGTTCAACTCTGTCAGTTGAATACACACAACACAAGGAAGTTACTGAGATTTCTTCTGTCTAGCGTTACATGAAAAAAACCCGTTTCCAACGAAGGCCTCAAAGAGGTCAAAATATCCACGTGCAGACTTTCCAAACAGAGTGTTTCCAAACTGCTGAATGAAAAGAAAAGTTAAACTCTGTGAGTTGAACGCACACATCCCAGAGCAGTTTCTGAGAAAGATATTCTGTCGAGTTTTTATAGGAAAATATTTCCTTTTCTGCTTTTGGCCTCAAAGCGCTTGAAATCTCCACTTGCAAATTCCACAAAAAGAGACTTTCAAATCTGCTCTGTCTAAAGGAAGGTTCAACTCTGTCAGTTGAATACACACAACACAAAGAAGTTACTAAGAATTCTTCCCTCTAGCATTATATGAAGAAATCCCGTTTCCAACGAAGGCATCTAAGAGGTCCAAATATCCACTTGCAGACTTTACAAACACAGGGTTTCCAGAATGCTGTATGAAAAGAAAGGTGAAACTCTGTGAGTTAAACACACACATCACTACGCAGTGTCTGGGAACGAGTTTGTCTTCTTTTTATACGAAGATATTTCCTTTTCTACCATTGGCATCGAAGCGCTTGAAATCTCCACTTGCAAATTCCACAAAAAGAGTGTTTCAAATCTGCTCTGTCTAAAGGAAGGTTGAACTCTGTGAGTTGCATACACACAACACAAAGAAGTTACTGAGAAATCTTCTGTCTAGCATAATATGAAGAAATCCCGTTTCCAACGAAGGCCTCAAAGAGGTCCGAATATCCACTGGCAGGCTTCACAAACAGAGTGTTTCCTAACTGCTCTGTGAAAAGAAAGGTTAAACTCTGTGAGTTGAACGCACACATCACAAAGGAGTTTCTGAGAATCATTCTGTCTAGTTTTTATACGAAGATATTTCCTTTTCTACCATTGACCTCAAAGCGGCTGAAATCTCCACTTGCAAATTCCAGAAAAACAGTGTTTCAAATCTGCTCTGTGTAAAGGATCGTTCAACTCTGTGAGTTGAATACACACAACACAAGGAAGTTACTGAGAATTCATCTGTCTAGCATAATATGAAGAAATCCCGTTTCCAACGAAGGCCTCAAAGAGGTCTGAATATCCACTTGCAGACTTTACAAACAGAGTGTTTCCTAACTGCTCTTTGAAAAGAAAGGTTAAACTCTGTGAGTTGAACGCACACATCACAAAACAGTTTCTGAGAATCATTCTGTCTAGTTTTTATACGAAGATATTTCCTTTTCTACCGTTGACCTCAAAGCGGCTGAATTCTCCACTTACAAATTCCACCAAAAGAGTGTCTCAAATCTGCTCTGTGTAAAGAATCATTCAACTCTGTGAGTTGAATGCACACAACACAAGGAAGTTACTGGGAATTCCTCTGTCTAACCTTACATGAAAAAACCCGTTTCCAACGAAGGCCTCTAAGAGGCCAAGATATCCACTTGCAGACTTTACAAACAGAGTGTTTCCAAACTGCTGAATGAAAAGAAAAGTTAAACTCTGTGAGTTGAACGCACACATCACAGAGCAGTTTCTGAGAATGATTCTGTCGGGTTTTTATACGAAGATATTTCCTTTTCTGCCTTTGACCTCAAAGCGCTTGAAGTCTCCACTTGCAAATTGCAGAAAAAGAGTGTTTCGAATCTGCTCTGTCTAAAGGAAGGTTCAACTCTGTCAGTTGAATACACACAACACAAGGAAGTTACTGAGATTTCTTCTGTCTAGCCTTACATGAAAAAAACCCGTTTCCAACGAAGGCCTCAAAGAGGTCAAAATATCCACGTGCAGACTTTCCAAACAGAGTGTTTCCAAACTGCTGAATGGAAAGAAAAGTTAAACTCTGTGAGTTGAACGCACACATCCCAGAGCAGTTTCTGAGAAAGATTCTGTCGAGTTTTTATAGGAAAATATTTCCTTTTCTGCTTTTGGCCTCAAAGCGCTTGAAATCTCCACTTGCAAATTCCACAAAAAGAGACTTTCAAATCTGCTCTGTCTAAAGGAAGGTTCAACTCTGTCAGTTGAATACACACAACACAAAGAAGTTACTAAGAATTCTTCCCTCTAGCATTATATGAAGAAATCCCGTTTCCAACGAAGGCATCTAAGAGGTCCAAATATCCACTTGCAGACTTTACAAACACAGGGTTTCCAGAATGCTGTATGAAAAGAAAGGTTAAACTCTGTGAGTTAAACACACACATCACTACGCAGTGTCTGGGAACGAGTTTGTCTTGTTTTTATACGAAGATATTTCCTTTTCTACCATTGGCATCGAAGCGCTTGAAATCTCCACTTGCAAATTCCACAAAAAGAGTGTTTCAAATCTGCTCTGTCTAAAGGAAGGTTGAACTCTGTGAGTTGCATACACACAACACAAAGAAGTTACTGAGAAATCTTCTGTCTAGCATAATATGAAGAAATCCCGTTTCCAACGAAGGCCTCAAAGAGGTCCGAATATCCACTGGCAGGCTTCACAAACAGAGTGTTTCCTAACTGCTCTGTGAAAAGAAAGGTTAAACTCTGTGAGTTGAACGCACACATCACAAAGGAGTTTCTGAGAATCATTCTGTCTAGTTTTTATACGAAGATATTTCTTTTTCTACCATTGACCTCAAAGCGGCTGAAATCTCCACTTGCAAATTCCAGAAAAACAGTGTTTCAAATCTGCTCTGTGTAAAGGATCGTTCAACTCTGTGAGTTGAATACACACAACACAAGGAAGTTACTGAGAATTCATCTGTCTAGCATAATATGAAGAAATCCCGTTTCCAACGAAGGCCTCAAAGAGGTCTGAATATCCACTTGCAGACTTTACAAACAGAGTGTTTCCTAACTGCTCTTTGAAAAGAAAGGTTAAACTCTGTGAGTTGAACGCACACATCACAAAACAGTTTCTGAGAATCATTCTGTCTAGTTTTTATACGAAGATATTTCCTTTTCTACCGTTGACCTCAAAGCGGCTGAATTCTCCACTAACAAATTCCACCAAAAGAGTGTCTCAAATCTGCTCTGTGTAAAGAATCATTCAACTCTGTGAGTTGAATGCACACAACACAAGGAAGTTACTGGGAATTCCTCTGTCTAACCTTACATGAAAAAACCCGTTTCCAACGAAGGCCTCTAAGAGGCCAAGATATCCACTTGCAGACTTTACAAACAGAGTGTTTCCAAACTGCTGAATGAAAAGAAAAGTTAAACTGCTGTGAGTTGAACGCACACATCACAGAGCAGTTTCTGAGAATGATTCTGTCGGGTTTTTATACGAAGATATTTCCTTTTCTGCCTTTGGCCTCAAAGCGCTTGAAGTCTCCACTTGCAAATTGCAGAAAAAGAGTGTTTCGAATCTGCTCTGTCTAAAGGAAGGTTCAACTCTGTCAGTTGAATACACACAACACAAGGGAATTTACTGAGATTTCTTCTGTCTAGCCTTACATGAAAAAAACCCGTTTCCAACGAAGGCCTCAAAGAGGTCAAAATATCCACGTGCAGACTTTCCAAACAGAGTGTTTCCAAACTGCTGAATGAAAAGAAAAGTTAAACTCTGTGAGTTGAACGCACACATCCCAGAGCAGTTTCTGAGAAAGATTCTGTCTAGTTTTTATAGGAAAATATTTCCTTTTCTGCTTTTGGCCTCAAAGCGCTTGAAATCTCCACTTGCAAATTCCACAAAAAGAGACTTTCAAATCTGCTCTGTCTAAAGGAAGGTTCAACTCTGTCAGTTGAATACACACAACACAAAGAAGTTACTAAGAATTCTTCCCTCTAGCATTATATGAAGAAATCCCGTTTCCAACGAAGGCATCTAAGAGGTCCAAATATCCACTTGCAGACTTTACAAACACAGGGTTTCCAGAATGCTGTATGAAAAGAAAGGTTAAACTCTGTGAGTTAAACACACACATCACTACGCAGTGTCTGGGAACGAGTTTGTCTTGTTTTTATACGAAGATATTTCCTTTTCTACCATTGGCATCGAAGCGCTTGAAATCTCCACTTGCAAATTCCACAAAAAGAGTGTTTCAAATCTGCTCTGTCTAAAGGAAGGTTGAACTCTGTGAGTTGCATACACACAACACAAAGAAGTTACTGAGAAATCTTCTGTCTAGCATAATATGAAGAAATCCCGTTTCCAACGAAGGCCTCAAAGAGGTCCGAATATCCACTGGCAGGCTTCACAAACAGAGTGTTTCCTAACTGCTCTGTGAAAAGAAAGGTTAAACTCTGTGAGTTGAACGCACACATCACAAAGGAGTTTCTGAGAATCATTCTGTCTAGTTTTTATACGAAGATATTTCTTTTTCTACCATTGACCTCAAAGCGGCTGAAATCTCCACTTGCAAATTCCAGAAAAACAGTGTTTCAAATCTGCTCTGTGTAAAGGATCGTTCAACTCTGTGAGTTGAATACACACAACACAAGGAAGTTACTGAGAATTCATCTGTCTAGCATAATATGAAGAAATCCCGTTTCCAACGAAGGCCTCAAAGAGGTCTGAATATCCACTTGCAGACTTTACAAACAGAGTGTTTCCTAACTGCTCTTTGAAAAGAAAGGTTAAACTCTGTGACTTGAACGCACACATCACAAAACAGTTTCTGAGAATCATTCTGTCTAGTTTTTATACGAAGATATTTCCTTTTCTACCGTTGACCTCAAAGCGGCTGAATTCTCCACTTACAAATTCCACCAAAAGAGTGTCTCAAAACTGCTCTGCGTAAAGAATCATTCAACTCTGTGAGTTGAATGCACACAACACAAGGAAGTTACTGGGAATTCCTCTGTCTAACCTTACATGAAAAAACCCGTTTCCAACGAAGGCCTCTAAGAGGCCAAGATATCCACTTGCAGACTTTACAAACAGAGTGTTTCCAAACTGCTGAATGAAAAGAAAAGTTAAACTCTGTGAGTTGAACGCACACATCACAGAGCAGTTTCTGAGAATGATTCTGTCGGGTTTTTATACGAAGATATTTCCTTTTCTGCCTTTGGCCTCAAAGCGCTTGAAGTCTCCACTTGCAAATTGCAGAAAAAGAGTGTTTCGAATCTGCTCTGTCTAAAGGAAGGTTCAACTCTGTCAGTTGAATACACACAACACAAGGAAGTTACTGAGATTTCTTCTGTCTAGCCTTACATGAAAAAAACCCGTTTCCAACGAAGGCCTCAAAGAGGTCAAAATATCCACGTGCAGACTTTCCAAACAGAGTGTTTCCAAACTGCTGAATGAAAAGAAAAGTTAAACTCTGTGAGTTGAACGCACACATCCCAGAGCAGTTTCTGAGAAAGATTCTGTCGAGTTTTTATAGGAAAATATTTCCTTTTCTGCTTTTGGCCTCAAAGCGCTTGAAATCTCCACTTGCAAATTCCACAAAAAGAGACTTTCAAATCTGCTCTGTCTAAAGGAAGGTTCAACTCTGTCAGTTGAATACACACAACACAAAGAAGTTACTAAGAATTCTTCCCTCTAGCATTATATGAAGAAATCCCGTTTCCAACGAAGGCATCTAAGAGGTCCAAATATCCACTTGCAGACTTTACAAACAGAGGGTTTCCAGAATGCTGTATGAAAAGAAAGGTTAAACTCTGTGAGTTAAACACACACATCACTACGCAGTGTCTGGGAACGAGTTTGTCTTGTTTTTATACGAAGATATTTCCTTTTCTACCATTGGCATCGAAGCGCTTGAAATCTCCACTTGCAAATTCCACAAAAAGAGTGTTTCAAATCTGCTCTGTCTAAAGGAAGGTTGAACTCTGTGAGTTGCATACACACAACACAAAGAAGTTACTGAGAAATCTTCTGTCTAGCATAATATGAAGAAATCCCGTTTCCAACGAAGGCCTCAAAGAGGTCCGAATATCCACTGGCAGGCTTCACAAACAGAGTGTTTCCTAACTGCTCTGTGAAAAGAAAGGTTAAACTCTGTGAGTTGAACGCACACATCACAAAGGAGTTTCTGAGAATCATTCTGTCTAGTTTTTATACGAAGATATTTCCTTTTCTACCATTGACCTCAAAGCGGCTGAAATCTCCACTTGCAAATTCCAGAAAAACAGTGTTTCAAATCTGCTCTGTGTAAAGGATCGTTCAACTCTGTGAGTTGAATACACACAACACAAGGAAGTTACTGAGAATTCATCTGTCTAGCATAATATGAAGAAATCCCGTTTCCAACGAAGGCCTCAAAGAGGTCTGAATATCCACTTGCAGACTTTACAAACAGAGTGTTTCCTAACTGCTCTTTGAAAAGAAAGGTTAAACTCTGTGAGTTGAACGCACACATCACAAAACAGTTTCTGAGAATCATTCTGTCTAGTTTTTATACGAAGATATTTCCTTTTCTACCGTTGACCTCAAAGCAGCTGAATTCTCCACTTACAAATTCCACCAAAAGAGTGTCTCAAATCTGCGCTGTGTAAAGAATCATTCAACTCTGTGAGTTGAATGCACACAACACAAGGAAGTTACTGGGAATTCCTCTGTCTAACCTTACATGAAAAAACCCGTTTCCAACGAAGGCCTCTAAGAGGCCAAGATATCCACTTGCAGACTTTACAAACAGAGTGTTTCCAAACTGCTGAATGAAAAGAAAAGTTAAACTCTGTGAGTTGAACGCACACATCACAGAGCAGTTTCTGAGAATGATTCTGTCGGGTTTTTATACGAAGATATTTCCTTTTCTGCCTTTGGCCTCAAAGCGCTTGAAGTCTCCACTTGCAAATTGCAGAAAAAGAGTGTTTCGAATCTGCTCTGTCTAAAGGAAGGTTCAACTCTGTCAGTTGAATACACACAACACAAGGAAGTTACTGAGATTTCTTCTGTCTAGCCTTACATGAAAAACACCCATTTCCAACGAAGGCCTCAAAGAGGTCAAAATATCCACGTGCAGACTTTCCAAACAGAGTGTTTCCAAACTGCTGAATGAAAAGAAAAGTTAAACTCTGTGAGTTGAACGCACACATCCCAGAGCAGTTTCTGAGAAAGATTCTGTCTAGTTTTTATAGGAAAATATTTCCTTTTCTGCTTTTGGCCTCAAAGCGCTTGAAATCTCCACTTGCAAATTCCACAAAAAGAGACTTTCAAATCTGCTCTGTCTAAAGGAAGGTTCAACTCTGTCAGTTGAATACACACAACACAAAGAAGTTACTAAGAATTCTTCCCTCTAGCATTATATGAGGAAATCCCGTTTCCAACGAAGGCATCTAAGAGGTCCAAATATCCACTTGCAGACTTTACAAACAGAGGGTTTCCAGAATGCTGTATGAAAAGAAAGGTTAAACTCTGTGAGTTAAACACACACATCACTACGCAGTGTCTGGGAACGAGTTTGTCTTGTTTTTATACGAAGATATTTCCTTTTCTACCATTGGCATCGATGCGCTTGAAATTTCCACTTGCAAATTCCACAAAAAGAGTGTTTCAAATCTGCTCTGTCTAAAGGAAGGTTGAACTCTGTGAGTTGCATACACACAACACAAAGAAGTTACTGAGAAATCTTCTGTCTAGCAAAATATGAAGAAATCCCGTTTCCAACGAAGGCCTCAAAGAGGTCCGAATATCCACTGGCAGGCTTCACAAACAGAGTGTTTCCTAACTGCTCTGTGAAAAGAAAGGTTAAACTCTGTGAGTTGAACGCACACATCACAAAGGAGTTTCTGAGAATCATTCTGTCCAGTTTTTATACGAAGATATTTCCTTTTCTACCATTGACCTCAAAGCGGCTGAAATCTCCACTTGCAAATTCCAGAAAAACAGTGTTTCAAATCTGCTCTGTGTAAAGGATCGTTCAACTCTGTGAGTTGAATACACACAACACAAGGAAGTTACTGAGAATTCATCTGTCTAGCATAATATGATGAAATCCCGTTTCCAACGAAGGCTTCAAAGAGGTCTGAATATCCACTTGCAGACTTTACAAACAGAGTGTTTCCTAACTGCTCTTTGAAAAGAAAGGTTAAACTCTGTGAGTTGAACGCACACATCACAAAACAGTTTCTGAGAATCATTCTTTCTAGTTTTTATACGAAGATATTTCCTTTTCTACCGTTGACCTCAAAGCGGCTGAATTCTCCACTTACAAATTCCACCAAAAGTGTGTCTCAAATCTGCTCTGTGTAAAGAATCATTCAACTCTGTGAGTTGAATGCACACAACACAAGGAAGTTACTGGGAATTCCTCTGTCTAACCTTACATGAAAAAACGCGTTTCCAACGAAGGCCTCTAAGAGGCCAAGATATCCACTTGCAGACTTTACAAACAGAGTGTTTCCAAACTGCTGAATGAAAAGAAAAGTTAAACTCTGTGAGTTGAACGCACACATCACAGAGCAGTTTCTGAGAATGATTCTGTCGGGTTTTTATACGAAGATATTTCCTTTTCTGCCTTGGCCTCAAAGCGCTTGAAGTCTCCACTTGCAAATTGCAGAAAAAGAGCGTTTCGAATCTGCTCTGTCTAAAGGAAGGTTCAACTCTGTCAGTTAAATACACACAACACAAGGAAGTTACTGAGATTTCTTCTGTCTAGCCTTACATGAAAAAAACCCGTTTCCAACGAAGGCCTCAAAGAGGTCAAAATATCCACGTGCAGACTTTCCAAACAGAGTGTTTCCAAACTGCTGAATGAAAAGAAAGTTAAACTCTGTGAGTTGAACACACACATCACAGAGCAGTTTCTGAGAATGATTCTGTCTAGTTTTTATAGGAAAATATTTCCTTTTCTGCCTTTTGGCCTCAAAGCGCTTGAAATCTCCACTTGCAAATTCCACAAAAAGAGTGTTTCAAATCTGCTCTGTCTAAAGGAAGGTTGAACTCTGTGAGTTGCATACACACAACACAAAGAAGTTACTGAGAAATCTTCTGTCTAGCATAATATGAAGAAATCCCGTTTCCAACGAAGGCCTCAAAGAGGTCCGAATATCCACTGGCAGGCTTCACAAACAGAGTGTTTCCTAACTGCTCTGTGAAAAGAAAGGTTAAACTCTGTGAGTTGAACGCACACATCACAAAGGAGTTTCTGAGAATCATTCTGTCTAGTTTTTATACGAAGATATTTCCTTTTCTACCATTGACCTCAAAGCAGCTGAAATCTCCACTTGCAAATTCCAGAAAAACAGTGTTTCAAATCTGCTCTGTGTAAAGGATCGTTCAACTCTGTGAGTTGAATACACACAACACAAGGAAGTTACTGAGAATTCATCTGTCTAGCATAATATGAAGAAATCCCGTTTCCAACGAAGGCCTCAAAGAGGTCTGAATATCCACTTGCAGACTTTACAAACAGAGTGTTTCCTAACTGCTCTTTGAAAAGAAAGGTTAAACTCTGTGACTTGAACGCACACATCACAAAACAGTTTCTGAGAATCATTCTGTCTAGTTTTTATACGAAGATATTTCCTTTTCTACCGTTGACCTCAAAGCAGCTGAATTCTCCACTTACAAATTCCACCAAAAGAGTGTCTCAAATCTGCTCTGTGTAAAGAATCATTCAACTCTGTGAGTTGAATGCACACAACACAAGGAAGTTACTGGGAATTCCTCTGTCTAACCTTACATGAAAAAACCCGTTTCCAACGAAGGCCTCTAAGAGGCCAAGATATCCACTTGCAGACTTTACAAACAGAGTGTTTCCAAACTGCTGAATGAAAAGAAAAGTTAAACTCTGTGAGTTGAACGCACACATCACAGAGCAGTTTCTGAGAATGATTCTGTCGGGTTTTTATACGAAGATATTTCCTTTTCTGCCTTTGGCCTCAAAGCGCTTGAAGTCTCCACTTGCAAATTGCAGAAAAAGAGTGTTTCGAATCTGCTCTGTCTAAAAGAAGGTTCAACTCTGTCAGTTGAATACACACAACACAAGGAAGTTACTGAGATTTCTTCTGTCTAGCCTTACATGAAAAAAACCCGTTTCCAACGAAGGCCTCAAAGAGGTCAAAATATCCACGTGCAGACTTTCCAAACAGAGTGTTTCCAAACTGCTGAATGAAAAGAAAAGTTAAACTCTGTGAGTTGAACGCACACATCCCAGAGCAGTTTCTGAGAAAGATTCTGTCTAGTTTTTATAGGAAAACATTTCCTTTTCTGCTTTTGGCCTCAAAGCGCTTGAAATCTCCACTTGCAAATTCCACAAAAAGAGACTTTCAAATCTGCTCTGTCTAAAGGAAGGTTCAACTCTGTCAGTTGAATACACACAACACAAAGAAGTTACTAAGAATTCTTCCCTCTAGCATTATATGAAGAAATCCCGTTTCCAACGAAGGCATCTAAGAGGTCCAAATATCCACTTGCAGACTTTACAAACAGAGGGTTTCCAGAATGCTGTATGAAAAGAAAGGTGAAACTCTGTGAGTTAAACACACTCATCACTACGCAGTGTCTGGGAACGAGTTTGTCTTGTTTTTATACGAAGATATTTCCTTTTCTACCATTGGCATCGAAGCGCTTGAAATCTCCACTTGCAAATTCCACAAAAAGAGTGTTTCAAATCTGCTCTGTCTAAAGGAAGGTTGAACTCTGTGAGTTGCATACACACAACACAAAGAAGTTACTGAGAAATCTTCTGTCTAGCATAATATGAAGAAATCCCGTTTCCAACGAAGGCCTCAAAGAGGTCCGAATATCCACTGGCAGGCTTCACAAACAGAGTGTTTCCTAACTGCTCTGTGAAAAGAAAGGTTAAACTCTGTGAGTTGAACGCACACATCACAAAGGAGTTTCTGAGAATCATTCTGTCTAGTTTTTATACGAAGATATTTCCTTTTCTACCATTGACCTCAAAGCGGCTGAAATCTCCACTTGCAAATTCCAGAAAAACAGTGTTTCAAATCTGCTCTGTGTAAAGGATCGTTCAACTCTGTGAGTTGAATACACACAACACAAGGAAGTTACTGAGAATTCATCTGTCTAGCATAATATGAAGAAATCCCGTTTCCAACGAAGGCCTCAAAGAGGTCTGAATATCCACTTGCAGACTTTACAAACAGAGTGTTTCCTAACTGCTCTTTGAAAAGAAAGGTTAAACTCTGTGAGTTGAACGCACACATCACAAAACAGTTTCTGAGAATCATTCTGTCTAGTTTTTATACGAAGATATTTCCTTTTCTACCGTTGACCTCAAAGCGGCTGAATTCTCCACTTACAAATTCCACCAAAAGAGTGTCTCAAATCTGCTCTGTGTAAAGAATCATTCAACTCTGTGAGTTGAATGCACACAACACAAGGAAGTTACTGGGAATTCCTCTGTCTATCCTTACATGAAAAAACCCGTTTCCAACGAAGGCCTCTAAGAGGCCAAGATATCCACTTGCAGACTTTACAAACAGAGTGTTTCCAAACTGCTGAATGAAAAGAAAAGTTAAACTCTGTGAGTTGAACGCACACATCACAGAGCAGTTTCTGAGAGTGATTCTGTCGGGTTTTTATACGAAGATATTTCCTTTTCTGCCTTTGGCCTCAAAGCGCTTGAAGTTTCCACTTGCAAATTGCAGAAAAAGAGTGTTTCGAATCTGCTCTGTCTAAAGGAAGGTTCAACTCTGTCAGTTGAATACACACAACACAAGGAAGTTACTGAGATTTCTTCTGTCTAGCCTTACATGAAAAAAACCCGTTTCCAACGAAGGCCTCAAAGAGGTCAAAATATCCACGTGCAGACTTTCCAAACAGAGTGTTTCCAAACTGCTGAATGAAAAGAAAAGTTAAACTCTGTGAGTTGAACGCACACATCCCAGAGCAGTTTCTGAGAAAGATTCTGTCTAGTTTTTATAGGAAAATATTTCCTTTTCTGCTTTTGGCCTCAAAGCGCTTGAAATCTCCACTTGCAAATTCCACAAAAAGAGACTTTCAAATCTGCTCTGTCTAAAGGAAGGTTCAACTCTGTCAGTTGAATACACACAACACAAAGAAGTTACTAAGAATTCTTCCCTCTAGCATTATATGAAGAAATCCCGTTTGCAACGAAGGCATCTAAGAGGTCCAAATATCCACTTGCAGACTTTACAAACAGAGGGTTTCCAGAATGCTGTATGAAAAGAAAGGTGAAACTCTGTGAGTTAAACACACACATCACTACGCAGTGTCTGGGAACGAGTTTGTCTTGTTTTTATACGAAGATATTTCCTTTTCTACCATTGGCATCGAAGCGCTTGAAATCTCCACTTGCAAATTCCACAAAAAGAGTGTTTCAAATCTGCTCTGTCTAAAGGAAGGTTGAACTCTGTGAGTTGCATACACACAACACAAAGAAGTTACTGAGAAATCTTCTGTCTAGCATAATATGAAGAAATCCCGTTTCCAACGAAGGCCTCAAAGAGGTCCGAATATCCACTGGCAGGCTTCACAAACAGAGTGTTTCCTAACTGCTCTGTGAAAAGAAAGGTTAAACCCTGTGAGTTGAACGCACACATCACAAAGGAGTTTCTGAGAATCATTCTGTCTAGTTTTTATACGAAGATATTTCCTTTTCTACCATTGACCTCAAAGCGGCTGAAATCTCCACTTGCAAATTCCAGAAAAACAGTGTTTCAAATCTGCTCTGTGTAAAGGATCGTTCAACTCTGTGAGTTGAATACACACAACACAAGGAAGTTACTGAGAATTCATCTGTCTAGCATAATATGAAGAAATCCCGTTTCCAACGAAGGCCTCAAAGAGGTCTGAATATCCACTTGCAGACTTTACAAACAGAGTGTTTCCTAACTGCTCTTTGAAAAGAAAGGTTAAACTCTGTGAGTTGAACGCACACATCAAAAAACAGTTTCTGAGAATCATTCTGTCTAGTTTTTATACGAAGATATTTCCTTTTCTACCGTTGACCTCAAAGCGGCTGAATTCTCCACTTACAAATTCCACCAAAAGAGTGTCTCAAATCTGCTCTGTGTAAAGAATCATTCAACTCTGTGAGTTGAATGCACACAACACAAGGAAGTTACTGGGAATTCCTCTGTCTATCCTTACATGAAAAAACCCGTTTCCAACGAAGGCCTCTAAGAGGCCAAGATATCCACTTGCAGACTTTACAAACAGAGTGTTTCCAAACTGCTGAATGAAAAGAAAAGTTAAACTCTGTGAGTTGAACGCAGACATCACAGAGCAGTTTCTGAGAATGATTCTGTCGGGTTTTTATACGAAGATATTTCCTTTTCTGCCTTTGGCCTCAAAGCGCTTGAAGTCTCCACTTGCAAATTGCAGAAAAAGAGTGTTTCGAATCTGCTCTGTCTAAAGGAAGGTTCAACTCTGTCAGTTGAATACACACAACACAAGGAAGTTACTGAGATTTCTTCTGTCTAGCCTTACATGAAAAAAACCCGTTTCCAACGAAGGCCTCAAAGAGGTCAAAATATCCACGTGCAGACTTTCCAAACAGAGTGTTTCCAAACTGCTGAATGGAAAGAAAAGTTAAACTCTGTGAGTTGAACGCACACATCCCAGAGCAGTTTCTGAGAAAGATTCTGTCGAGTTTTTATAGGAAAATATTTCCTTTTCTGCTTTTGGCCTCAAAGCGCTTGAAATCTCCACTTGCAAATTCCACAAAAAGAGACTTTCAAATCTGCTCTGTCTAAAGGAAGGTTCAACTCTGTCAGTTGAATACACACAACACAAAGAAGTTACTAAGAATTCTTCCCTCTAGCATTATATGAAGAAATCCCGTTTCCAACGAAGGCATCTAAGAGGTCCAAATATCCACTTGCAGACTTTACAAACAGAGGGTTTCCAGAATGCTGTATGAAAAGAAAGGTGAAACTCTGTGAGTTAAACACACACATCACTACGCAGTGTCTGGGAACGAGTTTGTCTTGTTTTTATACGAAGATATTTCCTTTTCTACCATTGGCATCGAAGCGCTTGAAATCTCCACTTGCAAATTCCACAAAAAGAGTGTTTCAAATCTGCTCTGTCTAAAGGAAGGTTGAACTCTGTGAGTTGCATACACACAACACAAAGAAGTTACTGAGAAATCTTCTGTCTAGCATAATATGAAGAAATCCCGTTTCCAACGAAGGCCTCAAAGAGGTCCGAATATCCACTGGCAGGCTTCACAAACAGAGTGTTTCCTAACTGCTCTGTGAAAAGAAAGGTTAAACTCTGTGAGTTGAACGCACACATCACAAAGGAGTTTCTGATAATCATTCTGTCTAGTTTTTATACGAAGATATTTCTTTTTCTACCATTGACCTCAAAGCGGCTGAAATCTCCACTTGCAAATTCCAGAAAAACAGTGTTTCAAATCTGCTCTGTGTAAAGGATCGTTCAACTCTGTGAGTTGAATACACACAACACAAGGAAGTTACTGAGAATTCATCTGTCTAGCATAATATGAAGAAATCCCGTTTCCAACGAAGGCCTCAAAGAGGTCTGAATATCCACTTGCAGACTTTACAAACAGAGTGTTTCCTAACTGCTCTTTGAAAAGAAAGGTTAAACTCTGTGAGTTGAACGCACACATCACAAAACAGTTTCTGAGAATCATTCTGTCTAGTTTTTATACGAAGATATTTCCTTTTCTACCGTTGACCTCAAAGCGGCTGAATTCTCCACTAACAAATTCCACCAAAAGAGTGTCTCAAATCTGCTCTGTGTAAAGAATCATTCAACTCTGTGAGTTGAATGCACACAACACAAGGAAGTTACTGGGAATTCCTCTGTCTAACCTTACATGAAAAAACCCGTTTCCAACGAAGGCCTCTAAGAGGCCAAGATATCCACTTGCAGACTTTACAAACAGAGTGTTTCCAAACTGCTGAATGAAAAGAAAAGTTAAACTCTGTGAGTTGAACGCACACATCACAGAGCAGTTTCTGAGAATGATTCTGTCGGGTTTTTATACGAAGATATTTCCTTTTCTGCCTTTGGCCTCAAAGCGCTTGAAGTCTCCACTTGCAAATTGCAGAAAAAGAGTGTTTCGAATCTGCTCTGTCTAAAGGAAGGTTCAACTCTGTCAGTTGAATACACACAACACAAGGAAGTTACTGAGATTTCTTCTGTCTAGCCTTACATGAAAAAAACCCGTTTCCAACGAAGGCCTCAAAGAGGTCAAAATATCCACGGCAGACTTTTCAAACAGAGTGTTTCCAAACTGCTGAATGAAAAGAAAAGTTAAACTCTGTGAGTTGAACGCACACATCACAGAGCAGTTTCTGAGAATGATTATGTCTAGTTTTTATAGGAAAATATTTCCTTTTCTGCTTTTGGCCTCAAAGTGCTTGAAATCTCCACTTGCAAATTCCACAAAAAGAGACTTTCAAATCTGCTCTGTCTAAAGGAATGTTCAACTCTGTCAGTTGAATACACACAACACAAAGAAGTTACTAAGAATTCTTCCCTCTACCATTATATGAAGAAATCCCGTTTCCAAAGAAGGCATCTAAGAGGTCCAAATATCCACTTGCAGACTTTACAAACAGAGGGTTTCCAGAATTCTGTATGAAAAGAAAGGTTAAACTCTGTGAGTTAAACACACACATCACTACGCAGTTTCTGGGAACGAGTTTGTCTTGTTTTTATACGAAGATATTTCCTTTTCTACCATTGGCATCGAAGCGCTTGAAATCTCCACTTCCAAATTCCACAAAAAGAGTGTTTCAAATCTGCTCTCTCTAAAGGAAGGTTGAACTCTGTGAGTTGCATATACACAACACAAAGTAGTTACTGAGAAATCTGTCTAGCATAATATGAAGAAATCCCGTTTCCAACGAAGGCCTCAAAGAGGTCCGAATATCCACTGGCAGGCTTCACAAACAGAGTGTTTCCTAACTGCTCTGTGAAAAGAAAGGTTAAACTCTGTGAGTTGAACGCACACATCACAAAGGAGTTTCTGAGAATCATTCTGTCTAGTTTTTATACGAAGATATTTCCTTTTCTACCATTGACCTCAAAGCGGCTGACATCTCCACTTGCAAATTCCAGAAAAACAGTGTTTCAAATCTGCTCTGTGTAAAGGATCGTTCAACTCTGTGAGTTGAATACACACAACACAAGGAAGTTACTGAGAATTCATCTGTCTAGCATAATATGAAGAAATCCCGTTTCCAACGAAGGTCTCAAAGAGGTCTGAATATCCGCTTGCAGACTTTACAAACAGAGTGTTTCCTAACTGCTCTTTGAAAAGAAAGGTTAAACTCTGTGAGTTGAACGCACACATCACAAAACAGTTTCTGAGAATCATTCTGTCTAGTTTTTATACGAAGATATTTCCTTTTCTACCGTTGACCTCAAAGCGGCTGAATTCTCCACTTACAAATTCCACCAAAAGAGTGTCTCAAATCTGCTCTGTGAAAAGAATCATTCAACTCTGTGAGTTGAATGCACACAACACAAGGAAAGTTACTGGGAATTCCTCTGTCTAACCTTACATGAAAAAACGCGTTTCCAACGAAGGCCTCTAAGAGGCCAAGATATCCACTTGCAGACTTTACAAACAGAGTGTTTCCAAACTGCTGAATGAAAAGAAAAGTTAAACTCTGTGAGTTGAACGCACACATCACAGAGCAGTTTCTGAGAATGATTCTGTCGGGTTTTTATACGAAGATATTTCCTTTTCTGCCTTTGGCCTCAAAGCGCTTGAAGTCTCCACTTGCAAATTGCAGAAAAAGAGTGTTTCGAATCTGCTCTGTCTAAAGGAAGGTTCAACTCTGTCAGTTGAATACACACAACACAAGGAAGTTACTGAGATTTCTTCTGTCTAGCCTTACATGAAAAAAACCCGTTTCCAACGAAGGCCTCAAAGAGGTCAAAATATCCACGTGCAGACTTTCCAAACAGAGTGTTTCCAAACTGCTGAATGAAAAGAAAAGTTAAACTCTGTGAGTTGAACGCACACATCCCAGAGCAGTTTCTGAGAAAGATTCTGTCTAGTTTTTATAGGAAAATATTTCCTTTTCTGCTTTTGGCCTCAAAGCGCTTGAAATCTCCACTTGCAAATTCCACAAAAAGAGACTTTCAAATCTGCTCTGTCTAAAGGAAGGTTCAACTCTGTCAGTTGAATACACACAACACAAAGAAGTTACTAAGAATTCTTCCCTCTAGCATTATATGAAGAAATCCCGTTTCCAACGAAGGCATCTAAGAGGTCCAAATATCCACTTGCAGACTTTACAAACAGAGGGTTTCCAGAATGCTGTATGAAAAGAAAGGTGAAACTCTGTGAGTTAAACACACACATCACTACGCAGTGTCTGGGAACGAGTTTGTCTTGTTTTTATACGAAGATATTTCCTTTTCTACCATTGGCATCGATGCGCTTGAAATTTCCACTTGCAAATTCCACAAAAAGAGTGTTTCAAATCTGCTCTGTCTAAAGGAAGGTTGAACTCTGTGAGTTGCATACACACAACACAAAGAAGTTACTGAGAAATCTTCTGTCTAGCAAAATATGAAGAAATCCCGTTTCCAACGAAGGCCTCAAAGAGGTCCGAATATCCACTGGCAGGCTTCACAAACAGAGTGTTTCCTAACTGCTCTGTGAAAAGAAAGGTTAAACTCTGTGAGTTGAACGCACACATCACAAAGGAGTTTCTGAGAATCATTCTGTCCAGTTTTTATACGAAGATATTTCCTTTTCTACCATTGACCTCAAAGCGGCTGAAATCTCCACTTGCAAATTCCAGAAAAACAGTCTTTCAAATCTGCTCTGTGTAAAGGATCGTTCAACTCTGTGAGTTGAATACACACAACACAAGGAAGTTACTGAGAATTCATCTGTCTAGCATAATATGATGAAATCCCGTTTCCAACGAAGGCTTCAAAGAGGTCTGAATATCCACTTGCAGACTTTACAAACAGAGTGTTTCCTAACTGCTCTTTGAAAAGAAAGGTTAAACTCTGTGAGTTGAACGCACACATCACAAAACAGTTTCTGAGAATCATTCTTTCTAGTTTTTATACGAAGATATTTCCTTTTCTACCGTTGACCTCAAAGCGGCTGAATTCTCCACTTACAAATTCCACCAAAAGTGTGTCTCAAATCTGCTCTGTGTAAAGAATCATTCAACTCTGTGAGTTGAATGCACACAACACAAGGAAGTTACTGGGAATTCCTCTGTCTAACCTTACATGAAAAAACGCGTTTCCAACGAAGGCCTCTAAGAGGCCAAGATATCCACTTGCAGACTTTACAAACAGAGTGTTTCCAAACTGCTGAATGAAAAGAAAAGTTAAACTCTGTGAGTTGAACGCACACATCATAGAGCAGTTTCTGAGAATGATTCTGTCGGGTTTTTATACGAAGATATTTCCTTTTCTGCCTTGGCCTCAAAGCGCTTGAAGTCTCCACTTGCAAATTGCAGAAAAAGAGCGTTTCGAATCTGCTCTGTCTAAAGGAAGGTTCAACTCTGTCAGTTAAATACACACAACACAAGGAAGTTACTGAGATTTCTTCTGTCTAGCCTTACATGAAAAAAACCCGTTTCCAACGAAGGCCTCAAAGAGGTCAAAATATCCACGTGCAGACTTTCCAAACAGAGTGTTTCCAAACTGCTGAATGAAAAGAAAGTTAAACTCTGTGAGTTGAACACACACGTCACAGAGCAGTTTCTGAGAATGATTCTCTCTAGTTTTTATAGGAAAATATTTCCTTTTCTGCTTTTGGCCTCAAAGCGCTTGAAATCTCCACTTGCAAATTCCAGAAACAGAGACTTTCAAATCTGCTCTGTCTAAAGGAAGGTTCAACTCTGTCAGTTGAATACACACAACACAAAGAAGTTACTAAGAATTCTTCCCTCTAGCATTATATGAAGAAATCCCGTTTCCAACGAAGGCCTCAAAGGGGTCTGAATATCCACTTGCAGACTTTACAGAGTGTTTCCTAACTGCTCTTTGAAAAGAAAGGTTAAACTCTGTGAGTTGAACGCACACATCACAAAACAGTTTCTGAGAATCATTTTGTCTTGTTTTTCTACGAAGATATTTCCTTTTCTACCATTGGCATCGAAGCGCTTGAAATCTCCACTTGCAAATTCCACAAAAAGAGTGTTTCAAATCTGCTCTGTCTAAAGGAAGGTTGAACTCTGTGAGTTGCATACACACAACACAAAGAAGTTACTGAGAAATCTTCTGTCTAGCATAATATGAAGAAATCCCGTTTCCAACGAAGGCCTCAAAGAGGTCCGAATATCCACTGGCAGGCTTCACAAACAGAGTGTTTCCTAACTGCTCTGTGAAAAGAAAGGTTAAACTCTGTGAGTTGAACGCACACATCACAAAGGAGTTTCTGAGAATCATTCTGTCTAGTTTTTATACGAAGATATTTCCTTTTCTACCATTGACCTCAAAGCGGCTGAAATCTCCACTTGCAAATTCCAGAAAAACAGTGTTTCAAATCTGCTCTGTGTAAAGGATCGTTTAACTCTGTGAGTTGAATACACACAACACAAGGAAGTTACTGAGAATTCATCTGTCTAGCATAATATGAAGAAATCCCGTTTCCAACGAAGGCCTCAAAGAGGTCTGAATATCCACTTGCAGACTTTACAAACAGAGTGTTTCCTAACTGCTCTTTGAAAAGAAAGGTTAAACTCTGTGAGTTGAAAGCACACATCACAAAACAGTTTCTGAGAATCATTCTTTCTAGTTTTTATACGAAGATATTTCCTTTTCTACCGTTGACCTCAAAGCGGCTGAATTCTCCACTTACAAATTCCACCAAAAGAGTGTCTCAAATCTGCTCTGTGTAAAGAATCATTCAACTCTGTGAGTTGAATGCATACAACACAAGGAAGTTACTGGGAATTCCTCTGTCTAACCTTACATGAAAAAACCCGTTTCCAACGAAGGCCTCTAAGAGGCCAAGATATCCACTTGCAGACTTTACAAACAGAGTGTTTCCAAACTGCTGAATGAAAAGAAAAGTTAAACTCTGTGAGTTGAACGCACACATCACAGAGCAGTTTCTGAGAATGATTCTGTCGGGTTTTTATACGAAGATATTTCCTTTTCTGCCTTTGGCCTCAAAGCGCTTGAAGTCTCCACTTGCAAATTGCAGAAAAAGAGTGTTTCGAATCTGCTCTGTCTAAAGGAAGGTTCAACTCTGTCAGTTGAATACACACAACACAAGGAAGTTACTGAGATTTCTTCTGTCTAGCCTTACAAGAAAAAAACCCGTTTCCAACGAAGGCCTCAAAGAGGTCAAAATATCCACGTGCAGACTTTCCAAACAGAGTGTTTCCAAACTGCTGAATGGAAAGAAAAGTTAAACTACTGTGAGTTGAACGCACACATCCCAGAGCAGTTTCTGAGAAAGATTCTGTCTAGTTTTTATAGGAAAATATTTCCTTTTCTGCTTTTGGCCTCAAAGCGCTTGAAATCTCCACTTGCAAATTCCACAAAAAGAGACTTTCAAATCTGCTCTGTCTAAAGGAAGGTTCAACTCTGTCAGTTGAATACACACAACACAAAGAAGTTACTAAGAATTCTTCCCTCTAGCATTATATGAAGAAATCCCGTTTCCAACGAAGGCATCTAAGAGGTCCAAATATCCACTTGCAGACTTTACAAACAGAGGGTTTCCAGAATGCTGTATGAAAAGAAAGGTGAAACTCTGTGAGTTAAACACACACATCACTACGCAGTGTCTGGGAACGAGTTTGTCTTGTTTTTATACGAAGATATTTCCTTTTCTACCATTGGCATCGAAGCGCTTGAAATCTCCACTTGCAAATTCCACAAAAAGAGTGTTTCAAATCTGCTCTGTCTAAAGGAAGGTTGAACTCTGTGAGTTGCATACACACAACACAAAGAAGTTACTGAGAAATCTTCTGTCTAGCATAACATGAAGAAATCCCGTTTCCAACGAAGGCCTCAAAGAGGTCCGAATATCCACTGGCAGGCTTCACAAACAGAGTGTTTCCTAACTGCTCTGTGAAAAGAAAGGTTAAACTCTGTGAGTTGAACGCACACATCACAAAGGAGTTTCTGAGAATCATTCTGTCTAGTTTTTATACGAAGATATTTCCTTTTCTACCATTGACCTCAAAGCGGCTGAAATCTCCACTTGCAAATTCCAGAAAAACAGTGTTTCAAATCTGCTCTGTGAAAAGGATCGTTCAACTCTGTGAGTTGAATACACACAACACAAGGAAGTTACTGAGAATTCATCTGTCTAGCATAATATGAAGAAATCCCGTTTCCAACGAAGGCCTCAAAGAGGTCTGAATATCCACTTGCAGACTTTACAAACAGAGTGTTTCCTAACTGCTCTTTGAAAAGAAAGGTTAAACTCTGTGAGTTGAACGCACACATCACAAAACAGTTTCTGAGAATCATTCTGTCTAGTTTTATACGAAGATATTTCCTTTTCTACCGTTGACCTCAAAGCGGCTGAATTCTCCACTTACAAATTCCACCAAAAGAGTGTCTCAAATCTGCTCTGTGTAAAGAATCATTCAACTCTGTGAGTTGAATGCACACAACACAAGGAAGTTACTGGGAATTCCTCTGTCTAACCTTACATGAAAAAACCCGTTTCCAACGAAGGCCTCTAAGAGGCCAAGATATCCACTTGCAGACTTTACAAACAGAGTGTTTCCAAACTGCTGAATGAAAAGAAAAGTTAAACTCTGTGAGTTGAACGCACACATCACAGAGCAGTTTCTGAGAATGATTCTGTCGGGTTTTTATACGAAGATATTTCCTTTTCTGCCTTTGGCCTCAAAGCGCTTGAAGTCTCCACTTGCAAATTGCAGAAAAAGAGTGTTTCGAATCTGCTCTGTCTAAAGGAAGGTTCAACTCTGTCAGTTGAATACACACAACACAAGGAAGTTACTGAGATTTCTTCTGTCTAGCCTTACATGAAAAAAACCCGTTTCCAACGAAGGCCTCAAAGAGGTCAAAATATCCACGTGCAGACTTTCCAAACAGAGTGTTTCCAAACTGCTGAATGAAAAGAAAAGTTAAACTCTGTGAGTTGAACGCACACATCCCAGAGCAGTTTCTGAGAAAGATTCTGTCGAGTTTTTATAGGAAAATATTTCCTTTTCTGCTTTTGGCCTCAAAGCGCTTGAAATCTCCACTTGCAAATTCCACAAAAAGAGACTTTCAAATCTGCTCTGTCTAAAGGAAGGTTCAACTCTGTCAGTTGAATACACACAACACAAAGAAGTTACTAAGAATTCTTCCCTCTAGCATTATATGAAGAAATCCCGTTTCCAACGAAGGCATCTAAGAGGTCCAAATATCCACTTGCAGACTTTACAAACAGAGGGTTTCCAGAATGCTGTATGAAAAGAAAGGTTAAACTCTGTGAGTTAAACACACACATCACTACGCAGTGTCTGGGAACGAGTTTGTCTTGTTTTTATACGAAGATATTTCCTTTTCTACCATTGGCATCGAAGCGCTTGAAATCTCCACTTGCAAATTCCACAAAAAGAGTGTTTCAAATCTGCTCTGTCTAAAGGAAGGTTGAACTCTGTGAGTTGCATACACACAACACAAAGAAGTTACTGAGAAATCTTCTGTCTAGCATAATATGAAGAAATCCCGTTTCCAACGAAGGCCTGAAAGAGGTCCGAATATCCACTGGCAGGCTTCACAAACAGAGTGTTTCCTAACTGCTCTGTGAAAAGAAAGGTTAAACTCTGTGAGTTGAACGCACACATCACAAAGGAGTTTCTGAGAATCATTCTGTCTAGTTTTTATACGAAGATATTTCCTTTTCTACCATTGACCTCAAAGCGGCTGAAATCTCCACTTGCAAATTCCAGAAAAACAGTGTTTCAAATCTGCTCTGTGTAAAGGATCGTTCAACTCTGTGAGTTGAATACACACAACACAAGGGAAGTTACTGAGAATTCATCTGTCTAGCATAATATGAAGAAATCCCGTTTCCAACGAAGGCCTCAAAGAGGTCTGAATATCCACTTGCAGACTTTACAAACAGAGTGTTTCCTAACTGCTCTTTGAAAAGAAAGGTTAAACTCTGTGAGTTGAAAGCACACATCACAAAACAGTTTCTGAGAATCATTCTGTCTAGTTTTTATACGAAGATATTTCCTTTTCTACCGTTGCCCTCAAAGCGGCTGAATTCTCCACTTACAAATTCCACCCAAAGAGTGTCTCAAATCTGCTCTGTGTAAAGAATCATTCAACTCTGTGAGTTGAATGCACACAACACAAGGAAGTTACTGGGAATTCCTCTGTCTAACCTTACATGAAAAAACCCGTTTCCAACGAAGGCCTCTAAGAGGCCAAGATATCCACTTGCAGACTTTACAAACAGAGTGTTTCCAAACTGCTGAATGAAAAGAAAAGTTAAACTCTGTGAGTTGAACGCACACATCACAGAGCAGTTTCTGAGAATGATTCTGTCGGGTTTTTATACGAAGATATATCCTTTTCTGCCTTTGGCCTCAAAGCGCTTGAAGTCTCCACTTGCAAATTGCAGAAAAAGAGTGTTTCGAATCTGCTCTGTCTAAAGGAAGGTTCAACTCTGTCAGTTGAATACACACAACACAAGGAAGTTACTGAGATTTCTTCTGTCTAGCCTTACATGAAAAAAACCCGTTTCCAACGAAGGCCTCAAAGAGGTCAAAATATCCACGTGCAGACTTTCCAAACAGAGTGTTTCCAAACTGCTGAATGAAAAGAAAAGTTAAACTCTGTGAGTTGAACGCACACATCCCAGAGCAGTTTCTGAGAAAGATTCTGTCGAGTTTTTATAGGAAAATATTTCCTTTTCTGCTTTTGGCCTCAAAGCGCTTGAAATCTCCACTTGCAAATTCCACAAAAAGAGACTTTCAAATCTGCTCTGTCTAAAGGAAGGTTCAACTCTGTCAGTTGAATACACACAACACAAAGAAGTTACTAAGAATTCTTCCCTCTAGCATTATATGAAGAAATCCCGTTTGCAACGAAGGCATCTAAGAGGTCCAAATATCCACTTGCAGACTTTACAAACAGAGGGTTTCCAGAATGCTGTATGAAAAGAAAGGTGAAACTCTGTGAGTTAAACACACACATCACTACGCAGTGTCTGGGAACGAGTTTGTCTTGTTTTTATACGAAGATATTTCCTTTTCTACCATTGGCATCGAAGCGCTTGAAATCTCCACTTGCAAATTCCACAAAAAGAGTGTTTCAAATCTGCTCTGTCTAAAGGAAGGTTGAACTCTGTGAGTTGCATACACACAACACAAAGAAGTTACTGAGAAATCTTCTGTCTAGCATAATATGAAGAAATCCCGTTTCCAACGAAGGCCTCAAAGAGGTCCGCATATCCACTGGCAGGCTTCACAAACAGAGTGTTTCCTAACTGCTCTGTGAAAAGAAAGGTTAAACTCTGTGAGTTGAACGCACACATCACAAAGGAGTTTCTGAGAATCATTCTGTCTAGTTTTTATACGAAGATATTTCCTTTTCTACCATTGACCTCAAAGCGGCTGAAATCTCCACTTGCAAATTCCAGAAAAACAGTGTTTCAAATCTGCTCTGTGTAAAGGATCGTTCAACTCTGTGAGTTGAATACACACAACACAAGGAAGTTACTGAGAATTCATCTGTCTAGCATAATATGAAGAAATCCCGTTTCCAACGAAGGCCTCAAAGAGGTCTGAATATCCTCTTGCAGACTTTACAAACAGAGTGTTTCCTAACTGCTCTTTGAAAAGAAAGGTTAAACTCTGTGAGTTGAACGCACACATCACAAAACAGTTTCTGAGAATCATTCTGTCTAGTTTTTATACGAAGATATTTCCTTTTCTACCGTTGACCTCAAAGCGGCTGAATTCTCCACTTACAAATTCCACCAAAAGAGTGTCTCAAAACTGCTCTGTGTAAAGAATCATTCAACTCTGTGAGTTGAATGCACACAACACAAGGAAGTTACTGGGAATTCCTGTGTGTATCCTTACATGAAAAAACCCGTTTCCAACGAAGGCCTCTAAGAGGCCAAGATATCCACTTGCAGACTTTACAAACAGAGTGTTTCCAAACTGCTGAATGAAAAGAAAAGTTAAACTCTGTGAGTTGAACGCACACATCACAGAGCAGTTTCTGAGAATGATTCTGTTGGGTTTTTATACGAAGATATTTCCTTTTCTGCCTTTGGCCTCAAAGCGCTTGAAGTCTCCACTTGCAAATTGCAGAAAAAGAGTGTTTCGAATCTGCTCTGTCTAAAGGAAGGTTCAACTCTGTCAGTTGAATACACACAACACAAGGAAGTTACTGAGATTTCTTCTGTCTAGCCTTACATGAAAAAAACCCGTTTCCAACGAAGGCCTCAAAGAGGTCAAAATATCCACGTGCAGACTTTCCAAACAGTGTTTCCAAACTGCTGAATGAAAAGAAAAGTTAAACTCTGTGAGTTGAACGCACACATCACAGAGCAGTTTCTGAGAATGATTCTGTCGAGTTTTTATAGGAAAATATTTCCTTTTCTGCTTTTGGCCTCAAAGCGCTTGAAATCTCCACTTGCAAATTCCACAAAAAGAGACTTTCAAATCTGCTCTGTCTAAAGGAAGGTTCAACTCTGTCAGTTGAATACACACAACACAAAGAAGTTACTAAGAATTCTTCCCTCTAGCATTATATGAAGAAATCCCGTTTCCAACGAAGGCATCTAAGAGGTCCAAATATCCACTTGCAGACTTTACAAACACAGGGTTTCCAGAATGCTGTATGAAAAGAAAGGTTAAACTCTGTGAGTTAAACACACACATCACTACGCAGTGTCTGGGAACGAGTTTGTCTTGTTTTTCTACGAAGATATTTCCTTTTCTACCATTTGCATCGAAGCGCTTGAAATCTCCACTTGCAAATTCCACAAAAAGAGTGTTTCAAATATGCTCTCTCTAAAGGAAGGTTGAACTCTGTAAGTTGCATACACACAACACAAAGAAGTTACTGAGAAATCTTCTGTCTAGCATAATATGAAGAAATCCCGTTTCCAACGAAGGCCTCAAAGAGGTCCGAATATCCACTGGCAGGCTTCACAAACAGAGTGTTTCCTAACTGCTCTGTGAAAAGAAAGGTTAAACTCTGTGAGTTGAACGCACACATCACAAAGGAGTTTCTGAGAATCATTCTGTCTAGTTTTTATACGAAGATATTTCCTTTTCTACCATTGACCTCAAAGCGGCTGAAATCTCCACTTGCAAATTCCAGAAAAA
Source organism: Homo sapiens (assembly GCF_000001405.40). Taxonomy (NCBI): domain Eukaryota; kingdom Metazoa; phylum Chordata; class Mammalia; order Primates; family Hominidae; genus Homo; species Homo sapiens. The sequence continues at coordinate 36,984,111 of NC_000016.10, read as the reverse complement.
CAGTGTTTCAAATCTGCTCTGTGTAAAGGATCGTTCAACTCTGTGAGTTGAATACACACAACACAAGGAAGTTACTGAGAATTCATCTGTCTAGCATAATATGAAGAAATCCCGTTTCCAACGAAGGCCTCAAAGAGGTCTGAATATCCACTTGCAGACTTTACAAACAGAGTGTTTCCTAACTGCTCTTTGAAAAGAAAGGTTAAACTCTGTGAGTTGAACGCACACATCACAAAACAGTTTCTGAGAATCATTCTGTCTAGTTTTTATACGAAGATATTTCCTTTTCTACCGTTGAACTCAAAGCGGCTGAATTCTCCACTAACAAATTCCACCAAAAGAGTGTCTCAAATCTGCTCTGTGTAAAGAATCATTCAACTCTGTGAGTTGAATGCACACAACACAAGGAAGTTACTGGGAATTCCTCTGTCTAACCTTACATGAAAAAACCCGTTTCCCACGAAGGCCTCTAAGAGGCCAAGATATCCACTTGCAGACTTTACAAACAGAGTGTTTCCAAACTGCTGAATGAAAAGAAAAGTTAAACTCTGTGAGTTGAACGCACACATCACAGAGCAGTTTCTGAGAATGATTCTGTCGGGTTTTTATACGAAGATATTTCCTTTTCTGCCTTTGGCCTCAAAGCGCTTGAAGTCTCCACTTGCAAATTGCAGAAAAAGAGCGTTTCGAATCTGCTCTGTCTAAAGGAAGGTTCAACTCTGTCAGTTGAATACACACAACACAAGGAAGTTACTGAGATTTCTTCTGTCTAGCCTTACATGAAAAAAACCCGTTTCCAACGAAGGCCTCAAAGAGGTCAAAATATCCACGTGCAGACTTTCCAAACAGAGTGTTTCCAAACTGCTGAATGAAAAGAAAGTTAAACTCTGTGAGTTGAACACACACATCACAGAGCAGTTTCTGAGAATTATTCTCTCTAGTTTTTATAGGAAAATATTTCCTTTTCTGCTTTTGGCCTCAAAGCGCTTGAAATCTCCACTTGCAAATTCCACAAAAAGAGACTTTCAAATCTGCTCTGTCTAAAGGAAGGTTCAACTCTGTCAGTTGAATACACACAACACAAAGAAGTTACTAAGAATTCTTCCCTCTAGCATTATATGAAGAAATCCCGTTTCCAACGAAGGCCTCAAAGAGGTCTGAATATCCACTTGCAGACTTTACAGAGTGTTTCCTAACTGCTCTTTGAAAAGAAAGGTTAAACTCTGTGAGTTGAACGCACACATCACAAAACAGTTTCTGAGAATCATTCTGTCTAGTTTTTATACGAAGGTATTTCCTTTTCTACCGTTGACCTCAAAGAGGCTGAATTCTCCACTTACAAATTCCACCCAAAGAGTGTCTCAAATCTGCTCTGTGTAAAGAATCATTCAACTCTGTGAGTTGAATGCACACAACACAAGGAAGTTACTGGGAATTCCTCTGTCTAACCTTACATGAAAAAACCCGTTTCCAACGAAGGCCTCTAAGAGGCCAAGATATCCACTTGCAGACTTTACAAACAGAGTGTTTCCAAACTGCTGAATGAAAAGAAAAGTTAAACTCTGTGAGTTGAACGCACACATCACAGAGCAGTTTCTGAGAATGATTCTGTCGGGTTTTTATACGAAGATATTTCCTTTTCTGCCTTTGGCCTCAAAGCGCTTGAAGTCTCCACTTGCAAATTGCAGAAAAAGAGTGTTTCGAATCTGCTCTGTCTAAAGGAAGGTTCAACTCTGTCAGTTGAATACACACAACACAAGGAAGTTACTGAGATTTCTTCTGTCTAGCCTTACATGAAAAAAACCCGTTTCCAACGAAGGCCTCAAAGAGGTCAAAATATCCACGTGCAGACTTTCCAAACAGAGTGTTTCCAAACTGCTGAATGAAAAGAAAAGTTAAACTCTGTGAGTTGAACGCACACATCCCAGAGCAGTTTCTGAGAAAGATTCTGTCTAGTTTTTATAGGAAAATATTTCCTTTTCTGCTTTTGGCCTCAAAGCGCTTGAAATCTCCACTTGCAAATTCCACAAAAAGAGACTTTCAAATCTGCTCTGTCTAAAGGAAGGTTCAACTCTGTCAGTTGAATACACACAACACAAAGAAGTTACTAAGAATTCTTCCCTCTAGCATTATATGAAGAAATCCCGTTTCCAACGAAGGCATCTAAGAGGTCCAAATATCCACTTGCAGACTTTACAAACACAGGGTTTCCAGAATGCTGTATGAAAAGAAAGGTTAAACTCTGTCAGTTAAACACACACATCACTACGCAGTGTCTGGGAACGAGTTTGTCTTGTTTTTATACGAAGATATTTCCTTTTCTACCATTGGCATCGAAGCGCTTGAAATCTCCACTTGCAAATTCCACAAAAAGAGTGTTTCAAATCTGCTCTGTCTAAAGGAAGGTTGAACTCTGTGAGTTGCATACACACAACACAAAGAAGTTACTGAGAAATCTTCTGTCTAGCATAATATGAAGAAATCCCGTTTCCAACGAAGGCCTCAAAGAGGTCCGAATATCCACTGGCAGGCTTCACAAACAGAGTGTTTCCTAACTGCTCTGTGAAAAGAAAGGTTAAACTCTGTGAGTTGAACGCACACATCACAAAGGAGTTTCTGAGAATCATTCTGTCTAGTTTTTATACGAAGATATTTCCTTTTCTACCATTGACCTCAAAGCGGCTGAAATCTCCACTTGCAAATTCCAGAAAAACAGTGTTTCAAATCTGCTCTGTGTAAAGGATCGTTTAACTCTGTGAGTTGAATACACACAACACAAGGAAGTTACTGAGAATTCATCTGTCTAGCATAATATGAAGAAATCCCGTTTCCAACGAAGGCCTCAAAGAGGTCTGAATATCCACTTGCAGACTTTACAAACAGAGTGTTTCCTAACTGCTCTTTGAAAAGAAAGGTTAAACTCTGTGAGTTGAAAGCACACATCACAAAACAGTTTCTGAGAATCATTCTTTCTAGTTTTTATACGAAGATATTTCCTTTTCTACCGTTGACCTCAAAGCGGCTGAATTCTCCACTTACAAATTCCACCAAAAGAGTGTCTCAAATCTGCTCTGTGTAAAGAATCATTCAACTCTGTGAGTTGAATGCATACAACACAAGGAAGTTACTGGGAATTCCTCTGTCTAACCTTACATGAAAAAACCCGTTTCCAACGAAGGCCTCTAAGAGGCCAAGATATCCACTTGCAGACTTTACAAACAGAGTGTTTCCAAACTGCTGAATGAAAAGAAAAGTTAAACTCTGTGAGTTGAACGCACACATCACAGAGCAGTTTCTGAGAATGATTCTGTCGGGTTTTTATACGAAGATATTTCCTTTTCTGCCTTTGGCCTCAAAGCGCTTGAAGTCTCCACTTGCAAATTGCAGAAAAAGAGTGCTTCGAATCTGCTCTGTCTAAAGGAAGGTTCAACTCTGTCAGTTGAATACACACAACACAAGGAAGTTACTGAGATTTCTTCTGTCTAGCCTTACATGAAAAAAACCCGTTTCCAACGAAGGCCTCAAAGAGGTCAAAATATCCACGTGCAGACTTTCCAAACAGAGTGTTTCCAAACTGCTGAATGAAAAGAAAGTTAAACTCTGTGAGTTGAACACACACATCACAGAGCAGTTTCTGAGAATGATTCTCTCTAGTTTTTATAGGAAAATATTTCCTTTTCTGCTTTTGGCCTCAAAGCGCTTGAAATCTCCACTTGCAAATTCCACAAAAAGAGACTTTCAAATCTGCTCTGTCTAAAGGAAGGTTCAACTCTGTCAGTTGAATACACACAACACAAAGAAGTTACTAAGAATTCTTCCCTCTAGCATTATATGAAGAAATCCCGTTTCCAACGAAGGCATCTAAGAGGTCCAAATATCCACTTGCAGACTTTACAAACAGAGGGTTTCCAGAATGCTGTATGAAAAGAAAGGTGAAACTCTGTGAGTTAAACACACACATCACTACGCAGTGTCTGGGAACGAGTTTGTCTTGTTTTTATACAAAGATATTTCCTTTTCTACCATTGGCATCGAAGCGCTTGAAATCTCCACTTGCAAATTCCACAAAAAGAGTGTTTCAAATCTGCTCTGTCTAAAGGAAGGTTGAACTCTGTGAGTTGCATACACACAACACAAAGAAGTTACTGAGAAATCTTCTGTCTAGCATAATATGAAGAAATCCCGTTTCCAACGAAGGCCTCAAAGAGGTCCGAATATCCACTGGCAGGCTTCACAAACAGAGTGTTTCCTAACTGCTCTGTGAAAAGAAAGGTTAAACTCTGTGAGTTGAACGCACACATCACAAAGGAGTTTCTGAGAATCATTCTGTCTAGTTTTTATACGAAGATATTTCCTTTTCTACCATTGACCTCAAAGCGGCTGAAATCTCCACTTGCAAATTCCAGAAAAACAGTGTTTCAAATCTGCTCTGTGTAAAGGATCGTTCAACTCTGTGAGTTGAATACACACAACACAAGGAAGTTACTGAGAATTCATCTGTCTAGCATAATATGAAGAAATCCCGTTTCCAACGAAGGCCTCAAAGAGGTCTGAATATCCACTTGCAGACTTTACAAACAGAGTGTTTCCTAACTGCTCTTTGAAAAGAAAGGTTAAACTCTGTGAGTTGAATGCACACATCACAAAACAGTTTCTGAGAATCATTCTGTCTAGTTTTTATACGAAGATATTTCCTTTTCTACCGTTGACCTCAAAGCGGCTGAATTCTCCACTTACAAATTCCACCAAAAGAGTGTCTCAAATCTGCTCTGTGTAAAGAATCATTCAACTCTGTGAGTTGAATGCACACAACACAAGGAAGTTACTGGGAATTCCTCTGTCTAACCTTACATGAAAAAACCCGTTTCCAACGAAGGCCTCTAAGAGGCCAAGATATCCACTTGCAGACTTTACAAACAGAGTGTTTCCAAACTGCTGAATGAAAAGAAAAGTTAAACTCTGTGAGTTGAACGCACACATCACAGAGCAGTTCTGACAATGATTCTGTCGGGTTTTTATACGAAGATATTTCCTTTTCTGCCTTTGGCCTCAAAGCGCTTGAAGTCTCCACTTGCAAATTGCAGAAAAAGAGTGTTTCGAATCTGCTCTGTCTAAAGGAAGGTTCAACTCTGTCAGTTGAATACACACAACACAAGGAAGTTACTGAGATTTCTTCTGTCTAGCCTTACATGAAAAAAACCCGTTTCCAACGAAGGCCTCAAAGAGGTCAAAATATCCACGTGCAGACTTTCCAAACAGAGTGTTTCCAAACTGCTGAATGAAAAGAAAAGTTAAACTCTGTGAGTTGAACGCACACATCCCAGAGCAGTTTCTGAGAAAGATTCTGTCTAGTTTTTATAGGAAAATATTTCCTTTTCTGCTTTTGGCCTCAAAGCGCTTGAAATCTCCACTTGCAAATTCCACAAAAAGAGACTTTCAAATCTGCTCTGTCTAAAGGAAGGTTCAACTCTGTCAGTTGAATACACACAACACAAAGAAGTTACTAAGAATTCTTCCCTCTAGCATTATATGAAGAAATCCCGTTTCCAACGAAGGCATCTAAGAGGTCCAAATATCCACTTGCAGACTTTACAAACACAGGGTTTCCAGAATGCTGTATGAAAAGAAAGGTTAAACTCTGTGAGTTAAACACACACATCACTACGCAGTGTCTGGGAACGAGTTTGTCTTGTTTTTATACGAAGATATTTCCTTTTCTACCATTGGCATCGAAGCGCTTGAAATCTCCACTTGCAAATTCCACAAAAAGAGTGTTTCAAATCTGCTCTGTCTAAAGGAAGGTTGAACTCTGTGAGTTGCATACACACAACACAAAGAAGTTACTGAGAAATCTTCTGAATAGCATAATATGAAGAAATCCCGTTTCCAACGAAGGCCTCAAAGAGGTCCGAATATCCACTGGCAGGCTTCACAAACAGAGTGTTTCCTAACTGCTCTGTGAAAAGAAAGGTTAAACTCTGTGAGTTGAACGCACACATCACAAAGGAGTTTCTGAGAATCATTCTGTCTAGTTTTTATACGAAGATATTTCCTTTTCTACCATTGACCTCAAAGCGGCTGAAATCTCCACTTGCAAATTCCAGAAAAACAGTGTTTCAAATCTGCTCTGTGTAAAGGATCGTTCAACTCTGTGAGTTGAATACACACAACACAAGGAAGTTACTGAGAATTCATCTGTCTAGCATAATATGAAGAAATCCCGTTTCCAACGAAGGCCTCAAAGAGGTCTGAATATCCTCTTGCAGACTTTACAAACAGAGTGTTTCCTAACTGCTCTTTGAAAAGAAAGGTTAAACTCTGTGAGTTGAACGCACACATCACAAAACAGTTTCTGAGAATCATTCTGTCTAGTTTTTATACGAAGATATTTCCTTTTCTACCGTTGACATCAAAGCGGCTGAATTCTCCACTTACAAATTCCACCAAAAGAGTGTCTCAAATCTGCTCTGTGTAAAGAATCATTCAACTCTGTGAGTTGAATGCACACAACACAAGGAAGTTAGTGGGAATTCCTCTGTCTAACCTTACATGAAAAAACCCGCTTCCAACGAAGGCCTCTAAGAGGCCAAGTTATCCACTTGCAGACTTTACAAACAGAGTGTTTCCAAACTGCTGAATGAAAAGAAAAGTTAAACTCTGTGAGTTGAACGCACACATCACAGAGCAGTTTCTGAGAATGATTCTGTCGGGTTTTTATACGAAGATATTTCCTTTTCTGCCTTTGGCCTCAAAGCGCTTGAAGTCTCCACTTGGAAATTGCAGAAAAAGAGTGTTTGGAATCTGCTCTGTCTAAAGGAAGGTTCAACTCTGTCAGTTGAATACACACAACACAAGGAAGTTACTGAGATTTCTTCTGTCTAACCTTACATGAAAAAAACCCGTTTCCAACGAAGGCCTCAAAGAGGTCAAAATATCCACGGCAGACGTTACAAACAGAGTGTTTCCAAACTGCTGAATGAAAAGAAAAGTTAAACTCTGTGAGTTGAACGCACACATCACAGAGCAGTTTCTGAGAATGATTCTGTCGAGTTTTTATAGGAAAATATTTCCTTTTCTGCTTTTGGCCTCAAAGCGCTTGAAATCTCCACTTGCAAATTCCACAAAAAGAGACTTTCAAATCTGCTCTGTCTAAAGGAAGGTTCAACTCTGTCAGTTGAATACACACAACACAAAGAAGTTACAGAGAATTCTTCCCTCTACCATTATATGACGAAATCCCGTTTCCAACGAAGGCATCTAAGAGGTCCAAATATCCACTTGCAGACTTTACAAACAGAGGGTTTCCAGAATTCTGTATGAAAAGAAAGGTTAAAGTCTGTGAGTTAAACACACACATCACTACGCAGTTTCTGGGAATGATTTTGTCTTGTTTTTATACGAAGATATTTCCTTTTCGACCATTGGCGTCGAAGCCCTTGAAATCTCCACTTGCAAATTCCACAAAAAGAGTGTTTCAAATCTGCTCTGTCTAAAGGAAGGATGAACTCTGTGAGTTGCATACACACAACACAAAGTAGTTACTGAGAAATCTGTCTAGCATAATATGAAGAAATCCCTTTTCCAACGAAGGCCTCAAAGAGGTCCGAATATCCACTGGCAGACTTCACAAACAGAGTGTTTCCTAACTGCTCTGTGAAAAGAAAGGTTAAACTCTGTGAGTTGAACGCACACATCACAAAGGAGTTTCTGAGAATCATTCTGTCTAGTTTTTATACGAAGATATTTCCTTTTCTACCATTGACCTCAAAGCGGCTGAAATCTCCACTTGCAAATTCCAGAAAAACAGTGTTTCAAATCTGCTCTGTGTAAAGGATCGTTCAACTCTGTGAGTTGAATACACACAACACAAGGAAGTTACTGAGAATTCTTCTGTCTAGCATAATATGAAGAAATCCCGTTTGCAACGAAGGCCTCAAAGAGGTCTGAATATGCACTTGCAGACTTTACAAACAGAGTGTTTCCTAACTGCTCTTTGAAAAGAAAGGTTAAACTCTGTGAGTTGAACGCACACATCAAAAAGGAGTTTCTGAGAATCATTCTGTCTAGTTTTTATACGAAGATATTTCCTTTTCTACCATTGACCTCAAAGCGGCTGAATTCTCCACTTACAAATTCCACCAAAAGAGTGTCTCAAATCTGCTCTGTGTAAAGAATCATTCAACTCTGTGAGTTGAATGCACACAACACAAGGAAGTTACTGGGAATTCCTCTGTCTAACCTTACATGAAAAAAACCCGTTTCCAACGAAGGCCTCTAAGAGGCCAATATATCCACTTGCAGACTTTACAAACAGAGTGTTTCCAAACTGCTAAATGAAAAGAAAAGTTAAACTCTGTGAGTTGAACGCACACATCACAGAGCAGTTTCTGAGAATGATTCTGTCGGGTTTTTATACGAAGATATTTCCTTTTCTGCCTTTGGCCTCAAAGCGCTTGAAGTCTCCACTTGCAAATTGCAGAAAAAGAGTGTTTCGAATCTGCTCTGTCTAAAGGAAGGTTCAACCTTGTCAGTTGAATACACACAACACAAGGAAGTTACTGAGATTTCCTCTGTCTAGCCTTACATGAAAAAAACCCGTTTCCAACGAAGGCCTCAAAGAGGTCAAAATATCCAAGACAGACTTTACAAACAGAGTTTTTCCAAACTGCTGAATGAAAAGAAAAGTTAAACTCTGTGAGTTGAACGCACACATCACAGAGCAGTTTCTGAGAATGATTCTGTCTAGTTTTTATAGGAAAATATTTCCTTTTCTGCTTTTGGCCTCAAAGCGCTTGAAATCTCCACTTGCAAATTCCACAAAAAGAGACTTTCAAATCTGGTCTGTCTAAAGGAAGGTTCAACTCTGTCAGTTGAATACACACAACACAAAGAAGTTACTAAGAATTCTTCCCTCTAGCATTATATGAAGAAATCCCGTTTCCAACGAAGGCATCTAAGAGGTCCAAATATCCACTTGCAGACTTTACAAACAGAGGGTTTCCAGAATGCTGTATGAAAAGAAAGGTGAAACTCTGTGAGTTAAACACACACATCACTACGCAGTGTCTGGGAACGAGTTTGTCTTGTTTTTATACAAAGATATTTCCTTTTCTACCATTGGCATCGAAGCGCTTGAAATCTCCACTTGCAAATTCCACAAAAAGAGTGTTTCAAATCTGCTCTGTCTAAAGGAAGGTTGAACTCTGTGAGTTGCATACACACAACACAAAGAAGTTACTGAGAAATCTTCTGTCTAGCATAATATGAAGAAATCCCGTTTCCAACGAAGGCCTCAAAGAGGTCCGAATATCCACTGGCAGGCTTCACAAACAGAGTGTTTCCTAACTGCTCTGTGAAAAGAAAGGTTAAACTCTGTGAGTTGAACGCACACATCACAAAGGAGTTTCTGAGAATCATTCTGTCTAGTTTTTATACGAAGATATTTCCTTTTCTACCATTGACCTCAAAGCGGCTGAAATCTCCACTTGCAAATTCCAGAAAAACAGTGTTTCAAATCTGCTCTGTGTAAAGGATCGTTTAACTCTGTGAGTTGAATACACACAACACAAGGAAGTTACTGAGAATTCATCTGTCTAGCATAATATGAAGAAATCCCGTTTCCAACGAAGGCCTCAAAGAGGTCTGAATATCCACTTGCAGACTTTACAAACAGAGTGTTTCCTAACTGCTCTTTGAAAAGAAAGGTTAAACTCTGTGAGTTGAACGCACACATCACAAAACAGTTTCTGAGAATCATTCTGTCTAGTTTTTATACGAAGATATTTCCTTTTCTACCGTTGACCTCAAAGCAGCTGAATTCTCCACTTACAAATTCCACCAAAAGAGTGTCTCAAATCTGCTCTGTGTAAAGAATCATTCAACTGCTGTGAGTTGAATGCACACAACACAAGGAAGTTACTGGGAATTCCTCTGTCTAACCTTACATGAAAAAACCCGTTTCCAACGAAGGCCTCTAAGAGGCCAAGATATCCACTTGCAGACTTTACAAACAGAGTGTTTCCAAACTGCTGAATGAAAAGAAAAGTTAAACTCTGTGAGTTGAACGCACACATCACAGAGCAGTTTCTGAGAATGATTCTGTCGGGTTTTTATACGAAGATATTTCCTTTTCTGCCTTTGGCCTCAAAGCGCTTGAAGTCTCCACTTGCAAATTGCAGAAAAAGAGTGTTTCGAATCTGCTCTGTCTAAAGGAAGGTTCAACTCTGTCAGTTGAATACACACAACACAAGGAAGTTACTGAGATTTCTTCTGTCTAGCCTTACATGAAAAAAACCCGTTTCCAACGAAGGCCTCAAAGAGGTCAAAATATCCACGTGCAGACTTTCCAAACAGAGTGTTTCCAAACTGCTGAATGAAAAGAAAAGTTAAACTCTGTGAGTTGAACGCACACATCCCAGAGCAGTTTCTGAGAAAGATTCTGTCTAGTTTTTATAGGAAAATATTTCCTTTTCTGCTTTTGGCCTCAAAGCGCTTGAAATCTCCACTTGCAAATTCCACAAAAAGAGACTTTCAAATCTGCTCTGTCTAAAGGAAGGTTCAACTCTGTCAGTTGAATACACACAACACAAAGAAGTTACTAAGAATTCTTCCCTCTAGCATTATATGAAGAAATCCCGTTTCCAACGAAGGCCTCAAAGAGGTCTGAATATCCACTTGCAGACTTTACAGAGTGTTTCCTAACTGCTCTTTGAAAAGAAAGGTTAAACTCTGTGAGTTGAACGCACACATCACAAAACAGTTTCTGAGAATCATTCTGTCTAGTTTTTATACGAAGGTATTTCCTTTTCTACCGTTGACCTCAAAGCGGCTGAATTCTCCACTTACAAATTCCACCCAAAGAGTGTCTCAAATCTGCTCTGTGTAAAGAATCATTCAACTCTGTGAGTTGAATGCACACAACACAAGGAAGTTACTGGGAATTCCTCTGTCTAACCTTACATGAAAAAACCCGTTTCCAACGAAGGCCTCTAAGAGGCCAAGATATCCACTTGCAGACTTTACAAACAGAGTGTTTCCAAACTGCTGAATGAAAAGAAAAGTTAAACTCTGTGAGTTGAACGCACACATCCCAGAGCAGTTTCTGAGAATGATTCTGTCGGGTTTTTATACGAAGATATTTCCTTTTCTGCCTTTGGCCTCAAAGCGCTTGAAGTCTCCACTTGCAAATTGCAGAAAAAGAGTGTTTCGAATCTGCTCTGTCTAAAGGAAGGTTCAACTCTGTCAGTTGAATACACACAACACAAGGAAGTTACTGAGATTTCTTCTGTCTAGCCTTACATGAAAAAAACCCGTTTCCAACGAAGGCCTCAAAGAGGTCAAAATATCCACGTGCAGACTTTCCAAACAGAGTGTTTCCAAACTGCTGAATGGAAAGAAAAGTTAAACTCTGTGAGTTGAACGCACACATCCCAGAGCAGTTTCTGAGAAAGATTCTGTCGAGTTTTTATAGGAAAATATTTCCTTTTCTGCTTTTGGCCTCAAAGCGCTTGAAATCTCCACTTGCAAATTCCACAAAAAGAGACTTTCAAATCTGCTCTGTCTAAAGGAAGGTTCAACTCTGTCAGTTGAATACACACAACACAAAGAAGTTACTAAGAATTCTTCCCTCTAGCATTATATGAAGAAATCCCGTTTCCAACGAAGGCATCTAAGAGGTCCAAATATCCACTTGCAGACTTTACAAACACAGGGTTTCCAGAATGCTGTATGAAAAGAAAGGTTAAACTCTGTGAGTTAAACACACACATCACTACGCAGTGTCTGGGAACGAGTTTGTCTTGTTTTTATACGAAGATATTTCCTTTTCTACCATTGGCATCGAAGCGCTTGAAATCTCCACTTGCAAATTCCACAAAAAGAGTGTTTCAAATCTGCTCTGTCTAAAGGAAGGTTGAACTCTGTGAGTTGCATACACACAACACAAAGAAGTTACTGAGAAATCTTCTGTCTAGCATAATATGAAGAAATCCCGTTTCCAACCAAGGCCTCAAAGAGGTCCGATTATCCACTGGCAGGCTTCACAAACAGAGTGTTTCCTAACTGCTCTGTGAAAAGAAAGGTTAAACTCTGTGAGTTGAACGCACACATCACAAAGGAGTTTCTGAGAATCATTCTGTCTAGTTTTTATACGAAGATATTTCCTTTTCTACCATTGACCTCAAAGCGGCTGAAATCTCCACTTGCAAATTCCAGAAAAACAGTGTTTCAAATCTGCTCTGTGTAAAGGATCGTTCAACTCTGTGAGTTGAATACACACAACACAAGGAAGTTACTGAGAATTCATCTGTCTAGCATAATATGAAGAAATCCCGTTTCCAACGAAGGCCTCAAAGAGGTCTGAATATCCACTTGCAGACTTTACAAACAGAGTGTTTCCTAACTGCTCTTTGAAAAGAAAGGTTAAACTCTGTGAGTTGAAAGCACACATCACAAAACAGTTTCTGAGAATCATTCTGTCTAGTTTTTATACGAAGATATTTCCTTTTCTACCGTTGACCTCAAAGCGGCTGAATTCTCCACTTACAAATTCCACCAAAAGAGTGTCTCAAATCTGCTCTGTGTAAAGAATCATTCAACTCTGTGAGTTGAATGCACACAACACAAGGAAGTTACTGGGAATTCCTCTGTCTAACCTTACATGAAAAAACCCGTTTCCAACGAAGGCCTCTAAGAGGCCAAGATATCCACTTGCAGACTTTACAAACAGAGTGTTTCCAAACTGCTGAATGAAAAGAAAAGTTAAACTCTGTGAGTTGAACGCACACATCACAGAGCAGTTTCTGAGAATGATTCTGTCGGGTTTTTATACGAAGATATTTCCTTTTCTGCCTTTGGCCTCAAAGCGCTTGAAGTCTCCACTTGCAAATTGCAGAAAAAGAGTGTTTCGAATCTGCTCTGTCTAAAGGAAGGTTCAACTCTGTCAGTTGAATACACACAACACAAGGAAGTTACTGAGATTTCTTCTGTCTAGCCTTACATGAAAAAAACCCGTTTCCAACGAAGGCCTCAAAGAGGTCAAAATATCCACGTGCAGACTTTCCAAACAGAGTGTTTCCAAACTGCTGAATGGAAAGAATAGTTAAACTCTGTGAGTTGAACGCACACATCCCAGAGCAGTTTCTGAGAAAGATTCTGTCTAGTTTTTATAGGAAAATATTTCCTTTTCTGCTTTTGGCCTCAAAGCGCTTGAAATCTCCACTTGCAAATTCCACAAAAAGAGACTTTCAAATCTGCTCTGTCTAAAGGAAGGTTCAACTCTGTCAGTTGAATACACACAACACAAAGAAGTTACTAAGAATTCTTCCCTCTAGCATTATATGAAGAAATCCCGTTCCCAACGAAGGCATCTAAGAGGTCCAAATATCCACTTGCAGACTTTACAAACAGAGGGTTTCCAGAATGCTGTATGAAAAGAAAGGTTAAACTCTGTGAGTTAAACACACACATCACTACGCAGTGTCTGGGAACGAGTTTGTCTTGTTTTTATACGAAGATATTTCCTTTTCTACCATTGGCATCGAAGCGCTTGAAATCTCCACTTGCAAATTCCACAAAAAGAGTGTTTCAAATCTGCTCTGTCTAAAGGAAGGTTGAACTCTGTGAGTTGCATACACACAACACAAAGAAGTTACTGAGAAATCTTCTGTCTAGCATAATATGAAGAAATCCCGTTTCCAACGAAGGCCTCAAAGAGGTCCGAATATCCACTGGCAGGCTTCACAAACAGAGTGTTTCCTAACTGCTCTGTGAAAAGAAAGGTTAAACTCTGTGAGTTGAACGCACACATCACAAAGGAGTTTCTGAGAATCATTCTGTCTAGTTTTTATACGAAGATATTTCCTTTTCTACCATTGACCTCAAAGCGGCTGAAATCTCCACTTGCAAATTCCAGAAAAACAGTGTTTCAAATCTGCTCTGTGTAAAGGATCGTTCAACTCTGTGAGTTGAATACACACAACACAAGGAAGTTACTGAGAATTCATCTGTCTAGCATAATATGAAGAAATCCCGTTTCCAACGAAGGCCTCAAAGAGGTCTGAATATCCACTTGCAGACTTTACAAACAGAGTGTTTCCTAACTGCTCTTTGAAAAGAAAGGTTAAACTCTGTGAGTTGAACGCACACATCACAAAACAGTTTCTGAGAATCATTCTGTCTAGTTTTTATACGAAGATATTTCCTTTTCTACCGTTGACCTCAAAGCGGCTGAATTCTCCACTTACAAATTCCACCAAAAGAGTGTCTCAAAACTGCTCTGTGTAAAGAATCATTCAACTCTGTGAGTTGAATGCACACAACACAAGGAAGTTACTGGGAATTCCTCTGTCTAACCTTACATGAAAAAACCCGTTTCCAACGAAGGCCTCTAAGAGGCCAAGATATCCACTTGCAGACTTTACAAACAGAGTGTTTCCAAACTGCTGAATGAAAAGAAAAGTTAAACTCTGTGAGTTGAACGCACACATCACAGAGCAGTTTCTGAGAATGATTCTGTCGGGTTTTTATACGAAGATATTTCCTTTTCTGCCTTTGGCCTCAAAGCGCTTGAAGTCTCCACTTGCAAATTGCAGAAAAAGAGTGTTTTGAATCTGCTCTGTCTAAAG